>NT_187614.1:2557399-2877074 GCF_000001405.40 Homo sapiens
GCCTCCCAAGTAGCTGGGATTACAGGCGCCCACCACCACGCCTTGCTAATTTTTATATTTTTAGTAGAGACGGGGTTTCACCATGTTGGCCAGGCTGGTCTCAAACTCCTGACCTCAAGTGGTCTGCCCACCTCAGCCTCCCAAAGTGCTAGGATTATAGGCATGAGCCACCATGCGCAGGCAAAAAAAAATTTTTAATTAGCGAGGTATGGTGGTGTATGCCTGTAGTCCCAGCTACTTGGGAGGCTGAGGTGTGAGGATCTTCTAGCTGCGACACCAAAAGCACAAGCTATAAAAGAAAAAAAATTGATAGATTGGACTTCATAAAAATTAAAAACTGTGTGTGTCAAAGGATACTATTAGGAAAGTGAAAAGACAACCAATCATTGGATGGAAGAAAAAAAGTGTGTGTGTGTGTGTGTGTGTTTTTTCCTGAGACAGGGACTCACTCTGTGGCTCCAGTTGGAATGCAGCAGTATGATCATGGCTCACCATAACCTCGACCTCCTGGGCTCAAGTGATCCTCCTGAGCTGGGATTATAGGCATGCACCACCACACCCGGTGGGAGAAAACATTTGCAAATCATATATTTGACAAGGGACTCATATCTAGAATATATAAAGAACAATAAAATTCAACAATAAAAAGACAACCCAATTTGGATAAAAATAAGCAAAGGATCTGAAGACATTTATCCAAAGAAGATATGCCAATAGCTATTATATACTTGAAAATATTTTCTTTTTTTTTTTTTTGAGATGGAGTCTCGCTCTGTTACCCAGGCTGGAGTGCAGTGGTTCACCGCAAGCTCCGCCTCCCGGGTTCACGCCATTCTCCTGCCTCAGCCTCCCGAGTAGCTGGGACTACAGGCGCCCGCCACCATGCTCGGCTAATTTTTTTGTATTTTTGGTAGAGATGGGGTTTCACTGTTAGCCAGGATGGTCTCGATCTCCTGACCTCGTGATCCGCCTGCCTCAGCCTCCCAAAGTGCTGGGATTACAGGCATAAGCCACCGCTCCCGGCCAAGATTTTCAACATCAGTAGTCATCATGGGAATACAAATCAAAACCATAAGCTACCTCTTCATACACATTAGGGTGGCTGCAGTAAAAAAACAGACAATAACAAGTGTTGAATGTGGAGAAATTAGAATGCTTATTACATGGCTGGTGGGGCAGCCACTTTGGAAAACAGTTTGGCAGCTCCTCAAAATGTTAAACCTAGAGTTATTGTAAAACCCAGCAATTCTATTCCTTAGGATATACTCAAGAGAGCTGAAACATATGTCAACACACAAAAAAAAACTTGTACACAAATGTTCATGTACTGACAACCTAAATATCCATCAACTGATGAATGGATAAGTAAAATATGATATATCCATACAAGAGAAAATTATTCAGTCTGGGCGCGGTGACTCATGCCTGTAATCCCAGCACTTTGGAAGGCCAAAGTGGGTGGATCACTTGAGGTCAAAAGTTCAAGACCAGCCTGACCAACATGGTGAAACCCCTTCTCCACTAAAAATACAAAAGTTAGCCGGGCATGCTGGCACACACTTGTAGTCCCAGCTACAAGTCCCGACTTGCAGTCGGGAGGGTGAGATAGGAGACTCGCTTGAGCCTGGGAGGCAGAGGTTGCAGTGAGCCGAGATCATGCCATTGCACTCCAGCCTAGGCATCAGAGAGAGACTCTGTCTCAAAAAAAAAAAAAAAGAAAAAAAGAAAAAAAAAAGAATGAAATACTGAGGTAGGAGGTGGGACTCGACTCCAGAGTCAGTTCTTGGACACTGGACCAAATTGAGAACTAGCTAAAACAAAGATGGAGTGGAAGCAGGTCTCCATAAGACACACCTACCAGTGCAGCATTTCAGTTTACCATTGCCACGGCAACAGCCAGAAATTACCACCCCTTTCCATGGCAACGACCCAATGACCCAAAAGTTACCAAAATTTTCCTACAAATTTCTGCACAATCTACCCCTTAATTTGCATACAATTAAAAGTGGGTATAACTATGAGTGCAGACCCACCTCTGAGCTGCTACTCTGAGCACAAGGCCTGTGGGGTAGCCCCGCTCCACAAGGAACAGCACCTCTGCTGCTGTGCACTGTCGCTTCAATAAAAGCTGCTGTCTAACACCACCGGCTCACCCTTGAATTATTTCCCGGACAAAACCAAGAATCCTCCTCTGCTAAACCCCAATTTGGGGGCTTGTCTGCCCTGCATCAGTACTGATACATGCTACAACATAGATGAATTTTGGAAACATGTAGAAAGAAGATTGTCACAAAAGACGACATGTTGTATAACTCCATTTGTGGGAAGTGTCTGCAATGGGAAATCCATACAGATAGAAAGTAAATTACTAATTCCCTAGGGCTGTGGGTCGGGGTGAGGAGGTAGGTGGCAGAGAGGAGGGTGCAGGAATGGGGAATGACTGTCAAGTGGTCAGGGTTCGGGGAGTTGAAATAATCTAAAGTTCGATTGTGGTGATGGTCACACATATCTGTGAATATACTAAAAATCACTGAACTGTAGACTTTAAAAGGGTGCATTTTGTGGTATGTGAAATAAATCTCAATAAAGCCGTGTAACAGGCCAAGCATGGTGACTCACGTCTGTAATCCCAGCACTTTGGAAGGTGGAAGTGGGAGGATCACTTGAGCCCAGTAGTTTGAGACCAGCCTGGGCAATATACTGAGACCTGGGCTGTACAAAAAACTAAAATTGACCAGGCATGGTTGCACATACCTGTAGTCCTAGCTACTCTGGAGGCTGAAGTGGGAGGTCTGCTTGAATCCAGGAGGTCGAGGCTGCAGTGAGCCGAGATAGTACTACTGCATTCTAACCCTGGTGACAGAACAAGACCCTGTCTTGAACAAATAAATAAATAAATAAATAAATAAATAATTTAAAAAAGCCATAACAGGTCGGTCGTGGTAGCTCGTGCCTGTAATCCCAGCACTTTGGGAGGCTGAGTTGGGCAAATCACTTGAGGTCAGGAGTTTAAGACCAGCCTGGCCCACATGGTGAAACCTCGTCTCTACTAAAAATACAAAAATTAGCTGGGCGTGGTGGTACCTGCCTCTAGTCCCAGTTACTCAGGAGGCTAAGGCGGGAAAATTGCTTGAATCCAGGAGGCGGAGGTTGCAGTGAGCTGAGATTGTGCCACTGCACTCCAGCCTGGGCAACAGAGTGAGACTCTGTAAAAAAAAAAAAAAAAAAAAAGAAAAGAAAAAAAAAGCAGCCATACAAACAATAACAAACTGTACTCTAAAACTTGCTCTAGGCCAGGCTTGCTGGCTCACGCCTGTAATCCCAACACTCTGGGAGACTAAGGCAGGAGGATCACTTGAGTCTAGCAGTTCAAAATAAGCCTTGGTAACTCTGTCTCTGCAAAAATTGAAAAATTAGCCAGGGGTTGTGACTTGCACCTGTAGTCCCAGCTACTCAGGAGGCTGAGGCCAGAGGATCCCTTGTGCCCAGGAGTTTGAGGTTGCAGTGTGTTATGATGGCGCCACTGCACTCCAGTGTGGGTGACAGAGCAAGACCTTGTCTCAGAAAAATAAAATAGGATAAATAAAATACAGTAAAACTTGCTCTGCCTATCCAGTGGGGGTTTTTTTTTTTGGAGATGGAGTTTCGTTTTTGTTGCCCAGACTGGAGTGCAGTGGCGTGATCTCAGCTCACTGCAACCTCCGCCTTCCAGTTTCAAGCGATTCTCCTGCCTCAGCCTCCCGAGTAGCCGGTACTACAGGCATGCGCCACCACACCCAGCTAATTTTTTGTATTTGTAGTAGAGACGGGGTTTCACCATGTTGGCCAGGATGGTCTCGATCTCTTGACCTCGTGATCCGCCCGCCTTGGCCTCCCAAAGTGCTGGGATTACAGGCATGAGCCACTGTGCCTGGCTTCCAGTGGGGTTTGATATATTTCATAGGAAACTTTTTTTTTTTTCTTTTTTTTAGACAGAGTCTTGCTCTGTCACCCAGGCTGGAGTGCAGTGGTGCAATCTCGGCTCACTGCAACCTCCGCCTCCCGGGTTCAAGCAATTCTCTTGCCTCAGCCTCCTGAGTAGCTGGGATTACAGGCGCCCGCCACCACGCCCAGCTAATTTTTGTATTTTTAGTAGAGACGGGGTTTCACCATGTTGGTCAGGCTGGTCTCGAACCCCTGACCTCGTGATCCACCTGCCTCGGCCTCCCAAAGTGCTGGGATTACAGGCGTGAGCCACTGCGCCCGGCAGGAAACATTTCTTTGGGAAAACTCCAAATCTATGAGGGCTTAGGTGAAAGGAATAGAGATTTTTCCCTGCCCTTCTAGTATGGACATGGAGAGGCAGCATGATTGTCACCCTGAACTAAAACACAGGCTGAGATTTTGAGTGAAGATTTCTGGAACGATGACAAAGGGGAGGGGATGGAGGGATCCCCCTGCCAGGTGTGCCATTATGAGTGGTATCAGCCAGTCAGCACCAGTGAGCTTCGAGGAAGCCTGTTCTCAGTTAAGGGGCACAGATGCCACTAGCCCCAGGCCCCCATCCTGTGGATCGTGCTCTGTCACTCTGAGCTCAGGGACCACTTAAGCCACTCAATGATCAAACAGTCAGAAAATGCCCAGGGGGGCCAAGAGAGGATGTGCAGACAGTGAAGGAGAGAAGCCGAGGGCTTCCCCGACCACTACACGTCAAGTAGCGCCTGCCTCCTCTCCATCAGGAACCTGAGCTCTGAAGGCAGTCAGATCGCGCTCAAATCTTGGCCAGAGTCAACCTTCCCCACTGATAGCACAGAGGTAATAATATCTATTGTCTGGGTTGTTAGAAGATTAACGAACTCTCCATAAATGGTAGCAATTAGTATTATAAAACATTAATAAAGCATGGCTATTGGGAGGGATAAGTTCCGGTTTTTCTTTTTTTTTTTCTTTTGAGACGGAGTCTCACTCTGTCACCCAGGCTGGAGTGCAGTGGCGCGATCTCGGCTCACTGCAAGCTCCGCCTCCCGGGTTCATGCCATTCTCCTGCCTCAGCCTCCCGAGTAGCTGGAACTACAGGCGCCCGCCACCACGCCCGGCTAATTTTTTTGTATTTTCAGTAGAGACAGGGTTTCACTGTGTTAGCCAGGATGGTCTCGATCTCCTGACCTCGTGATCTGCCCGCTTCTGCCTCCCAAAGTGCTGGGATTACAGGCATGAGCCACCGCGCCAGGCCTATTTTTCATTTTTGAGACAGGGCTGGGGACTGGCTTTCTGTAATCTCAAGGGTTGCTGGGCTTTGGTGGGTGGGTGACTCACGGAGGGGCATTCCCTGCAGACAGTAGGCAGTATTGTATTTGAGACAGGGTGTCCCTCGGTCACCCACACTGGAGTGCAGTGATGCCATCATAGCTCACTGAAACTTCAAACTCCTGGCCTCAAGCAATCCTCCCACCTCAGCCTCCCCAGTAGCTGGAACCGCAGGTGCATGCCACTCTGATTAACTTTTTTTTTTTTTTTTTTTTTGAGACAGAGTCTCATTCTTGTCGCCCAGGCTGGAGTGCAATGCCATGATCTTGGCTCACTGCAACCTCTGCCTCCCGGGTTCAAGTGATTCTCCTGCCTCAGCCTCCCCAGTAGCTGGGATTACAGGTGCCTGCCACCACACCCAGCTAATTTTTGTATTTTTAGTAGAGACCGGGTTTCACCATGTTGGCCAGGCTGGTCTCGAACTCCTGACCTTGTAATCTGCCCGCCTCAGCCTCCCTAAGTGCTGGGATTACAGGCGTGAGCCACCACGTCCAGCCCACTCTGAGACAACTTCTGAAACAACATGTCAGTTCATGACACTTTCTTACTTTAAACCCTCCTATTGTTTTCCATGGCACCTTCCTTACCACAGCCCATAAGGCCTCACATGAGGGGGCTTCTGCCCACCACGCTGCACTTTCCCCTCCTCACTCTTCTTGGATTTCCTTCATTTTCCAGAACCCACTGGTTACGTCCCACCCAGGGCCTTGTGCCTGGGACCCTCAGCCACCAGCGCCCCCAAAGCCCACTCCTCACCCACCCACAAGGTCTCCTCTCAAATGTGACTGACCCTGCTACTCCCCGCCACATCTGCCACTGTGCCTCTTTTTTGTGTTCTCCCAGCACCTGCCTTGGTTGAGCTCGGGTGTCTGTGTTCTGTCTGCTGGCTGTCCTGGCAGCTCTCCCGCCAGACAGAGCCCCAGCCCCAAGGAGTGGACGAGCAGCGCCTCACAGGGAGTGCATCCTGGATAGGCATCTGGCGGGTGAATGAGTGCCTGCCTCCTTCCAGGCGTGCAGCGGATGGTTCCGTTTGTTACTTGATCTTGAACTGTCATGAGTGCAGTGATTCTGGGAGAGGGGGTTTTTTGGCTCCTCTCCCAGTTTTTGGGGAATAGGATGGCAGAGAGAAGGCAAGATCTGCCGACATTCTAAAAAGGACATAGGGATGGGCTACGGGCAGGCTGAGGACTGGCTTTCTGTGAGTCTCAAGGGTTGCTGGGCTTTGGTGGGTGGGTGACTCATGGAGGGGCATTCCCTGCAGACAGTAGGCAGGTTGCTGCCCTCTGTCTCCAAAGAGGTCTTTAAGAGAAGGAAGCGCAACTGGGGCCCCTGTGATGACTGGAAGATTGTGGCTCCAGGACACAGTCACTACCTTCAGGGATGGAAGTGAAGTGATGCTGAGGGGGGAGAAGAGATTCAGTAACATGCCAGCCCTCAGCCACGCAGAACAGCTGGAAGGCTGCCTCGGGGACTCTTAGAACATGCTGGAACAGTGGCACAGCCTTCAGAATTCCGGGAAAGCCTGTAAAACCCAATCAGGACCCATGGCATACACCATGGTGCTCTGTGTAGCAGGTGCTGCTTTGCTGTGGCTGTTTGTGCATATGTGTGTACATACCTAAAGCATAGAGGTGTCAAATGCATTTTGTATTGTTACCACTTTACGGGTTTGAAAGCTGCTGCATCTAGAAAAGATGTTTGTGGCCGGGCTCGGTGGTTCACGCCTGTAATCCCAGCACTTTGGAAGGCCGAGGTGGGCAGATCACTTGAGCTCAGGAGTTCGAGACCAGCCTGGGCAACATGGCGAAACCTCATCTCTACAAAAAATACAAAAAAATGTAGCCAGGTGTGGTGGCAGGCACCTGTAGTCCCAGCTACTTGGGAGGCTGAGATGGGACAATTACCTGAGCCCAGGGAAGTTGAGGCTATAGTGAGCTGTAATCATGCACTCCAGCCTGGGTGACAGAGGGAGACCCCGTCTAAAAAAAAGAAAAGAAAGAAAAGATGGGTGGACCCCCACCAAGGGTCATCTCACTCAAAGGGCAGGAGGCTGAGACCCAATTCAGGGGACTACTGGAGGTCATCAGCCCTGCTTGGTTTCAGGGTAACCGTGGGCTTTGGTGTCAGGCAGAGCTGGATTCAAACTTACTGGTTTGTCTACAACCTACCAGTTGTATGACTCTGGGTAAGATGCCCAACATCTCTGAGTTTTGTCACTTGCCTGAGTAGGTAGTGCCGGTAGCTACCTCACCGATGGTTGTGAGGGTTAGGCAGGACACCTCCTGGAATGCCAAGCTGAGAACTGGTTTTTTTTGTTTTGTTTTTGTTTTTTGAGACAGGTTCTCGCTCTGTCATCCAGGCTGGAGCGCAGTGGTGCGATCTTGGCTCACTGCAACCTCCACCTCCTGGGTTCAAGCGATTCTCATGCCTCAGCCACCCGAGTAGCTGGGATTACTGGTGTACACCACCCCACCTGGCTAATCCCAGGGGCCCTGTTCTGTCCTCCCCCTCATGCTCTGCCAGCTGAAGGCCAGTGGCTGCCAGGGATTCCCCACCTGCCACCCCACCCATCCCAGCACCTTCCAGATCCTCCAGGGTGAAGCAGAGAAATAATGAGACATCAGCCTATAGGAAGGAGATCCAGGAGAGGAAAAAGAAACAAGTTTTATTAAAGCCCCAAACACTTGGCTAGAAAAACTGAAAAGGAAAGAGAGCAGGGAGCGGGGGAGAAGAAAAAAGGACATTAAAAAAGAGAGACAGAGAAAACACAGCAACCCTTTTCCATTTAGAAATTGTCAAGTTACACCGACAGAGGTCACAGAATATCCACAGAAGCCATCACTGCTACACCAACATGGGCCCTACAGGGTGGATGGGGCAGGGTGTGGAGCCGGGGCTCACCCCGGGGGGCCCCCTGGGGACCCCACTCAGAGCCTCAGGCCTGAGGCTCCTGGGGAAACAGCATATTGTGGAAGGGGCAGGAAATCCCCCATGCGAGTAACACAGCACAGTGGGCGGGGGCTGAGAGGACCAGGTACAGGGGTCCCCCGAGACGTCTTAGTTTTCTCTTGGTCAAGCACACACTGATGGACAGAGCAGCGAGGCGCATGCAGCTGGGGGCACTGATGTGCTGCAGGCTGTGAGAGGGCCAGCGGGGACGGGGGCTCAGGAAGGGATCTGGAGCCAGTGGTGCAGGGATGATGGAACACACGCACACAGAGGCACACCCACACACTTGGGTCTGCACCAGCACACATACCTGCACACACACACTCGGAGACACAGATTACATGCACCTCCATGTATGCGTCTCTATCCACATGTACGTGGCCCACACACAAGTCTCTGGCTCTCGGCATGTCTGCACACACATTACACATGTTCTCACACACAAAGCTCCTCTCACGCTAACATGCAGGTAGGCACGTGCCAATGCCCAAACAGGTTACATGCACCTATGTGCCCACGCCTTCCCCCACACATGTGCTCGGCCATGCCTGTGGGTGCAGGCCCCATGCGTCTGCACACACAGTGCATGGGCTTGTGCCAGCACACACACAGGCTGCACGCAATTCCACACGGATGCCTCCCAGCCCATAAATGTGCAGGAACCAAAGAGAAAGAAAGATGCAAATCCCACTGGGCTTCACCCGAGCGGGTGGGGCGGGGCACGTGGCTCCCTCCTTCTGCCCCTTCGTGGATGGACACTGCCCCCCCCACCTCCCCCACAAAGGGACATTCAACTCAGGACAATGACGGTGGGGCACACATTCCAGTCACAGGGCTGAGGGTGGGAGCTGGGGGCAAGCGAAGTAGCAAGCAGAGAGTAATGGAGTGGAGGGAGGAGGGGGCACCACTCCCCCCTCCCCTCCCAAGTCAGGGGGTCTCTGTACAGCCAAATCAAACCAGACCATTTCACTGGGACCACAGAAGCCAGGCCGACGTGCCCGCCCCCCAGCCCCCCTCCCCCGCCAAAACAGTGGCCAGGGAGAGTGCCGTGGTTTTCTTTTTTTTTTCTTTTTTAAATATTTATATATATTTATATTACGTATATTATATATATAATATGTAAATATATTTTTAAAACAATATAAAATGTTAAGACACTTCACTTAAATGTAAAGAGTTGCCTGCAATTAAAAGTAATTGCATCATTTATGAGGTCCTTTTTTTTTTTTCTATTTTCCAGGGTTTTTTTTTTTTTCCAGGAGGGATTTTTTTTTTCCTCTTTTGTTATTTTTCAAAAAGGCTTGCTCGCCTTGGTACAAAAATGATCCAAAGCTAGAAAACAAGGATGAACCAACAAAGGCAAAAACAAAAAAAGAAATGAAGAAACACAACCCGTTTCCCCTCCCCCCAAACCTTCAACAGCTCCCAGCTCTCCCCAGGTGCGGACCTTCCCCAGCCAGGCCCCAGGGTCTGGGGGGCTCTGCCTTCTGCGCAGCTCCTCCTTTCTGTGCTTGCTATGGGGGACTGATTCTAGTCCCCCTCCCCTGTGCTTACTTCACTTTGTGCTCCAAGTGGGAATCCTGCGGCCGGGGACCCCGCTCCTCCTCCTCCTCTTCTCCTATCCTCTCCCTACCGGCTCCTCACTGTGCCCTCTGGGGGGCCAGGAGTGAGAACCAAAATTGGCCTCTCTCTGCCTCCCCAGGACCCGGCCAAAAGCCAGGCGGCACTGCCAACCGCCTCTGCAGGGCAGGCAGGGCGTCCACAGGCCAGGGGCGCTGGCTGGATGGTCAGGCCTCAGGGACCTTCAGACATCTCACCAGGGTCACCAGAGCCCCATTGAAAAACTACGTCTCATCCTTTCCTGGGAAAACCCTCAAATTGCCAAGAGGATGACTGAAGTTCAAGTCACCCCACCTGCGGGTCCCAGGTGTCTTCAGTGCTCCCCGTCAAGCCCCTCTCGACCCTCCCATTTCCCTCAAACCAGACCCTTCCCCCAACTGCAAGCCACAAAACCTGGTTTTCTAGGCCCCTCACTCTTGCCCACCCCATCCCCATTCAATAAGTTAATGCCATTTAAAGTGCTAAATCAGGAAACTAAAAGTACCAAATACCCGTCCGGGCCGCCCTCTCCCAAGGCAGTGTCCCCGATATCCGGCTGTCCGTGCAACCCACCCTCCACAGCCAGCAGACCAAAGGGCCTCTGCCCTCCACTCCCCACTGGACGGCAAGGCCCAGGAGGCCAGCGCCTCCCCAGGGATACAGACTCCATGGCCTCACACCCACCCTGAGGCCTCTCAAACTCCGGCCTCGTCTCCAGCCTGTCCGTCTCTACTCCAGGCCCACTTGGGTGTGAGTGGGAGGAGGCAGAGCAGCCACAGAGGAAGTCACAGTCTTGTCGGAGCTTAGACAGGGAGTGGGGCATCTCCAAGGCCAGTCTCCCTAAGCCCCGCTCTCTGGCTTGATGTATGGGTTGGTCCGATGTCCCCGCGTTCCTCCAGGAAGGTATCGAGAAACGGGAGAGGGGTCTCCCACTGCTCCAAGTCTCCGTGGTTCAGAGTTTGTTTGGAGTATTCTTGGGAAGTGAGGGGAAGGCGGGAAGGGGGTGCAGGAGCTTCAGGATGGACTGGGGGAAAGAGTGGTGAAAGAGAAGAAGGAGAGATGTGACAGGTGCGGCCAGCGAGAGGCCAGCTGGGATCAAGGAAGGTGGTGTGTTTGGTTTTTAGTTTTACTGTTTAAAAAAAGATAATTAAAAGTTAATTGTTAAAAAAAAAAAAAAAAACAAAACCAAAAACACCAACAGATGATGGGTAGGGGTCGCTGAGGAGGGCCGCACCCTCCTCTTCAGGGCACACCCCTCAGGGCGTCTGGAGAGTAGGGTGGGGTGGGGTGGAGATGAAGGAAGAGAGGGGAGAAATGGCAGGAGTGAGGGAGGGGGACAGGCGGGGCAGCGGGGTGAGGGGCTTCTAGAAGGAGATGGAAGAATTCCTTGCCCCAAAGGAAGTCAATACAGGGATAGAGGTTCTGGAAGCCGAGGGCTTTTCTGAGACTGGGCTCGAGGTCTCATTCGACCCGCTCATCTCTTTAGATGGTTTAGTGGCCTGGAACAAAAACAGGGGTCAGGGGTCAGAGAGCGGAAGGGAGCGCCTCCATGCTGGCCCCCAGCTGAAGTTTTAAAAGTGGAAAACCTCCACAAATCCAAGGAAATTAACTGCAAAAGGAAGAAGCCAGAGGGGCATCTGGAGAGAGGGGTCCCTTGAATGGTGGAGGGGTGGGGGCAGAAAAGGGGGGGGAGGGGGCACGAGGTTGGACAAAGGGCCTGGGTGGTCAGAGGGCAGGCCCATAGTTACTGAGAGCAGAGAGAGAAGCAGAGCGACCAGAGAAGCACAGAAGAGGCCGCGCCCAGGATGGGCAGATGGGGAGGTGGGGGTGGGGGAGGGCAGGGGAGGGGAGGAAGAAGTGAAACATTAGCTGGGACAGGGGCACAAGCCCTGCGGGGGACGGGGGTCAGGGTGGGGAAAGGCTCCTAGTCCCAAATGGCCCGCTGTACAGCCAGAGCCCCTTCCAGCTTCATCCTGGTGGCAACAGAGGAGGGGGCTTATCCTCCCAGGGGGGAATAAACACTTCAAAGACCCCGTCCACCACCACCACCACCACCACCTGGAAATCTGAGAAGAAGGCGCTGCCGCACCAGCCTCCCGCCCAGTGCAGGAGGCCCCACTGCATGCCCTGCAAGCACTTGTCGCCCCAGTTGGTAACAGGAGGCTACTCCCTCATGACTTGTCCTGCCCTCACTGGTCAGTTCTAGTGGTCAGAACTGACCCCTCATCCTCCTCCCACCTTCGGTGGACTCCCGCAACTCCACCGGTCCTGGAGGCTTTTCCTCTGCAGCTGCGGTCTCCAAAGTGCGGTTTGAGAGCTACGTGCATTACCTCATCACCTCCAGGGGCCACCCTCTGGCATGCATCGTGAATGCAGATTCCTGGGCTCCCCTCCAGAATCCATCTCTTGTGTGGGCTCATGAATGTGCATTTTAAGCAGGTGCCCCAGGTGCCTCTGCTGCACACTTACCTTTGAGATCCACTGGATTAAGGCTACACAGACCCAGGTTTCTCCTTGTAATTGTACCCACTGTCCCTCCTGGCCTTGCTTAGCTACTAGTGTGAGAACTGAATCACCCAGATTTAAAAAAAGATCCAAAAGATAAGACAGGGCGCTGTGGCGAGTCACCAGAGACCACCCTGAGGTTAGGTCTGGGCAGGGTCCTTCACTTCCCTCTACTATCACCCTGCTGCTACGGAGTTTTCTCAGATGCCTTGCAGAGGAGAAGCTAGAGTCTAAAGCAAGCCCTGTCTCCAGCAGCCTGCCCAGCTCACAGTAAAGAACCAGCGCTGGCTGCAATCACCATTTCTCCTTTACAGGTGCACAGATGGTTGGTTCCACGATTCACCTGGGTTTTGCTCACTACAGTGTAGTTTGCCATCTACATTTCCCTTTTATGAGAATCAAAACAAGGGCCGGGTGTGGTGGCTCACACCTGTAATCCCAGCACTTCAGGAGGCTGAGGCAGGATTGCTTGAGCCCAGGAAGTCAAGACCAGCCTGGGTAACATGGCGAGACCTCGTCTCTACTAAAAAAAAAATTTTTTTTAAATAGCTGAGTGTGATGGTGTGTGCCTGTGGTTCCAGCTTCTCTGGAGGCTGAGGTGGGAGAATGGCCTGAGCTCAGGAGGTGGAAGTGGCAGTGAGCCATGACTGCACCACTGCACTCCAGCCTGGGTGACAGAATGAGGCCCTGTTTTTTTGTTTGTTTGTTTGTTTTGTTATTTATTTATTTAAGTTAAAGCGAAAATTCCCCATTTGGGTTTTCTTTTTCTTTCTTTTTTTTTTTTTTTTGAGATGGACTTTTGCTCTTGTTGTCCAGGCTGGAGTACAATGGCGCAATCTTGGCTCACGGCAACCTCCGCCTCCCGGGTTCAAGCGATTCTCCTGCCTCAGCCTCCCGAGTAGCTGGAATTACAGGCATGCGCCACCACGCCCGGCTAATTTTGTGTTTTTAGTAAGACGAGGTTTCTCCACGTTGGTCAGGTTGGTCTCAAACTCCCCACCTCAGGTGATCTGCCCACCTCGGCCTCCCAAAGTGTTGGGATTACAGGCGTGAACCACCGCGCCTGGCCCTGTTTGGGTTTTCTAACCCCTCTCCTCTGCTCATCCATTACTCAAGGGAGTTCTAGGGGGTCCAGGGCCCAGCCACAGGGTCGTCAGATTCACGCAGTCCTCAGCATGTGTCAGGCATGGCCCCTGCCCTCTCTGTGCCCCCAGTACCTGGGCCTGGAGACAAACTCATCCAACGGGAACCAGAGGCTCTCTGACCACTGTGTCACTTACCTTGGGCTCAGTCCTGCCTCTCCTCTGCTCTAGCCTTTCCCATTTAAAGTTCTTTCCCCCAAAGCCAGGTGAGAGGGAAGCACTGCCCAGTTCCCCCTGATGTCTCTTCACACCTCACCATGTCCCCCGGCAAGGTGCTGATTCTCCCCGGTTGTCCTTTTCCCTCTGAACTGATCTTTCTAGGTAAAAGCTGCTTTTTCTGCTCCTACCCCTTCAGCATTTTTCAAGAGCCTCATTCTATTCCAAGTTTTGGTCTTGGGAACACTTGTCTTCCGGCACCACCACCTGGCTTCTGTATTCAGGCAGGTGATGTGCCTTCACCCAGTTGAGGTACCCCTTCTCCCCCCAACAGCCAGTGCAAGACCTTTAGACATCCAGCTTCACCAGTTTATGGGGATGCCTCGTCCCCGTCCCGCTTCTTCATGGAGACCACTTCTGCAACATGTGCTTTCTAAAATCCTCTCGGGTCATCTTCCCTCCCGGGAGACTCTGGACACACCATCCACAATCCACTCTCCTGAAGTTGAGGGAGCACGTCCAGCTGTGCCCGGTGACCCCAGCCTGTGCTGCTAACCCTTCTCAGGTGACACAGCTGCTGTCTCTGAAGGTTCCTGTCATTTCCTTTCACCCATCATCCTCCCCTGCTGATTCCAATTATGTCCAGAGAAGCAGAACTTTGTTACCTTCGTGGCAAGGCAGAAACCTCACACATGTCCAGCTTTCAGCTGGGGGAGGCATGGAGCACTGAGCTGGTCCCAGAGGGCACCACCCTGCACACCTCCCTCTTGCCTGGGGATCAGAGCCGGCCACCTGCTCTCGCCAGGTCCATGTTCCCGAGGCCCTTCACATTCTGACGCCCAGATGTCCAGACAAGTGTGGAACCTCTCGACTCTACAGACCCCGCTGACTCCACCTCCAGGGCCATTCCCAGGGCCACCCTCCCTAGCCCCCATGCCCTCCTTCCTTGCTAAGCCCTGCCTGGGTCAGGTATTGAACCATCAGGAGAAGCTGGGCTTTCCCCAGCCCAGAGTGGGGGATGTGGGGATCATGACAAAATCTATGGCAATTGGAGAAATTCCTTTCTCCTTGCCAGTGACTGATTTAGGAATGGGCAGTGAGATAAGAGGTGTGGTCTGTTGGAGGCTTCTGGGAAAGATTCTCCAGCTTCTAAAAACAGCTGTGTGAGGCCGGGCTCATGCCTGTAATCCCAGCACTTTGGGAGGCCTAGGCAGTCAGATCACTTGAGGCCAGGAGTTTGAGACCAGCCTGGCCAACACAGTGAAACGCCAACTCTACCAAAAATTACAAAAATTAACCAGGCGTGGTGGCGTGCACCTGTAGTCCCAGCTACCTGGGAGGCTGAGGCAGGAAGATCGCTTGAATCAGGGAGGTGGAGGTTGCAGTGAGCCGAGATCGCACCACTGCACTCCAGCCTGGGTGACAGAGCGAGAGACTCTATCTCAAAAAAAAATTAAATAAATAAATAAAAACAGCTGTGTGAAGCCGGGCTTGGTGGCTCATGCCTGTAATCCCAGCACTTTGGGAAGCTTAGGTGGGTGGATCACCTGAGGTCAGGAGTTTGAGACCAGCCTGGGCAATGTGACAAAACCCCATCTCTATCAAAAATACAAAAAATTAGTGAGGCTTGATGGCGCCACCTGCAGTCCAGCTACTTGGAAGGCTGAGGCGGGAGGATGGATTGAGCTTGGAGAGGTTGAGGCTGCAGTGAGCAGAGATCATGCCACTGCCTGGGTGACAGAGTAAGACCCTATCTCAAAAATAATAATAATAAGACTGGGCTCTGTGGCTCATGCCTGTAATCCCAGCACTTTGGGAGGCCGAGGCGGGCGGATCATGAGGTCAGGAGATCGAGACCATCCTGGCTAACAGGGTGAAACCCTGTCTCTACTAAAAATACGAAAAATGAGCCAGGCGTGGTGGCGGGCACCTGTAATCCCAGCTAATCAGGAGGGTGAGGCAGGAGAATGGCGTGAACCCAGGAGGCAGAGCTTGCAGTGAGCAGAGATCGCACCACTGCACTCCAGCCTGGGCAACAGAGCTAGACTCCGTGTCAAAAAAAAAAAAGAAAGAAAAAAAAATAAGGCCAGTCACGGTGGTTCACACCTGTAATCCCAGCACTTTGGGAGGCTGAGGTGGGTGGATCACAAGGTCGGGAGTTCAAGGCCAGCCTGGCCAACATGGTGAAACCCCATCTTTACTAAAAATACAAAAATTAGCTGGGGGCAGTGGCAGGCACCTGTAATCCCAGCTACTCGGGAGGCTGAGGCAGGAGAACTGCTTGAACCCAGGAGGCAGAGGTTGCAGTGACCTGAGATTGTGCCACTGCACTCCAGCCTGGGTGACAGAGCGAGGGTCCATCTCAAAATAAATAAATAAATAAATAAAAATAAAAATAAAATAGGCCGGGTGTGGTGGCTCACACCTGTAATCCCAGCACTGGGAGGCTGAGGTGGGCGAATCACGAGGTCAGGAGTTCGAGACCAGCCTGACCAACATGGTGAAACCCTGTCTCTACTGAAAATACAAAAATTAGCCAGGCGTGGTTGTGGGCACCTGTAATCCCAGCTACTAGGGAGGCTGAGGCAGGAGAATCACTTGAACCCAGGAGGCGGAGGTTGCAGTGAGCCAAAGTTGCGCCACTGCACTCCAGCCTGGGTGACAGAGTGAGACTCCGTCTCAAAAAAAAAAAAAAAAATAATAATAATAATAATAAAATAATAAAAATGACAGCGGGACCAAATGCAAAGAAACTTGGGTCCTGATATCCTCAAGCTGCTAAATTCACCAACCCTGGAATCCCCCTGCTTCCAGCCTTCTTGGTTACAGGATACCTTTCCTTATTGTTTATCCATTTTGAATCAGGGTTCCTGTTCCTTGCAGCTGAAAGCATTCTCACTGATACACGTGAGGCCCAGTGTTGCTTTATTGATCTATTCGACCTTCATTTTTTGTTAACGTATCACCTTCTAGAATTCTCGTCACAAGCGCGATCTCATCGAGGCTTGCTCACACCCACGAGGTTATGCTCCCTGGCAGGGCAACAGAATCCAGCACTAAGACAGCAGAATTTGTAGCAGGCAAACTCGGGTTTAAGTCCCAGCTCTGCCACTTTTTAACCGTGTGACCCTAATCGCATATCTCTCTGTGCCTTCATGTCCTCACCTGCAAACGGATAACAGGCCCCACAGCACCAGATGCACATGACGAGATGATGCCAACAGGGTGTAAGACCCGGCGCCCAACACCCTCAGTACACATGCAACAAATGGTAGCCATTATAGCGATTGTCATTTTAACCTTTCAGATTTGCTTTGGCTGTTTCCACCTGGATTGGGCCTGATTGGTGGCAAACTCATTCGCTCATTCACTCAACAAATATTTACTGAGTGCCTACGTATGCCAAGCACTATTCTAGGTGCTGTGGGGATGCAGCTGTGACAACACAGATTTACTTTAAGGTATAAAGTTGTAAACTTGGTACCTAACAGGTATGCTATCTGTCTTTCACTTGCCTCTCCATACCCCGGAACCAATTATGGGGGGGCTCACGTATGTTGCCCAGGCTGGTCTCGAACTCCTGGCCTCGAGTGATCCTCCTGTCTTAGCCTCCCAAAGTGGGGATTACAGGCGTGAGCCACTGCCCCTGGCCTCCCAGAACTAATTTCTGCCGTGCTCTGTACCCTGAGAGGCTGATCCTGGTCACTCCTTTGCTGACTGGACTCTGGTTGGGTTTGGCCAGTGGGGTCTGTGGCAGGGTGAGAGAGAGGTAGGTGGGGTGAAGTTCCTTCCCTGCTCTCTCCCTCCTGGGAGCTGTGTCACAGGCAGCAGCTGTGCCCTCCACAGCACAGCTCTGCTGCTCCCGCCCTCCGGGACTCGCTAAACACCTGCCCCACTGCCCTTCCCCCAGGGAGTCACAGCCTCCTGCTCTGAGATGTCCATGGGTACCTCGGCATCCCTTGTTTTCTCCCTCAATCCTCTGGTGTCGTCCTTTCATTAAAGTCTCTTCATCTGGGGCCGGACGCAATGGCTCCCAGCACTTTGGGAGGCTGAGGCAGGCGGATCACTTGAGGTCAGGAGTTCAAGACCAGCCTGGTCAACATGGTGAAACCCCACCTCTACTGAAAATACAAAAATTAGCCGGGCGTGTTGACACACACCTGTAATCCCAGCTACTCAGGAGGCTGAAGCAGGAGAATCGCTTGAACCCGGGAGGCAGAGGTTGCCGTGAGCCGAGATCACGCCACTGGACTCCAACCTGAGCAACAGAGCGAGACTCCATCTCAAAAAAAAAAAAAAAAAAAAAAAGTATCTTCATTTCAGCCATCTGAGAAGATAAGCAGTTGTTCAGCAAATTTCTTAGCCCTAATAGAAGAGGGGGTGTCCATAGCTTCAGGTCTACACAAAGCCTTGATCCTTGCACGCCTGGGAACCTGGCTCCCGTCCCTCCCTGGGATCTTAAGCACAACATTCACGGGCTTCTCCTCAGTCACTTCCTCTGACTACTCTGTGGGGTCAGGCACTGCTGCAAGGCACCTCCATCTTAGAACTTTCTTACTCCCAATTTCTGTGTCCCTGATCCCAGCACTTCTAGTCCCCTCCATCTCAACATTATCAAAGACAGCTTGGACTCACTGGATGAAGGAGAGGCCTTGGGCACCGCCCCCCCAATCCCCACCCCCGCCGGCCACCGTAGAGCTCACTGTGGTGTTCCAAGCTCTCTCCTGTACCTGGCATTATGTGAGCTCAGGACCAGGCTGGATACTTCTGTCCCCATTGTACAGACGAAGAAAGGGCCTGAGAAGACAGAGGGCTTTGACCAAGGCCACAGGCTGAGCTAGTGTGGATCGTGTCCCACCAGTGACCCGCATGGCTGGAGCACACCGAGGGTGTGGGTGCAGGGGCAGGGTGAGCTGAGGCTGCTGTGAAGGGCCCTGGGCCGCACATGAAGGATTTGGGTTGATCATCTGCCAGGGGCCGGGGCAGGGATTTTAAGCTGGCAGGGGTGTGTGTGTGTGTGTGTGTGTGTGTGTGTGTGACACACACAGAGACAATCAAATCTGCATTTTACAAAGTTCCCTCCCCACCCCCAGGTCTTGGGAAATCAGTTAGAGGTGACAGAAGTCACAAGGAGATCTTAGAAGACCGTGCATGTTGGTAGTGAGACATCGATGGTTTTCCCCTGCTTCTCTATACTTTACTGTTGAAAATTTCCACAGGGAGGCTGGTGGCGGTGGCTCACACCTGTAATCCCAGCAGTTTGGAAGGCTGAGGCGGGTGGATCACGAGGTCAGGAGTTCAAGACCAGTCTGGCCAATATGGTGAAACCCCATCTCTACTAAAAATGCAAAAATTTAGCCAGGCTTGGTGGTGGGCGCCTGTAATCCCAGCTACTCGGGAGGCTGAGACAGGAGAATCCCTTGAACCCAGGAGGCAGAGGTTGCAGTGAGCTGGGATCGCACCATTGCACTCCAGCCCGGGTGACAGTGTGAGACCCTGCCTCAAAAAAATAAAATAAAATAAAATAAAATAAAATAAAATAAAATTTCCACTGTAAACATTTATTACTTTACAAGAAAGAAGCCATGTTTATAAGAAAGGCTACTGGAGCACTGGAAGTGAGACAGGGGCACGGAGGGGCTTGGGAAGGCTGGGGGTGGGCGACCCTTCCTGAGGGAGACAGCAGCTGGGGCAGCCTCGTACCGGCTGGGGCAGCGTGGTCGGGGGAGCATTATGTCTGGACACACGCATTCGAGGAGCCTGGGGATGCCCGGGGAAGCGTGTGTGGGTGACTGGAGCTCAGAATGGAGACCTGGGTGGGGGCAGGGACTAAGCAGTGCACCTGGTGCCTGAGGAGAGGAAGGCATGGTGTGAGGAGAAGAGGCTGAGGAGTGGGGCACAGGAAGGGAAGAGGCAGGCAAAGGAGAGTCGCCCAGGCAGGGTGCAATGGCTCACGCCTGTAATCCCAGCACTTTGGGAGGCTGAGGTGGGAGGATCACCTGAGCTCAGGAGTTTGAGACCAGCCTGGCCAACATGGTGAAACCCCGTCTCTACTAAAAATACAAAAATTAGCCAGTGTGGTAATTAGCCTGTAGTCTCAGCTGCTCGGGAGGCTGAGGCACGAGAATCACTTGAACCCAGGAGGCGGAGGCTGCAGTGAGCTGAGATCACACCACTGGACTCCAGCCTGGGAGACAGAGCAAGACTCCGTCTCAAAAAATAGAGGGAGTCACCCAGAAAGGAGCCCAGAGGCTCCAGGTGGAGGCTGGGGAGAGGATGCTGAGGAACAGAGGGTCTGCACAGCCCTATGCAGGTGTGGGGGGGGTCTACAAGGCCACATGCTGCAGAGCAGTGGGGGAGGGGGGTGAAAAGAGCCCATCTCGATGTCACTGGAGACCCAGGCAACCCCGGAGATGGGGTGGAGGCTGGGCCATAAAGGCATGAGGCTGACACCACAGCGGAGGAGCTGGGCTCTGGGGAGGGAGGGACTAGGGTGGGAAACAGTGCAACATCATTAGAGCTGAGGGAAGGGGCTGCTGGAGAGGCTGAAGCACTTTGTGGTGGGGAGGGAGGCAGTCTGGACTTGTGTCCTGCCCCCCACTTGCTAGCCGTGTGGCCTTGGATTAAGCCTCAGTTTCCGCCCCCGTCACATGGGGGTAATAGACCTTCCTCAGTGTGGTGAGTGTGAGATGAGATAATGCGCATGCCTGGCCCCAGCGAAAGCTCTGTCAGTGTCAGCTGCTCTGCTGGGCACCCAGGAGGGTCCAGCCCGGACAGGACAAGGGGAACTCATCCCTGGCAGTGGCAGGAAAAAGATCTGGAGGTGGGGCTCGCAGGGTGTCTGGGGGCCATGAGGAGGCAGGTGGGAGCTGTGGAGAGGCTGCGGGGGGCTGGAGGGCTGCTTTTTGAGAAATTCTCCTGGGAGCCAGTAGGGAGGCAGGGCCTTGGGTGCCCAGGGCTGTCCCAGGGCCAGTGCAGGGAAGGGTTCCAAGATTCCTAGGTCCCGATCCTGGCTGTGATGCCACCTTGCTGTGCACCTTTGGGAAGCCCCTCTCCTCCTCTGAGCTGCCCCCTCATCTGAAAAAGAGATGGACTCACCCATCTCTAACCTCTTGCCTCTGAGTCTAGAACCTTCTCTAACGTCTTGCCTCTGAGTCTAGAACCTTCTTTAAGTGAGAGCATCTGGACATATCACAGCCCCCACCCTCACACCCAGAATGGGCCTGTCATACAGGAGCTGCTCATAAATATTAACTAAATCAAACGAGTGCACTAAGGGTCTCTCACAACATCTGGGTCCAGGAGCCACCCTGCAGCCTCTGACCAGGCCACAAGGGCAGTAAACACCCACAGGTGAGGTATGTCCACTCTCCACACAGCCTCCGCGCCTGCTCATTAGACCTGAAAGAGATTGCGGCATCCCTGCAATTCCTGCTGCACCCCTACCCTTCCTGAGGGCCAAAGTGCCTCGCCCTGTCCCCACCCAACCTTGCAAAGACGGGAGGTGACCCCACTGAAACCCAAACACAAGGCTGAAAAGCAGATGCAAAGTTGGCTTCTCCCTTGGCTAGGGGTGGCCTAAGAGCTAAGAGGGAGACCAGGATGAGAGTGGGGCCCTGAATAGCAGGCGGAGCCCTGGGAAGAGGGAGAGGGAAGCGGAGAGAGAAACAGAGTGGCAGGAAGCAGAGGGCCACAAAATCCCCCTTCTGCACCCCAGGGTAGGCCAGGCCTGAGAAGGGACCCAGGCGTTGGGGCTGCTGGAGTCACAAACTCGCTCGCTCGCCCCTCCTCCAGGAGCCAGCAGTGGCAGCTGGAGAGTCTTCTCTGTGTCTGAGTGAGGGAACTCCTGAGAGGGGAGGTGCCTGGTTGAGAACTCATGTGCTAATCTAGATCCAAAGCTCCGGGATCGGGAGGAGGAGGGAGAAGACGGTTCAGGGGGTGGGTGGGGCAGTCCTGGCAGGGAAGGTCTGTCTGGGAAGAGGTTGGGAAAGCTGGTCACGGGAGCAGGGGCAGGAGATGCCCAGTGGGGCAGGGGCCCGGCATGCAGCAGAGTGGGCCTGGGTGGCCCCCACAGTCCCCGCCCTCACCTGCTGCTGGGCCTGGATCCGCATGTACTCGGCCCTCTGCTTGCCATGTTTGCTTTTGTCGGGGCTGCCCGCCTGGCCCTGGGCCGCCTTCAGCCGAGAGGCCCCCGGAGTCACCACCTTCATGGGTGGTACACTGCCTCCGCCACTCTGCAGGAAGAGGAACAGGGTTGCAGTTGCAGAGTCCACATGGGGTGAATCACACAGGAACCCTAGCACTGGGTGGGGTCTCGGGGCTGGGACCTCCTCAGTGGGGCCCTTTGAGACCTGGAGACCCCTCTCTAGCTCCACACCCGAGTCCAGAACCCAGGTCCACCCTCTCAGTCCCCACTTATGGTCTCCCTGCAGGAGAGGGGTGGGGCCCAAGCCAGTTTCCCAACGGCTCTTGAGGGAGAGCTCTTCGGTGGCTTCCTTGAGTAGCTCAGGGGCAGCTGATGCCCTCCTTGGGGAGCCTCTGCTAAAGTGAGGGTCCCCAGCAGCAACCCCACTCCCGGCAAGGGGCACCATCTGGACCTGGGTGCACATGCCAGCAAGGGGCTCTCTATAATGGCACACAGAGCAGAGGGGCAGCCCCAGGCCCACATCCTCCTCCTAAGGGGAGGATGCAGGTGAGGTCTCCCTAGGGATGGGCAAGCTTGGCTCCCATGAACCTCCCCAAGTACCAGGCCTGCCCGCGGGGCACTGGGGATCCAGAGGCGCAAGCAGAGAGATGACAGAGACAGAGAATCAGAGACAGGAAGGGGAGGGGAGCATGGGGATGGAAGGTGGGGAGAGAACTTTATTTGTTGGTTTACAGATACAGAGCAGAAGCGGGAGGCCCTGGTTCTTGCCAAGGCTGGGGATTGGCCGGCCCCTGGGTAGGCCGGCTTCCCAGCCTCCCCCGGACTCTGCCTGCAAACCCTGCTCTGGCACCAGGCTCCCAGGAGAGTGGTAAGAGCTGAGAGAAGGCCGGTGGGAGGAGGGGGCTGGCCTGGCATTTCTGCTGCCCCCTACTCTGTCTGACTCTGGAAATGGAGGAGGAAGGCAGCAGAGGAGGATGAAAAGCGGGCAGCCACCTGGGGGCGGAGGGGTAGGGGTGGGGGGCTGCCAGGGGACCCCATGGCAGGGCCTGTGCCCATGTTGCTCAGGGTGGCTTCCAGCTCCCGGAGCGTCTCCTCCAAGCTGTCCATCTGCTGGGCAGTGGCGCCCCACGTGGTGCGGCCTGAGTTGGCAGCAGCCTGGCCCTGATGCTCCCTACTGCAGGTTTGGGCATCATGTCCAGAGTCCTTGAGGATCTCCTCTGGGTAGGTGTCAGCAGTAGAGGTCTCTGGAGTCCCATCCTGGGCTGGTCCCTGAGGACACTGTACTCTGGCTCCTCCATCCTCTAGGCTGCTGCCTCCTCCACCCAGTCTCTTCAGAGCTGCCCCCTCCTTCCGGGGCATGAAGCTGCTCCTCGGCCCAGAAGTCTCCCCCACTACCCCTGGTGGGGACTGTGGGCCATCCCAGCCCCTCGTGCTGTCAGCCAGGGTCTGAGGTCTTGGGGTGGGAGCTGTCCTGGGTCCCAGTTCCTCAAGTCTGGCCTCTGGCGGGGAGGGAGGGTTGGGGGCACACTCTGTCAAGATGATCCTTGGGACGCAGAAGGCCCTGGGACCTGGGGCAGCCTGCCGGGAGAAGGAAGATGAGGAAGAGTGTGATTCCTACAACCAAACCCCAAGCTAAAATGGGTGTTACAGTTAGGTGAGCCTAGCCCCTTTCTTTTACAGATGGGAAAACTGAGGCAGGGAGGGTCCTGACAGAGGCTACCCAGTAAGTTGGAGGCAAAATTGGGACCAGAATTCAGGTCTTTCCCACCATACCCTGTGGCCTCCTACTTGCCAGTAAAGGTGCCGGTTTGGCCAGGGCAGGCACACATTTACTTTACACCACCCATGTGAGCCTCTGGGAGCCGGGCTCAGGGTTGTTCCCATGAGCGTGCCCATCTGTGCAATGACTCGACACCAAGGTGGGGCCGGTGGAGGATGAAGTGAGCTCGCTGGGCATGTTGTGAGTGCTTCATAAATATTAGCTATTTGTTGAAATGAATGGAATGGCCGAGACCTTTGGCCCCATGTGGGCAGAGACAACATGTCAGCCTCTGGCATCTCAAACCAGAGACTTCTGGTCTACCCCAACTTTGTGTGCTCTCCCCAAGAGCTTCACAGCTAGAAGGGGTGGGGCTTGCCCCCTGACAAATCCTCTGTGGCACACACACTCGGGCAAAGCTCCCTTGGGCACCTGCTCCGGTGCCAGCATCCCTGGCCCTGGCCTCGGTGAGGGCACAGAGGGAAGCCCCAAGTACCACTCCCCGATGTGAGTGAATCCTGGTCTAACTCTGAGCACCAGGCTTGTGCCAGGTGCCGTCACACCCTTCCTCACCTTCAGTGCCTACCTTAACCCGGGAAGTGACTGCTGCTCTCACCAGGGCGAGGGAGGTAACACACTTCACCCAAGGCCACCCACCCACAGCTAGTTAGTGGCAGAGCCTGGATTTGAACCCAGGTAGTCTGACTCCAAGGCCAGTGCTCCTTCCACTAAAGGGAGCCGTGGGGAGATGGGAGGGGGCAGCAGGGACCCCCAACCACCCCCTCCCAAAGGAACCCACCCAGCCTTGCCACCTGCTTACCTGGAAGTGGGGGGTGCTGACTGGGAAGGCAGAGAGGGCAACCTCACGCTCGCCCGGCTCCGTTGCCCGATGCTGCCGCAGGATGCAGAGGGTCGGCCAGGGGCAAAAGGCCTTGTCCACTGGGCCCCTCAGGATGGGCTCCCAGAGCCGGAAAGGGGCAGGGCTTGGATGGGAGGGGCCAAAGTGCCAAGGGCATGGCCAGCCCAGGAGGCGCCCCTTCCATACAGCTCATCCTAGAGGTTCCTCGCACTGCTCTGTGCCCATCCTCTGCCCAGCAGAAGGCACTGTCCACTATCTGATGCCCCTCTGCTCCTCCCCCGCCAGGAAACCAAAGCGCCAACAGGCCTCCAGCCAGGCCAGAAATCAGGTGGCCACCAGCACAGAGCCCACTGTGGGCCAGGGAGCCCCAGATAGGGAGTGTGTGCACACGGGAGGCTCTCCTTCTCCAGAGCGGAGGCCCCCCTGCCTCAACCTGACCTGGCAGAGAGAGAGAGATTCCCAGACCTTCCCCCTCCCCTCCTCCCCAAGCACAGTCCCCAGGGGTAGGGTGCAGACAGCAGGTTCACCCCCAAATTCCCAGGAAAGAATAAAGAGGAAATAAGTGCAGCAGGACAGCAGCAAGGACTGACATTAGAGAGAAGGAAGAATTTCCCAATGCCAAAAGAACCAGCAGCCAAGGAATGGCATAGCTTTCTTCCATTCCAGGCTCTCTGTCCAAGAGGGCATCGTAGGCCCTTGGGCTAGTGAGGCTGTAGACGAGCCTACCCCTGTGGTGTCCTGGCCCCCAGCGCAAGGCATAGATTCTAGGGGAAAAACAGAGCCCCTCCCCGGCACAGGCAGCAGAGCAGCGAAGATGGAGGTGGGGGCTAGGCAAGGGCTCAGGACAAGGTCAGATTTTGAGCTGGATCCAAAGTCATCTTGTGAGCAAGATCCAAACTCCAATCTTGGCCACACTCAGCCTTCGGGCCAGACCTAAGCTCAAACTGCGAACCAGAACAAAATACTCAGGCCTCCATCAGCAAGCCCGTGAGAAAATGCAGACACAAGGGGCCACCAGACACCCAGGCTGCTGGAGTCTCAGGGAGCCCCCCAGCAAGCAGCGGGGAGGAAGGGTTATGCGCCTGTCCTTGGAGTGGGGGAGGGGTGAGTCCACATGTAATGCTGTGGCAGTGGCTGTGGCCATGGTGGGACTTGGGATGGTGACTGGCGTTTTAGCGGGTTAGCGTGGGAGGTGAGGAGAGGAAGCTGTGGGGGCACAGGCAGAGAGAGAGCTGTGAGAAGTGGCAGCAGCCCCGTTACCTTCCGTGTAGGGCCTGGGGCTGAGCCCCCGGGGGGCCCCAGGTCCTGGGGGGACAGCAAGGTGGGGATCAGCTGGCGGCGGGGCGTGGGGGGGAGGGAAGACACTGAGCTTCTCTCAAACACCTGGGGAGCAGAAGGTGGGGGCAGGTTTGGAGGAGGGGGCACTAGGGAGGATGGGGGTGCTGGCCTGTGGCCCCGGCACCCTTGGGGAGGGTGGCCTGGGATGGCATCGGCCCCCAGCCTCACCCCTTGGTCCCTTGCCATAGCCGCCAGCCCTCTCTGCCCTCATCTGGTCACCTCAGAGCCCTGGTAGTCCAGGTCTCCCGCACTGGAGCTGGGGGTGGCTGAGAACGCTTGAGTGTGGTGACTGACACTGCTGGGAGAGTCGAGGCATGGGGTATGAGAGTCTCAGAGCTCCGTCCTCAGAATACTCAAGTATGGGGGTCTCAAGCATGAGCTGATCTCAGAACACTGGGGGATGGGGATCTCCAAACTCGGTGATCTCAGAATCTTCGGATACGGGACTTTCAGAGTGCAGGAGGTCTGGGGATACTTGGGGGGACTCAGAGACTATAGTTAAAAAACTCAAACCTGCAAGGAGAGAAGACTTTAGACCCCCACCCCTCATTTCACAGTGGAGAAGAAATGGAGGCAAAAGGCTGGGGTCTGAACAGCCAGCGCTCCGCAGGGAGCCCGAGAGCCCATCTTCTGCCTCATCCTGTCACCTGGCCTGGGGGGCAGCCTGGGAGGGAAGGGGGCCTGGCTGAGACCTTGGGGGCCAGGTGTGCCCTGACCTACCTCTAGCTCTGCGATGATGCGATCCTCGTCATCCTCGTCCTTGATGGCCGAGGCCATGATGGGTGGTGTGGAGGCTGGGCGGGCCACCTCAGACACAGCCCGGCGCAGCTTCACCTGGGGCTTCTGCACCTCCAGCTCCTCGGACTCAGCCTTCTGCAAGGCCCGGGACTCCTGTCAAGGCCAGGCTCTGCCCCACTTCAGCACCAGCTCACCTCCCAGGCCCCATCGCCCATGTACCCCAGCTTCTCGTCTGCTACTTCTGCTGCTACACCCCTGCCAGGGTGTCCCTCAACAGACAGGGGCCTGGCATGGAATTAAGGCAAATACACATACCTAGAATCCCAAACTAGCAGGACAAAGTCGCCACCGGCCACTCCCTCTTTCCTTCCATGTTCTCTGAGAAAGGGGTCTCTTTCCCACCCCAGAGGGCCTCCAGAAGTCATCTGAGGCTTCATCCTAACTCAGTCCCCTGGCCCTCTGTCTGAGGTGGGAGTGGTACCTTGATGAAGGCCGAGTCCTTCTTGCTGGTGACCACCACCTCTCCGGTACGTGTGGTGGTCAGGCCATGGGAGGAGGGGAAGCTCCGGCGGGGAGGGGGCGGTGGGGGCGACTTGGAGGGCTTCTCTGTGCGGTATCGGGGCACGGTCAACTCATCTGCAGGCACCAAGGGGCTGGGGGTCAGCAGGCCTGCAACCTTGGAGTCAGTGCACTACATCTAACTTGAAGGGGATAAACCTTGCTTCTTCCTCCAGGGAGGACCAGGAGGAGGTGAGAGGAAAGCCTGGGGGCAAGAACACAGGGCCCCTCCTTCTCTTACCTCTCCTGCACACAAGCCCCAAGCCCTGTCCCTCTCCTGACAGCACTCTTGCTACTCCAAGTGTTGTCTGTGGACCAGCAGCACTGGCAGCGCCTGGCAGCTTGTCAGAACTGCAGCTCAGGCCCCACCTCTGGGCTGCTAAACCAGGATCTGGTTGAACAGATCCTGAGGTGACGGACACACATTCAAGTTAGAGAGGCGCTGCTCTAACCACCTCCTTCCCACTGCCCCTCACCCTTGCCTCGGCTCAGCTCTCCATCTCTCCTCCAGGGATCCTGGCCCCTCCCACTGGGCTCTCCTCTCCCCCAATTTGTCCTCCAGCCCTGCTTCCGGGGTAACCTGCAGAGAGGTCACTCTAGCCATTCCCCTGCCTTTGATCTTGCAGTGGCTCCCCATCACCCCAAACCATGTCCAAGCTCCTTAGGCCAGCACCTCTGCACCTGCCAAGCTTTCAGCCTCAGCTCTGCTTGCTGCTCCCCAGGCTGGACCCTGTTCAGGCCATGCCACACACACACCTTCAGGCGTTTGCACACGCTGTTCCCTCACCCTGGAGTACCCGCTCTCACTAGCTAGGGAAGTGCCCACTCATTTGCAAGATTTCAGTGAAAAGTCACATCTTTAGGGAAGCCTTCCTGCCCTCCTAGGGCCTCCGCCAGGACTGCACAGTACCGGCATTCACCTCTGCTATTACATTTAGCACTTGCATTCTATTTCTGGTTTACATACTAGGCATGGTCCGGCACAGATTTCTTAATCATTTTGAGCCTATGTCCTTCTCTGTAAAATGGGAATAACTACCGTGTCTGCCTCCTGAGCTTGTTATACAATTATAAGGATGAGGCCAGGCGTGGTGGCTCAAGTCTGTAATCCCAGCACTTTGGGAGGCCAAGGTGGGCGGATCACGAGGTCAGGAGATCGAGACCATCCTGGCTAACACGGTGAGACCCCATCTCTACTAAAAATACAAAAAAATTAGCCGGGCGTGGTGCAGGCGCCTGTAGTCCCAGCTACTCGGGAGGCTGAGGCAGGAGAATGGCGAGAACCCAGGAGGCGGAGCTTGTAGTGAGCCAAGATAGCGCCACTGCACTCCAGCCTGGGCGACAGAGACAGACCCCGTCTCAAAAACAATAAATAAATAAAAAATAAAAATAAAATTATAAGGATGACTACATTAAAAGCAATGGAACAGTTCTTATCACAGAGTAAGTGCTTGATAAACACAAATGTCAGTGTTATTCCCCCCACTAAATTTTGAGCTCTTTTAAAGCAAGCCCTGTCTTATTTCCGTATCTCCAGCACCTAGCACACAGTAGGTACTTAACCAATATGCATTGCAGGAATGAATAAAATGAAGGAATGATGACTGCCACTTCTGGTCTGGATTTCTGCCACTCCCGGGACCGTGACTCAGGCTGGGGACCATGGGAACTGTGTCAGTATCAGCAGTATCAGCGCTCAACCCGCCCTCAACACAGCCTGGTTTGGGGCATGCGCCCAGCCAAGCCGTGGAGGCGGATGACTCTGCCTGGACTTGCTCCCTGCCTGGTCCTCTCAGTGGCTCCCTTCCCAGGACAGTGGGAAATGCCGGGATGGAGTCCAGCTTGCCCTGTCCTTCTGGGTCCCAGTCTCCCTTTAGTGGCAGCCGATGTCCCAGGGCCTCCCTTGTGTGGCAGCCCAACCACAATGATCTTGAGATCCCAGTGCCTCCCCCATCAGCCTGGGCTCCTGAGGAGGGCACTCCCCCACGCTGGGCTCCTTACCAGCCCTACTACTCCCCATACCTGAGCCCCTCCTCCCACTGGGCTCCGTTCGGGGGGCTGCCTTCTGGCCGTGGGGGGCCTTGGGGGGCTTGTGATCTGGAGTGGGGGCCGGGCCTGGATGGGCCTTGCTGGCACAGTCCAGGTCAGGGATGGCCTTGAGCAGCTCTGCCTGTGTCTCTTCCAGCAGCCGGTTGATGTCCTTGGCACTGTACTGGGTCAGGGCTGCCCGCTTCTCCTCCCAGTCTCGCTCTGCAGCCTTAACAGGGAGCCAGGAGTCAGGATTGAGGTAGCTCTCCTGCTCCAGGACCTCTGGGGCCTCAGCCTCCTCCCCCAAGCCACGTAGGCAAGGAATAGAAAACGAAGCCTCATATTTGATCCCACCTCCAGGAAGACACTTTGACTTCTCGTGGGTATCACATGGCATCCCCATGGGTAGGAATGCCACCCTCATTATATACTACATTCGTGATAAACTTAGATCTATTTCTGGGCATTCTATTGTTTCACTGACTACATAGTCTATTCTTGGGCAAACATCATACTGCTTTGATTATTGTAGCTTTATAATACGCTTTCTGTCTAGGAGGGCTAATGTCACCCTCATTATGCTTCTTAGGCTTCCATTAGGGCACTGGCCCTCCTCCCCCAAGGAAAAAGACCCACAGGATTGGCACTCCCCACTCTAGGAAGGATGGTCGTAAGAATGTGTGAACCTGGCTCATGGCCCCACCCACAATCCCTGGCCCCAGCACCTCAACAGACACAGCTTTGTCCACGCTTCTCTTGCCAGGAGTGTCCAGGCCTTTGGTGGGGTTGCCCCCCTTGGGGGTAAGAGAGGCTCCTTCAGCTGGCCCGCTCAGCTCATGCAGGTTCAGCGGGGGGCTGGGGGGTGGCATTTCGAAGTCCACGCTCTTGTTGAAGTCAGTCTCTGCCGTCACCTTCTTGGGGGACTGACTCAGGAGATTGTTGGGGGGTGGCCACACACCCTCATCCACTTGCCTGGGGTTGGGAGAGTTGGGAGCAGCTGTGAGGCCAGCAGGTGGTGACCCTTCTGCAGGAAGGCTGCTCTGAGGGAGGTGGGGTGGGAGGCAGGCTCTGGGATGCTGTGGGAGGGCCTGGGGAGGAGTGACTGCCCCTGGTATAAGAGGAAGCCAGGTCTACAGCATGCAGGGGTCACAGGGCAGAGCTGAGGTGCCAGTCCAGTCGGCACGCCAGTGACCTTTGGGGGAGTTGGGGTAAGGGTTCAGTATGACCTATGGGTCTGGGCCCGGTGTGTGAACCCATGGGAAATCAGAGGTCAGGGACAGAATGACCTTCGGATCTGGGCCAGCGTGTCCGTGACCCCGCGGCAGCGCTTGAGGAGCCCATCCAGGCGCTGGGGCTCCTCCTTCAGGAACTTCACCGCCTCCACCTCCACGCGCAGCACCACCCGCATCTTGCTCTGCAGGCCCGGGAAGTGAGCTGAGGAGACAGGAAGGCATGAGCTGGGGCCAGAGGGAGCACCACAGACTGGGAGGAGAGGATGGTGGCTGGAGTATGGCAGACTTCCCCACCCTGAACAACGTGCTGCATTCGCAGGCCCCAGACCCACCCTTGAGCTCTGTCAGCGTCTCCCCGAGCTGCTTCAGCACCAGTGCCTTCTCCTCCAGCTCAGGGCCGGGCACCAGCCGGTGGTTGTGGGACACGTCTCTCTGGATCTTCTCCACCGATTTCTCCAGGTCACTGCAGCCACAGAGAGACCCTTTCAGCCCTTTTGGCCTGAGATGCCAGCCCAGCCCCCTGAAATTGGGCAACTGGAAAGAAATCAGGCCACCAGTTGGATCGAAAGTAAAAGCAGGAGGCTGGGCACCGTGGCTCACGCCCGTAATCTCAGTACTTTGGGAGGCTGAGGCAGGCGGATCACTTGAGCCCAGGAGTTCAAGACCATCCTGGGCAACATAGGGAGACCTCATCACTACAAAAAAATAAAATAATTAGCTGGATGTAGTGGCAGGTGCCTGTAGTCCCAGCTACTCGGGAGGCTAAGGCAGGGGGAATCACTTGAGCCCAGGAGGTTGAGGCTGCAGTGAGCCGTGATTGTGCCACTGCACTCTAGCCTGAGTGACAGAGGGAGACCTTGTCTCAAAAGCATACAAACATAAAAGCCAGCCATCAGGCCACATACTCAAGTAAAATCTGCAACGCCAAATCTCAGAGATGAGGAGACTTCAGAAGCGCTCCCTAAGAGGTGCCCTGCACCATCTGCCCCCTTGGAAGCTCTGACCCTCAGCAATATCTGCCCGAGTATCTCTCATTGTAACTTGCATCCCCTGATTCTATTCTGCCAAGGAAGCAGAGAGAACTTAGTTGCCTTTCAAAGAACCAGAGGCAGAGCACGTGCCCCCGGGGAGGTCTCTTGTCTCGGGGGAAACTGCCATGTCCATTGCCCTTCTCTCACATGATCCAGCCACACAGCCTCTTTCCTGAGGGCCAAAGCTGAGTTAGATTTTCAGCTACTATATGCTGAACTTGTGTCATTTGAGACCCTACATTCTTCTAAATTGTAAATCAGATCAGGTCTTCACTTGTGCCATTGAACGCTAAATGGATCCCATCATCCTGAGGCCTAACATCCAAACTTTTCAATGCAGCCAAGAAGGGCAGGAAGGTGGTAGTTGAAAACTTGGTTCTAGAGTCAGACTGATCCAAGCTCCAATCCTCACTCTGCCCTTGCCAGAGGAGAGATCTTGGGCAAGTTACCTAATATCTCTGGACTTCAACCTCCTCGTCCAAAAAATAGGGATGGTAAGAGCTCCCCGCTAGGCATGGTGGTTCAAGCCTATAACCTCAGCACTTTGGGAGGCCGAGGTGGGCTGATCACCTGAGGTCAGGGGTTCGAGACCAACTGGCCAATATGGCGAAACCCTGTCTTTACTAAATATACAAAAATTTGCTGGCCATGGTGGCGTGCGGCTGTAATCCCAGCTACTTGGGAGGCTGAGGCAGGAGAATCGCTTGAACCCAGGAGGCGGAGGTTGCAGTGGGCCGAGATCATGCCACTGCACTCCAGCCTGGGGAACAGAGTGGGACTCTGTCTCAAAAAAAAAAAAAAGAGTTCCCCCTTCATGGGGGCCATCAGGTGGATTGGATGAGCTAATGAAGACAGGAAAGCACGCGGCAAAGGGCTCAGTGCCTGGGAACTGCTCTTGTTTTCCGTGCTGCTGTAACCCTCATCTCATCTGGCTTCTGCTTAGAGCCCTTCAGACCTGCTCTGAGGTGCTACATGTGCTGTCCTCTCTGGCTCTTTATAATGCTGTTTTCTCTGCCTAGAATATTCCATTCACCCATACACATACAGGCACACACACGTGCTAACTCCCACTGATCCTCAGGTCTCAGTGGGAAGCTGTCCTCCAGCCCCTCCCCTTGCGGCTGTTGGGTCTGCTTCCTGCCCTCCAAACCGCTGAAGCTCCTGTTGGCTGGGTTGTGCAGCCTTCTGGACTACTAACCCCAGGCAGGCAAAGACCATGTCTTCCAGATTCATCTCCGGTTTCTAGCACCTGGCATGGTGCCTGGTGCAGAGTAGATGTCTGGGAAATAATTGTGGAATGAATGAACAAGGGAGAGAAGGAACTGCTGCCCAGGTAAGTCATCTCAGTTCTGTACTTGAGTCGCTGACATCCCTGACTCACATGCGGGACTTTATATATATTCCTGTCAAATCCCATTGTTGGATTTCAGCTCAATCCAGGGGCAAACAACTTTTGAATTTCAGTTCTACCATCCAACAGATTTGCTCCCCCTTAAAGCTCTGTGTCATCAGCAAATCTTATCAGCACGCCTTACACATCTTCATCCAACTAGCAGGTGAAAAGACAGACTGGGTTGAAGTCAAGGGCAAAAGCTTGTGACTCAGCAACACTACCAGTTAAAGAGCTATCCTGTATTACGCACTTACTGTATGCCAGGTGCCACACTCAGGCCTTGGCTTTCATTACTTTAATTAACCCTCAAAACAAATCCTGGAGGTGGGAACAGTTATTATCTCCAGCTTATACACAGACAAACAGTGGCTCAGAGCCTAGACTACACATCCCAGCCTCCCTTGCAATGATAAGTGGCCATTTAACTGAAGTCTACCCAATGGAAGATGAGTGGAAGGGATACATGCTGCTTCCAGACCTGGCTCACAAAAACCTCCCATGTAAGGTCCTCCATGCTCCTTTCTCCTTTTCCATTGGTTGGAAACTCTCTGGGTGATCTTGGAAAACACATGTTGAAGACGGCAGAACCTCCATCAGCCTGGGTCCCTGAATGACTGCATGGAGAAGAGCCACCCGCCTAACCCACCCAATACTGTTCCATGAGAAAGATATGTTTATTACTTTTGAATTATTAAACAATTTGGGAGCTTATTTGTTATAGGAAGCTACCCTAATTAATTAGCTATCCTAAGACTCTGGCATTTTAAAAAAAGGAAAAAAAGATATTCAGATATTCAAAGAGATTAACTAGTTAGTTCAAGGTCATACAGCTATTTTGCAGCAAAGCGGGATCTACTCACATCTGACATCAGCCATTGGTTCTGCTGCATCTCATTTTCACACTAGACCAACATCAGCCACGCTGCCCCCAATCCATACACTGTCCTAGCCCAGCCCTCGCTCTACCACATGGGAAAGAACAATTCCCCTGCTCATATGTGTAACACCTGACTGGTCCAGGCTGTGCCAGTTTTATAAAATGGTCACTCCCAAACATCACTCAGAGGGGGAAGAGACTCTCATGTAAAGGACTCAAATAAGCTTCCAGGAGATGACAACACTGCAATTCTTAGGCAGGAGAGACTAGGCCTCCCTAAGCTCAATCGGCAACTTGATGTTCTGATCACCCAATCTGCCAAAGTTGGGGGGCCTCTAACCTGGGCAAGCTCTGCAAATGAGTCCCAGGCCAGCTAGTCTAGACACTGGATTAAAATGTGGCTAGGCTTTCCAAGCCCAGGTTTAGTCCTGGAGGGGTCAAGAGGGGAGAGTCAAAATGGAACCAGCTAAATAATTTATGGGGCCCAATGCAAAATGAAAATGTTACCTCTAGTTTAAAAATTATTAAGAATTTCAAGATGGCAACAGCAGAGCATTACACCAAGCATGGGGCCCTTCCAAGCATGGGGCTCCGCGTGACCGCACACGTGGCATACCTACAAAGCTGGACCTGGGTTAGGCAAAGGTAGATTCCAGGACCTAAAAGGTCTCAGTCAGCAGAGGCTGCACCTAAAGGCAGTGCCCAGACAGACCTTAAGTGCTGGGCTAGATGGGCAGGTGAGTGAGTCAAGTTGAATGAAACAGAACCAGTTTTAACTTCCAGCAAGTTGCCAGGAAAGAGGAAGTGGTATAGCAAATTGGAGCAAGAGTAAGCGTAAGCTCCTGGAGTAACCACGAGCTACAGCCAGAGTGTGGGGCAGGGGGGCTGCAGGGTTAAAGCCTGGGAAGGCTATGGGAGCTGGGCAGGGAGGGCCTTCATGGCCAGGTTGGAGCCCAGTATCTGCCCAACCCAGAAGAAGCAGGAGTCCCCTTTCAGGAGGATGGAGAATCCTGCCAGAAACAGTAATGCAGGTCCCAAGCTCTCTGAGTAATGGGTTTGATAATGGGGCAGGGGTTGGGGAGTCTGTGTTCCTGGAGAACCAAGGCCTTCAGGGAGCCAAGGACCAAACACTTATAATGACGGTAGCATAAATCTCTCCTTTCGTATCTTCTGGCTCTGTGCTTTTAGATCTCCTTTAATTTTCCTTTAATGTCTCGGTAAAGTTGCTTTTGAAAATTCCAACCCCCCTCCTCTGGGCTGAATGAAAAGGGACAAGGAAAGGATAGAAAATCTGGAGAAATGGAATTCCCTGGGTGAGGAGAGATGACACCTGCCAGTCTGCTTGGAGATCTGGCTGGAGTCCTCACTAAGTTATCACACCTAGAGTGATGGGGTGGCCCCTTACCCTATTTCAGCCACATGGTGTCATGGGAATTGTTGCCTTGGGCCTTGCTAAAATGCACATGTACCACCAGGCTATGTGGGCCTCAGGCTGAGGAGCAGCAACCCATCTCAAGGAGCCCGTCGCAAGAGGCTCATTTATGACTTAGTGAGGAAGCTGGGCTCCAAGGAGCAGCCTCTCCTGGCTCCCGGAGTCACTGGCCAGTACAACTCAACCCCTTGTTGAAAAGAGAGGTGAAAAACTTAATGCTGGGTACAGATGAGGACACTGGGGCACAGAGAGGGGCAGGAACTGCCCTGATCACTCAGCCTCTCAGTGCTGGCACTGGACTCCAGGTCCCCTAGTGCCCTGTGTCACCAAGAGAGGGCCCAAAGGAAGGAGCAGGGCCTCTGTCTCAGATCCTTATCACTGGCGAGGGAAAGCAGGGTGGGTGCTCACTCCCTGAATGGACACTGAAAGGCAGCGTCTCCCTTCAAAGGTGCCAGACAATGGAATGGTTGGCCAGACAGCCATTTGCTAAATTTGGATCAGAAGACTGTCTTCTGTTAACCCCTCCATGCCTAAGCATGCGGAGGCACAGTGTTCGCGATTCCTCCTTCCTTCTGAAAACACTACAGCCCTGTTCCAGCTGCACTAGGAAGGAAGGTGGGTTTTCCTTGGCTATATCTGGATTCAGAGATCAGGGAATCGGATCTCCAATGATGGCTGGTCAGCGCCAGGCTGGAGCAGTGACGGCACCTGAACGCTGCACCTGAACTCACTACCCAAGGGTCACTTTGCACGGGTCACAGGCCAAAATGAAAGTAGGCAGAGGGCAGAGGGAAATCAGGCAGCTGGCCACATGACAGTGAAGCTGCAGGCCACAGGAAGCCTGAGTGTGGATCATTATGAAGCAAGACCATAGCAAAAGCAGGCATCAAGCCAGAAAAAAGAAATCAGGAATAATGCCAGCCGGTCAAAAGTTTGTGGGTCACAGTGAAATCAGGCCAGAGGAGAATGAAATCAGGCTTCAGAACAGACCAACGCCACCTGTGACTCAGAGGGAAGGGAGCTGCGCCTCCCAGGGAAACCAGGTTGCGGGTCACTCCAGCCGCACCCCCACCCCTCCCTCCGCCGCGGGCCCAGCCTCACTTGAGCTGCTGGGTAATAAGCTCCTCGTCGTTGAGATAGCGCAGCCGTTCCTCTTCCACCAGGGTGCGCTGCCGCTGCAGCGGGTCCTCCTGCCGCCGCGCCGCCTCCGACACGCGCATGCTCAGCTCTGCCTCCGTGCGCTTCAGCAGCGCGCGCACCGACTCCTGGTTCTGTAGCTGCGGGACGCACGGACGGATGGACCCGGGTGGGGGGAGCGGAGCCGCGAGGCAGGGGAAGGGCCGGGAGAAGGCGGGTAGAGGACTGCCCAATCCAGGGCGGGGCTCTGCAGAAGAAGCGGCTGCTTGGCTCCGCCTCAGGCAGCAGCGAAGGGGTGGGATGGCGAAGGGCAGGGGCGGGATGGCGAAGGGCAGGGGCAGAGGGCTAAGTTCTGGGGAAGAACAGAGGCAGGAGGAGAACGGATGGGGATCGTGGAGAGGGGAGCGTTAAAATGGGCCATGCAAAGGGGGAGCTGCATGGCTGTGGCCGCGAGCAGGGGTGGTATTGCAGGGGGAGGAGGGCAAGGTTAAGTTCTGGGGAATATGAGGCAGGAGAAGGGGTTGGGAATATTTGCGGGACAGGGTGTAGCCCTATGTAGGTCCCTGCCGACAGTGCGGCCGCATGGCTATGGCTTCCATCATCCCGGAATGGGGACGGGACTGGAATGAAGGACTCAAGCGCTGGCATTTGATAGAGCTTCTATGGCTGGGACAGGAAGACTAAGTTGATGATCGATCCAACCCTGTTCCAAGCCTGAATGGCGGGGGTGGGCAAGATCTTACCCGTTGCCCAGATGGCAATTCTCTGCCCCCTCCCCAGCCTGTCTCTGCTAATTATCCTCACCTGACGGCCCCTGGGCCTGCTTGAGGAGCGGACTCGGCGATGCCAAGCTCCTGACAGGTGGGACCATCTGCCAAGCAGGGCCGGGGAGACTGTTGGGGCTCAGGAGGGAGGAGCTGAGAGGACTTGGGGGAAGGGCTCTCGCTGACTCAGGGAAAGGGATGCAGGGCAGGAAGGAACTGGAACTGCCCCGAGGGATACTGACGACGGAGGGGCTCAGTGGGTGACTGGGGCTCCAGGAGGGCGATGGGGACTCAGGGAAGGAGAAGGAGGGCTCAATGAGGGGGTCACGGGCGAGGGATAAGGCCTTGGTGAGGAAGTGGAGGTTCAGCGAGGGAGCGGAAGCTCAAGAAAGGGGAAGGGGAGAAAGGGTTCGGAGAGAGGCCAGTGAGCGGCGAAGGACTCGGGCGTGGAAGCTCTGGGAAAAGGATGAGGTAGTAGGGGATGGGGCGGGACTTGCGGCAAGGGACTTCTACCAGTAGGTGGGCGTTGGTGGGGCGGGGCCCAGGACGGGGCGGTACCTGGAGCTTGCGCAACTGCTGGAGCTGGCCGCGCAAGTCACTGGCGCTGTTCTGCAGGCCTCGCAGGTGAAGCTGCATCTGCAGCCGGCTAACGGCGGTAGGCTGACCTGCGGGGGTGCTGCTGGCCGAGGGCGGGGGCGGGCCGGACACCGGGGTGGCCCCGCTGCTCCGGCCGCCTGACCCACAGGCTGCAGAGGACCACGAGGATGGGAGAAAGTGAACAAACTGTGAGCCTGGGAAGGACTGGGCTGGGACAAAGTCCTCCCTACTCTCCGACCCCACACAGTAGCCAGAGAAGCCCGTGGCTCTACCTGCCCCAAGTGGTCAGCCCTAACGGTGGGGACCAAAGTGCCAGGAAAAAGACCTCTTGGGCTAAGGCCAGTGATGTAGCTATTGCTTAATCCCCACTTTATAGATTAGAAAACAGGCTCGGAGAGAACAAGGATGGGGGAGGGGGAGGTTCACTCACGTGCTGAGGGGGTGGCTGCTCCATTGGAGCCTTCAATCTTCTCGCTGTGGCACAGGGAAAAAAGCCATCAGGGGGTCCAGGCCAGCCCCAGACCTTCAGAGCTGGGTGGAACCTTGGATGTCATCTCCTCCAGCTCTCCGATCTCAGGATGGAGTCCCAGAGAAGGGAAGGGATTCACCCAGGGTCACCCAGTGAGACACTGGCAGAGCCGATGCCCATTTCCCCTTCCTCCTGCTCCACCCCTAGGCCCTGGCAGTGGTGTTGGGAGAGGGGCCTCACCTGGGGGTCTCAGGCTCAGAGCCTCGCAGTAAGGCGCTCTGCACCAGGCCTGTGAGGCTGGCAATCTGCTTCTCCATGGCCTCCATGCGCTCCCTGGGGAGGAAGGGGGTCTGGGCAACCTCGCCTCTGAGCATAGGGTCTCTCCTGCCCAGCCCCCCATTCCTAAGATTGGTAACCAGAAGAAACACCGTCCCATCCCTGGCTGCCAAAACACAGACAACGCAAAGGGCCCCAATGCCTAAGGATCAAGCCCACAGCCTCCCATCTCACCTTTCATTCCCTCCCTAAAGGCTGCACGCTGATCTCTCCATGCCTGGCAATGCTTTCCCCTGCCTGCTCTGCCTTTCTCCTGACCCCTCCCCCAAACCATTCCACAGACCCCAGGGGCCCCGAGGAACGCCTCCTTCCATACCACCCAAGGGAAGTGGAGGTATGCTGAGTGTCTCCCCACTAGACCAGGACAGGAACTGGGTTTGCTCAGCTTGGCATTGACAGTACCCTGTGCAGCGCCTGCCACACAGGCCACGTAAGAGCTGTGTGAAGGCCAATGGCTTCTCTTCACTGCTCAGCAGCGCTGCCTGAGGGTGCAGATTACCTACTGCCCTGGTTACCTCCTCCAGCCCTGCACCCTTAGGAGGGGACTGAGCGATGGGCAGGGGCTCCTCAGCCTGGAGGCTAGGTACCCGAATGTGCTCCTTTCCTCGTCACCATTTTTCAACAGCACCCTCCTCCCCAGTGGACTTCAGCTGTCCCGGTGCTGGACAGCTCTCACTGCTGCAAACTCTTAAGCTGGAAAGCCACTAAAAGTGGTTCAGCCCCTCAATTTTACAGTTGGGGAAACCGAGGCTTAGAAAATGGATGCAAACCCAAGTCTCCAGAGTCCTCGTCTGGGGACCTCTCAACCACCCCCTCCAGTCTTGCGGATGGGAGGAAAATGGCAAGCTGGTCTCTCCAATGCCCTCTCTGCCACATCCAAGATGCTCTCTGGCGACCCTTCAAGACTACTCAAGGTCTCCAAAGGACTCCAGGATCTCAGTCCAGGACACACACCTGCCACGGACTCTGCTGTGAACCCTCTCCGCAGCGCACCCCCCACCCCCAGTCCCTGAGGCCTGGTTAACGTCCCTCACCTGGTCTCCGTGTCCTTGGCTGGCACTGGCGGCCCGAACCCAACCAGCGAGCGTTCCCCAGGCCCAGGGAAGAGCTCCGAAGGGGGAGCTCCGGCCGTCGAGGCGCTCCCCGCGCTGCGGGTCTTCCCTCCAGGACTCTCGGCAAAGACGGACGAGGAGCCCGAGTCCTTGCGGAAGGACTGGCGCACTGGCGAGCCGCGGCTGGGCGGCCCCGAGTAGGGGCTGTGCGGTGGCGGGGGACCTCCGGGGGGTGCTGCCACGTCGGCCAGCTTCTGCGGTGACGAAGGCGGCAGGCGGAAGCCGTAGCCGTCGCCGTACAGCGGGCCGCCGCCGCCCGCCGCCTTGTACAGGGAGTCCTCCAGATCGGACTGCAGCGCGGCGGCCGAGTAGGTGCTGAGCGAGCGCACCGAGCCGCGCTTGTAGAGGCCGCCGGCGCCCGGGTAGGCGAACGGGTCGCCGGCGGCCGCGGCCAGGCTCAGACGGCCCTCGTGCAGCAGCCCGTAGGGGTCAGCATAGAGGCCCTCGCCTTTCACCAGCACCATGCCGCCCGCCTTGCTCGCCAGGTCCTCGTCCGGCTTCACGTCGCGCCGCTCCAGGATGGCGCTGGGGCTGGGGCTGACGCCCTGGGCGGCCGGGGCGCCTCCCAGCCTCTCGGCCGCGTGGTGCACCGGGCTGCCGGCGTACGAAGGCGGGCGCCCCCCGGCGTACGATAGGCGCGAACGCGACGGCGAACCGGACTGCAGCCCGGACGGCAGCCCCGACGGCAGCCCGGGCGGCGGCGAGCCGGATGCCAGGTGCGGCGCTGGTGACAGGTTGTTGAGGCGCCGCGTGGGCGAGGACTCCCGCGATGCGTACACCATCTCTCTCTGCGCAGAAGACAGCCCGGAACCCCACGGGGCTGGTCACCAAGGTCACCCCTGTCCCTTGCTTGAGGAGCCAGCATCTCCTCCCTGACGCTTAGGAAGTCCCTTCTGCTCTCTGCCCTCCCTCCATCCTGCTGCGTCTAGGGTCCCTTTCCCATCAGGGTTCCTAGCATGGAGGAAAAGGTGGCCGATGAAGAGGCACCAGAGGGGTAACCCTCAGCTCAGCTACCGTGAGGGGTGGGAAGTAGAAGGGGAAGGGGTGGCTCCGGCTCCTGAGAGAGGGCTTAGAATATCTGGAGGCAAGTTAGCAAAATCCCGAGTGGACAGGCCCGGAATGGAGGGGAAAGTGGCAGGTGGGACAGGGGCTCTTCCCTAACCCCTCAGCCCCTATGCTGTCTTCTCCAAAGCTGGCCCTGGTTCCAGATGACAACTGCCCAGACCCTGCTCCCCTGGACCCCATGTGCCCAGCCTCCCCAATGCCCTGGGCATGCCCAGCCATACCCGGAGGTCCCCGTTGGTGAGATGTGAGCCAGGGAAGGCAGCGTAGAGGGGCTCCTTTCTGTAGATCTTGATAATACTGCGGTCCTGGATGTCCCTGGGAGAGGCGGGGAGACGGGGGTCACCACCCATCCCCCAGCTGTGCACAATGAGAAGGGATGGCTACTCCAGGCCTAGAGAAGAGGGGTGGCCAGAGGCACCGGGAGCCCCATCTCAGGCTGCCTGCACACACGCCCAGCAGCCTCCACCCCGGCCTCTTCCTGGCCTCCGGCGCCATTTTCAGGTTAGCTCAAAGCAAAGGGAACCAGCAGGGGTGGACGATTTAGGGGGTGGGGGCTGAGATGGCCGAGGAAGGGGGCGGGGCGGTAGGGCTCTGGGAGGGGAGGGGAAAGGCTGAGGTCGGGTCAGGAAGGAGCTGGGGAAGGGCCGGCGGGGTCCAGCACCCTGCAGAGGAGGAGCGTGGGGAAGCCCACCCAAATCCCCCCCGGTCCACGCCCACCGGACGTCCTCCAGCTCGTAGAAGACGTTGCGAGCCTCGTCTTTGATGAGGATGGCGGTATTGGGCGACTTAAGCATGCCCATGGTGAGCTTCTGCGGGAACATGTGCGCGATGAGTGCGTGCAGCGTGTCCAGGCTGCTGACCTCGTGCGTGATGTGCACGCGCCGAGTCTCCTCCCCGAACTGCAGGAACAGCACCCCTGCGAAGGAGACGCCGCCCTCGCTGTCACTGCTGCCGTCTCCACGCCGCCCTCCAGGAGAGCGCGGGGAGCTTTTCGGAGCTGCGCCAGCCCCGCAGCGGCAGGGTCTGAGGCTAGACGCCGCCCCCGAGTGCAGATGCACCCAGGCACCTCTCATGCTGCCGGCGGGGGCGCCAGGCCGGCTCTCCAGCCTCTCAAGGCACCCACTGGACTCCAGGCAGTTGAAGGAACTTGGACAAGGAAATGGAAGTGGGGGCAGAGCAGGTGGGGCGGAAACTGAGGGGAAGTGAGCTGAGGGAGAGAGAGGTTGGAGAGAGTTAGAGAAGGGAGATGGGAGAGAAGGGAGGGATGAAAGAAAGGGACAGAAAAGGAAGCAAGAGGGAGAGAGGAGGCTTGGAGGGAAAGGGGTCGGGTGGGGATGCTGAGGGCGAGAGAGAGATGGAGAGAGCTGGGGTTGCTTGGGGAGAAGGGGCTGTGGGAAAGAGAGCAGAGCTTGAGGCGAGCTGGCGTGCTGTAGGGGAGGAGGGGGCTCCAGGGAGTGAAGAGCAGAGGGAGGAGCCTGTGTGGGGAGGGAGGGTGGACTGGGCGGGCAGTACCTGGGGAGCGCAGCTTGGTCTGGCTGGCCGAGCGGGAGAGAGGCAGGCTCTGTCGGAAGCGGTTCATCCTGCTGAAGCCCAGGGGCAGCTCGGCCTCCGACATGGTCTCCAGCGACTCGGCGGAGGCGTAGGACAGCTTTGCCGCCTGGTCTGCCAGCCCGGGCTGGGCTCCCTGAGTGTGGCGTGAGCTGCGGGTCTGCAGGGGCCGGGCAGGGTGAGAGGAACCAAGGATGAGCACCCCCCCCCCCCTTTGCTTGTCACTGCCCATATCCAGGCCTGGGAAGGTCCTGCCAGCCAGCGACACCCACACAGATTACAGACTCCCACACAGATTACAGACTCCTGGCATGGCCACAAGAGAGTTCCCCAGTCTCTGCTGGCCTTGGCCTCCCTGGGACACCCGGCAGGTAAGGAATGGGCAAAGGACCCAGGCACCCTGGGAAGCCAGACAAGAGGCCATGTGAGTGGGAGCCATGGGCACGGCTGCTATTTCAGGCTTCCGAAGAACAACACAAATTTGTCACCGAGGTGAGCAGCAGAATCGTTGAGCAAATTGGGGCATTAGTTCCAGACATTAATTAAGTGGCAGGTTTGTGAGCGGAGAATTTATTCTTCATGGAGTTCAGAGGGTGGGGGTGGGGGTGGGGGCGGGAAGCAGGGCCCAGGGAGAAAGCAAAGAGAGCTGGCACCCCAGGATCCCAGCTTTGAGGGGATGCGGACCCTGACAGAGCTGGACACAGGGAATGTGCCTGATTTAGGGTGATTGAGAAAACTATCCCGAACTCCTCAAAGCCAGCTGGACCCGGATTTGAGACGACCTGCCCAGTGCCCACAACACACATGTTAAGTCTGATGTGACACACATGTGCCAGGCCTCAGCCCCTCCTTGCAAGGCACATGCTGCCACACAGCCAGCCAGCCTCCCCCAGGAGCCTCTGAGTGACGGCAGCCACTTCTCTGAAGCTGTAGCTGAGGCTGATATCTGGCTGGGGGTGGGGGAGGATGTCACAGGACAGCTTGATGGCTCTCTCCGTGGGGGAGGGGGAGTCAGGATGATTTCAACCGTACTTTAAGAGCCTACTTTTGGCTGAAACCTGGGGATGTCACTCAGGGCCACAGCCCCTGACATTCTGCCTTAGTCCCTGGGCAAGAAATCTGGTTGTTGTACAGAAGCTGGTACAAGGAGTGAGATAATGAATCCGATCTACATCATTCCATGTTATGTGCATTATATACATATATGTATTACATATACATATACTGTCAAGAAATAATCATGTTGCCCAATTATATTTTTTTGTAAAACAAATTGTCTATTTTTAACAACAAATCACTCAAAACCATTAACACTGGTTATCTCAGGGTTGACAGTTTTCTTTTTTCACTTTATAGATTTCTCTACAAAACGGTGTGAATAGATTCCTTTTATAATTTAAAAAAAGACAACAATAAAATATCTCTAAAAAGGAATCATTTATTCTCCTCTTCAGCTCCCTCTCTCCCCAATTCCTGATTTACCCCTAATTAATCTCCATCTTCATATTAACTCAATTTAATGTTCCAATTGGATTAGCACTCTTAAAGGGAGAGCATCTTCTTCTGATGGGCAGTATGCCCAGCTGTCCCCAAGGTGGCCTTGAGGGTTTGGGGACCATAATAGATCAGACGTGGGGACATCAGGGAGCTTCCCCTCTCAAGCATAATGCCTTGACCACTGGGTGGGTGTGGGTCTTGGCAGGAGGAAGGCAGCATAGAAATGGGCCAGGGGCAGTAGGGAGGGGCCGCTTGTGCTTGTGACCGAGAGGCTATGGCTCAGCTCTAGGCTGACCACCAGTGCCAGCCCACACCCCTCTGTCTCACCTTCATCCCAGCTGAAGGGCGGGGAGCTCTGTGGCAGTGTGGGGAACCAGGTCTGGTCTGGTGGTCATGGGGTTGCCTGGCAACTAAAAGGTCAGTGGTTGCCAGGCTAGTGCGGATGAGGGCTACAGAATTCAGGCAGCACGAGGCAGCCAGCAACGATGAAGAGTAGGGGGTGGCCATGGTGCCGGGGGGACACCAGTGAGATGCCAGTAAGGAGGCAGAACAGGGGTCCAAATGAAGGGAGGCAGGGCAGGGATCCTGGGGGTTGCTGCCTGCCAAGAAGGCAGAAACCCTGGGAGAAGAGATGCCCACGTTCCCTGCTCCACCACTTCCTAGCCCAGTGGGCACCTTTCCATTCTCACAGCCTGTACAGAAAACCCTCTCGAGAGGAGGGAAAACCTGCTGGCACTTCTCTCCATGCTTGGGCTGAGACAATAGGGCAGAGGAAAGTGAAACATCCAGGACTTCCCCACCATAAGGGAGATGGCAGAAGAACAAAACAGTGATTCAAGCAGAGCTCTCCCAAGACAGGAGAGGGACCACCATGGGAGGTAGAGAGCGCCTATCACCAGAGTGTTCCAGGGAGCAGCTCATGGATCTGAGATTCCCAGAGGTTGTCCATAGACTAGGGAAGAATCACTTGGGAGCTTTTAAAAATACCTTTCCAGGACCCCATATTCACTGAACCAGAATCTCTGGGGATTGGAGCCTGGGGTTCGAGATTTTTGACAAGTTCCTAAGGCGATTCTGATTTCTAGGTTTGAGAATCAAGGCAGAGTCTATGATTTAGTAGCTAATGAGGTCAGCTACCATGTAAGGCTCACCAGGAGCCAGGCACTGCCTGGAACATGCATCCTCTCGTGTTTTGTTTTGTTTTGTTTTGTTTCGTTTCCTTCCTTCCTTCCTTCCTTCCTTCCTTCCTTCCTTCCTTCCTTCTTTCCTTCCTTCCTTCCTTCTTTCTTTCCTTCTTTCTCTCTCTCTTTCTCTCTTTCTTTCTTCTTTTTTTTCTGAGATAGGGCCTCCCTCTGTCACCCAGGCTGGAGCGCAGAGGTGCAAACATAGCTCACTGCAGCCTCAATCTCCCATACTCAAGTGATCCTCCCACCTCAGCCTCCCTCCTTGGCCAACAAGTTCTCACTACATTGCCCAGGCTGGTTTCAAACTCCTGGGCTCAAGCATTCCATATGCCTCGGCCTCCGAAAGTGCTGGGATTACAGGCGTGAGCCAGCACATCCGGCCTTTTTTCCCTATCTTTACAACAATTCTATGATGCAGACATTGTCGTTCTACTCTACAGAGGAGAAACCAAGGCTAAGAGGATATGTGGCTTGCCCCAGGTCACCAAGCTAGTTAGCAGCAGACTGTATGGAATTCACCACTACGCAGCCTGGCTCTTGGGTCCATGCGCTTAACCACTACCCTCAACTGCCTCCTCCAAAGAGGCTATGCTTGACAGTGTGACTTTGACTCCATGATTCTCTGATTCAAGGACTTCTTGCAGTGCTAGGAAGAATGCATGCAAATAAGACACCTGGGGAGTCTGGGTGGGATGCCTCCCACCCGCTGTCATGATGCCTGGGACTTGGGAGGCCAGAGACTCCAGGAGGCAAGCAGGTGCCTGAGGGTGCTCTCCCAGGGGTCAACAGGATACCCTGGGAGGGGCAGACAGCTGTCTTAGCTCTGGAAAGGCCAGAGCTCAGGAGGAGGCAAGAAGGCACCTATCCCTCAGCTTAGCCCTCCACTTAGACAACAGGCTTGAGGGTGTAGGACCATGAGTCTCCTGCCTAGCACGGACCAGCCCCCATGGTGGACAGTAAGAAAAGGAAGGGGGACCCATCACAGTCACAGGGCCTCCCTGGGAGGTGAGATATGAATTCAAAGAAGAGGGCCCACAACAAGGGTCTAAGTCCCTAACTCAGAGGCAGCAGTCTCTCCAGGCTGGGGAAAATGTATGTCATTTCAAAATGCCCCTCAGGGGCTGGGGATGCCTGGGGACTGAGCATCTCTAGCCCAGATCCCCAGCAGGGGTGGCCCAAACTCCTACTCCATCCACAAGCCCCTGACAGGCGAACCCAGACTCTCCCAAAGCAGCAGCCACAGCCTGCAGCCCCGAGGCCCACCGCCCATACCAGAAGGTGTCCGTGCAGATGCGCACCCCGGTGCAAAGCCTGTGCAAGGGAGAGGCAGGGGCAGGGGAGGGAGAGCACATGCAGTTGTCATGGGAGCAGAGGCATCACACACTGACCTTGAAACTCCAGTAGTTTGGCTGCTGATGGAAATAAGAGAAGAGATGGTTATGAGGGGGCCCAGGAGGGGAAAAGAGGGGCAGGGGCAGGTTAGAGACCCTTGGAACTCAGCACTCAGCCCTAGGACAAGGGCCCTCCACCCTCCCAGGAGCAGGAATGAAGTCATGCCTGGTACATCCATTCTCTACTGAGACCTGGAACACCATGGTGTACCCAGGATGGCCCTGAGCAGGCGCTACAGCGACTCCTCGCAGAGTTACTGGTGGGAAAAGGCACAGAGGATGGTGATAGAGCGAACCCATGAGGCAGTCACAAGAGAGGCAGCGACAAAGCTGAGCTGTGGGGTCAGAGAAATGGCAGGCCAGGGAACAGTGCTTGGAAGAGGTGGCATTTGAGTTGGGTCTGGAAAAACGAGCAGCTGGAGACTGGAAGGAGAGGCCTGCTGGGCAGAGGGGAAGTGCCCAGGGGCAGACAAGTGGAGGGGGGTTGAGGCAAGTCACTAGTCCACATTGGCTGGGGCGCAGCTGGGAAAGTAGCAGATTAGGCTGCAAAGGGTGGGAAGTGGGAGGCTGAGGCCAGATGATGAGTGGTCATAACTGCTGAGAGAAAGTATTTAGACTTAACTGGGTGGACAAGCAGAAAGTGTCTGAATGGAGCAGAGTGGGATCAGAACTAGACCCCGGGGCAGAGGTGGATGGGGTGGATCAGGATGGATGGGGCAGGGGTCGGAGGAGGGGGGCTGGGGCCCAAGGCCAAGAGAGAGAGGCCTATGCAGCATGGTGGATCTAGTTTACAGAGCAGAGTGGCCAGGTGCCAGGAACCTCACTCACTGGGCAATCAATGGCTGGGGAGCTGGGGGCAGTGAAGGGAGTTGGGGAGACTGGGGACTGTGGCTGGCTGGCTGATTGAGGAGGGCTCCTCGTATCCCTCTTAGCATCCCTAGAATGGGAAGCCAGAGAGTCCTCCTCATTTGCAGTAACCCAGGGTCACCCTTCCTTCCCTAGAGACCAGAAGGCCCTTCCAGATGGCTTAGTACAAGGAAAGAGCTGCCCTGGGGCCGGGTTGGTTCTTGGCAAAGCCAAGGCACCCTGCTGACCGGTGCCAGCCTCAGCAGGGAGACAGAGGCAGCAGATGGCCTGGCCCGGGGGTGCCTGGCACGAGCAGACAAGATCCCCAGGCCTTAGAGCCACTGGCAGAGGAGAGGGACATCGAAGGCGCCCCTGGGGGAAGAACACCATGCCAGGGTGTCCTGGGCCACCTGAATGCTTTCCTGGCAGGGAGGAGTTGGAAGGGGCTGAGTCGAGGGGCACTCCGGCTGGAGGCTTTACCTAAGGCAGACCTTTGGGGTGGGGGTGACACTGGGCTGGGGCTGGGACCAAGAGGGTCATTTGCCAAGACCACCCCCTCCTAAGCCACCATCCCCATCCTTCCCCCAGCATTCACGCTAGAAAACAAACAAACAAACAACAACAACCAAAAAAAACAGTCACATACCAGGCAGTAGAAGAGGACAACAAAGTCTGTGTCCCAGCCAATGCTTGGAATCATCTATGGACTGAGGCCACCCCCAGTGGTGCTAGGGGATGCCCACAGGTACTGAGGGTAGGGGAGACCAGGGACCAAGTAACAGGCTCCAGCGGCAGCTGACTGTGGCCTGGGGAAGGGGAGGGGTAGCAGAGGGAGTGGACACGTGGGGGCAGGCAGAGGACACCGGAAGGTTTATGAGGACAATCACGTCTGCAGACCCAGCGGTGATGGACCGCTCTGCAGAGAAGGCCTCAAGTCCCTTACCCACCACTACCATGACACCAGGCACGGGCGGCGCACACATGGGCCACCCACAGCGCCCCGCAACACACAGGCTCACGCACAGCTGAGCACAGACTCTCAGACACATCCTCTGATAAGGACATCTCCACAGACACACCCAGAGCGACACACACACACCCCTACTAAGAGAGGGGCTCCCCAGTCAGAAACAGCCCTGGAAACAAACAGAAACTCAGAGACAGAGACATTCACACATAGACCGCCCCCACTCATACACAAACGTGTTTGGCTCCCGCCAGACCCCTGCCTCGCTTACACACACTCACAAGCACCATAGCCAGTCACAGAGGACAAGAGGTGCTGATGGCATTCACACTCACCCTCAAAACACCACAGTCACAGAAACAGAGACACGGGTGCCCACTCACAGTGAGAGACACACACCCCGGCTATTGAAACACACACACACACGGCCTCAGAGCCACCTACGTACAAAGAGAAAGCCCCAGGTCAGGGTGCCACTGTCCCATGCCTATCATGTCCCAGATATCATAAGTCAGGGAGGTGACCTCTGATGCAAAAGAGATAGAAGATGTTCTGTCCCCCACCCTGCCACCAGTGTCAACACATCAGACTCAGGTACCTTGTTCGGATGACTGAGGCCCACCTCGTGGTCCTGGGAGGGAGATAAAGACAGGGCCTGGCCACAACCACACTGGCTATGGCCTCCACATGGGCCTGCCCCAGGGTCCCAAGGCTGTGCACATCCATGGGGCAGTCACCTGGAAGGGACGTATCACTAGCAGCAGCCAAGGGAGAGGACTGGGTGGCATCAGTGCCATAGGAAAGGCCAGCCAAGCCCCTCAAAGGATAAAGATGGAAGAGGGGCTGCGCTTGTGCCGGTCACTTGGATGCATGAGAGATGTTGAGATCAAAATCTGGAACTTCAGGCTCTGATCTATAGAGCACATGAGTGAATCCTGCCCCTCCATCCTCTGTCCTCCCTCTGGAAAGTGGGAAGAATGATCCTCTTTCATGTTGACCCCACCAGGAACGAGACACAGTCTCTTGGCCACTCAGTGTCTCTGGCGAAGAGAAACTGTGGTGGGGGAGGCCTCTGGGGATATCATCCATCCCCTTCTCTGTCTCTTTCCAGGATTTTAACCCATGGGACAGACTAGCGTGACTGAGAGCAAAGGGCTCCTCTAGTGTTCTCTAAGGTGGGACATTCCCAGTCACTCCCCTTCCAACTTCCAGCACCCTGTACCTCCTCACCCCTTTCCAGGGTGTCTGTTCCTCCTGCTGTGCCCAGTACAGTACCTGGTGGATAGCAGGCACTCAGCAAGTATGTGACAATGAATGAATGTCAATAAAATAGGACCGAGCCATGGGTGGAGGGTGGGATCTCTGAATACTCTGGTCTGGCACCACTCCCTCCATCTCCTGGCACCCAGCACTGCTCAGCCTTCTGGGCCTTTTCCCTGGGAATTTCCCAACACCAGAAACCCCCCAGTTAGGAGGGCAGAGGGCAGGAAGGGCCAGGAGAGGTCTGGCTGTCCACCTCAAGCCAAATCTTCCAGTGCCAAAGCTGTCTCCCTCCCCCATAGTCAGGGAGGGGGTCTCACCTTCCCAAAAGACAGTGAAAGGGGGAAATAAAGAAAGGGGTGAGTAGGGGAGACCCCGGCAGGGGCAACCACTTGTGGGGAAGAATCTTAAAGGAGCTGGGGCAAAATGAGAGGTGTTCTAAGAAGGTAAGATGGAAGCATAGGACCCTAGGGACCACGCTGTGAGAAACGGGGGAAAGGAGTGTCTCTCAAGGCCCAAGGAAGCCAGGCCAGGGAGTCCTCAAACTCCTGGTGAGAAGAGGAAACAGCTTCTTCTCTCTGGGAGCTAAGGAGTTAACTCCCTTCCTCTCTCCTCCATCCTAGCCACTGGTAGAGGGGTTCCTACTTCCCCTGCTGCTGGTTTTCCCCCCCTCGGCCCTCATGCCCTGGGAGGGGAGGGGCTAGGGCCCCTGGGGAGGCTTGGCCCAGCCAGCTGAGGTCTCTTTCCTCCCCTGGGCAGGCATCCCCAGCAGGTTCAGTGAGCAAATGACCCCTCCTTGACCTCAAGCCCTGACCACGCACCTTCCAAGGAGGGAGGGCAACCCACGGGTCCACACCGGCTCCTTAATCCCCTGGCTGTGCTGCACCGGTGCACACACCCACCTCTCAACTCCCATGAACACGAGTCAGCGTAAACACTCGTCCCCCGGGCTGGGGCTAAGCCACTCGCCCCTCCTCGGGCGCCTGCCCCCACCGCGATGTACATGCATGACCCTCTCTTCCAGATGTGTGGATGACACCCTCATCTCCTTCCCAATGCAGAGTGTGTGTGTGGGTGGGTGGGTGGGGGTGCTGTGGGACGCTGGGGAAGAGGGCGCACCCCGGGAAGGTCATGACTTTCCGACGCTGGGGGAGGGGGCGCCAGCCTGATTTTGGAGTGGGGGCCGGCCCACGCCGAAGGCACCTAATGCGGTGGGGGAGGGGAGGAGGCGTTTCTCAGGGATCGGGAACCTGCAATGGCCTGGACGTCCCCCACCCCTGGATGGCTCTCGGTGCCGCGGAGCGGGCCCCCATCTCCGTGTCCCCGCCCCCCGCCCAACCCGAGGCGGCGATCCCGGCCCCCACAGTCGCTCCCCCTTACCTGCGGCCACAGGTGTACGTGCGGGGTCCCCAGCCCCAGGTCCTGCGTCCGGCTGGGGAGGGAGGGCCCCTACTCCCACCCGCCCGGGCTCTTCTCTCCCCCGGCCGCCTCCGCAGCCGCGGCCGCCGCCGCCGGTGCCCTTTGCTGCAATGCGAGAGCCGCCGCGGCCGCCGCCGTGCCGGCCCGGGCCCCAGTCGCCCCGGTAACCGCGACTCCACCTGGCGCGGCGCTGCGCGCCGCCGTGCACATCCCCTCTCGCGGCCCCCTCCCTCGGCGCGGCCCCGCCGGCGCAGCCCCGCAGAGGAGCGGCGGAGGCTGGTGGCTGCGTCGCCGCGGTCACCCGATACGCCGGCCTGGCGCCCGGGACTCGGGTTGCAGCAGGAGGGAGGGAGGTTAGACAGCCTGGTGGAAGCCGGGGGAGGGGCTTTGGCTTGGAGTCCAACCTCTGGTGCCCTCCCAGGATCCTCTTCACTGCCCCCATCCCTAAAGGTCCCGCCTGGTGGAGGATCAGGGAGGGGACAGTGTTCTGCCTCCTGCTCAAACTTCAGAGCCCACAGCCTCTCCCCACCGGGGTCTTTGCTGTGCACCTTTGGCCTTTAACTCTCCCGTGACTTAATCCTTAGCCAAGTCTGGGAGGCCTAGGATGCCTAAGTTTCCTAGATGGCCTCTCATCCTGCCCTGCTGTGTGGTTCTGGCCTTTCCAAAGTCTCTGGTCCTGCACTTAACAAAAGGGAACCTCAGACTCAGCCTTAGGGGCAGGGAGTGTGATAAGTATCAAGTGATGAAAAGATCCTATGCACAGACACTTTCCTGGTTAATTACAGAGCCCCAGGAGGAAGGTCTGCTCAAGCGCTCCCCTTTCCTCCATCAGAGCAGATCCCAGATGTGGACAGGCCAAAATCCCCAGCTCCCCCAAGCCCCTGACTTGGGACAACTGAGCTCACCCAGTCCAGCCTCACTCCTGTCCATCATCCAACCCCTATCACAGCCCCAAGATGCTCCATCTGGGGAGGACCTCTGGGCAGACAAGGCACCACAACCCTACCCATGCATATCACATCGTCCTCTGTCCTATCACCATCCCTGTCCTAGCCCCACTTTGGTCTCCGCCATGCACTTGGCCATTCAGGACAAGTCTGTCCCACTTGCCATCCAGCCTTGGGGGCAGACACATTCCTGTTCCCCAAAGTTCAGCCAAGATGGGGCTTGGGAACTGGGAAAGAAATTGGGCTGAATGCCCTGTGAGTGATGACAAGCATGCCAATCTGTTACTAGACTTGAGTTACACTCGGCTAAAACATCCTCCCTCTGAAGGCCTGTCATTTCCTAGGTGGTCACAATTTTCTTTCTCTTAATTCTCCTTGAAAAAGCCAAGACTTTTTGTCCTCTGGGGGAAGCAGGGTGTGTAAGGACCTGAGCACCCTGTTCCCACTGGATTCCCTGCCACTACCCCTCCTCCGCCTCCTACAGCTGAATATCCTCAAGTCAAGACCTCCCCTGGGCTGTCCCCTTCCCATTGCAACTCTGATGCCTATTTTGGGCCTCAGATGCCTATTTTTCTCCCATAGCAATGTCCAGGCCTAGCTGGGAGCCCAGGCCCCTGGTATCCTGCCTACATGTGTCCCTGTCTAAGCTAAGATCTATCTTCCCATAACGGACACTGAAGCCTGATGAGGAAGAGGGGAATAAGTTCAGAATAGATGGCTTGATGCCCAAGTCTTCTTAAAAATTAGAGACTAAGCCATGAACTTAGCAAGAGGGGTGAGAGAGAGACTTCATGCAGAACTTCCTGATGGTGGGACATCTGGGGAAGGCTGGATCTGCTCAGAAACGGAAGGGGAGGGTGTGGAGAGGGGAATAAGATAGTCCTCAGTGGGAGGAGGGCATAAAACCCACAGAGCAAGGTCAGGGGACTTCTGTTTAAAGGAGAAAGGGATACAAAAACTTTTTTAAAAATCCTGAGTATCTTCCCTCAAAAAATTCCTTCTCCAAAGTCAACCAGGCCTGAGGAGGTAGTGGCAGGGAATTAGACATCGGGCAGATGTGAGTACGGGACACAGAAGTCTCCTGAAAATAGGGGCTCCTACACCAAAGAGAAAAGGTTGCAAAATAAAAGTCCTGAACATCCCCCCTCCAAAAAAAAAAAATCCTCCCCAAAGCCAAACTCCACCATGGGCTTGGGGGGTGGGGTGGAGGTGGGTGACTCACCTGGGCCGGCTGGCCAGCCCCGGAGGGGGCGGAGTCGCCATGGAGGTGGGAGCAGAGGGAGCTGAGGAGGCATACGGGGTCCACGGTCCAGCCGCCAACCTGTGTGTGCGAAGCGGGGGACACCCCATTAGGGGAAGCGGGCAGGAGCCGCTGGGGTACTGTGATTGGGAGGGAAGGGCATTCCTGGGGCAAGCCTTGGCACAGAGCTCATACTGCAGAGGGGTCTAGCGATGCTGGCAAGTCCCTTATTTAGGCTGGGTATCTCTCTAACTAGAGCCCTGCTCTGTTTCTGGATGTCTGCTTTTCTGTTAGACCTGGGGGTTCCCTGAGCCCAGGGCAGGGCCTTCCCTATCAGACATTTCTGAAATTCTCATCTCCACTTTATTTTTTTTGAGACAGGTTCTCACTCTGTCTCCCAGGCTGGAGTGCAGTGGCACGATCATGGCTCACTGCAGCCTTAACCTCCTGGGCTCAAGTGATCCACCCACCTCAGCCTCCTGAGTAGCAAGGACTACAGGGGCAAACCACCATGCCCAGCTAATTAAAAACAAAAATTATTTTTAAGAGACAGCCATGTTGCTTAGGCTGGTCTCAAACTCCTGGGCTCAAGGAATCCACCTGCTTCAACCTTCCAAAGTGCTGGAATTACAGGCGTGAGCCACTGCGCCCGGCCTCATATCCAATTCTTGGCTGTCCCTCTGCACACTGGCAAGGAAGCTGCTCCTTACCATCTCCCCTTCCCCAGCTCTCATCCCCTCCTCACTAAAGGTGTCACACCTACCTCACAGAAATAGGAACCGCTGGGCAGGAGAAGCCTCCCCCCAGTTGTCTCTGTCCCACAGCATACCTTTCTTTCCTGTATCTCAGTGGAAGTGACTCCACCCCCTTCGTTCCCCAAGGCCACCCCACACCTAAGACCATCCTTCCAGATTCCTCTAGGACCTGTTTCCCGTGGCCTTCTTTCCCCTTGGCATCCTCAGATTCATTCCTCCCTCATTCTCTCATTCATTCCACAAACACTGCCTGAGCTGGCACCGTGCTTAAGCACCGAACATTCCATGGCAAGTGAACGGGCCATAGATCCTGCCCACTTACACTCTAAGTGGGGAAACGAATGAGTGAAAGAAGAAAGGAACAAATTTGTGGGTGGCTGGGCTTTGATTCATTTCCTAAGTATTTACTGAGTTCCAAACTCTGTGCTGGTGAACATGCTAGAACATAGGAGGCCCTTAGACATGCCTATGCCTTCTCTCCCAGGCCTGCTACCCCTGGAAGCTCCACCCAGCTGTTTTCATCCTTTTCCTGGCCCAATCTCCCCAAAATAAGTCTGTGGCTGGGGCTCCTGATCCTTCACCAATCCCAAACTCCCTAACCCATGAAATTGGCCATTACTTTACCACACCACGAGACACAAGCTCTCAATACCCTCTGCGCCCACAAATCCCGGCCAGTCGCGATGTCTGTTTCTCTCTCCCCATCCTTTGGACTTCTGAAGCTCTGGTCACCCTCCTGCTGGCCCCTTGTCCAGGGGCCTTTTTTCCCCTGGGACTTCCTCATGGATGTAGAACATTCCTGGTCCCCTTTCCCCAAACATCATGGGCTTTCTCCCTTCTTAGACCCCACTGTGCCCTGATGGCCACTCCGCATCCCAGGTCCACTTTGTATCTGCTGTGACCGTGCTCAACTCTTCTCCTGAAGCTGCAGCCTCTCTGGAGTCCTGAGTGGTGCATATGGTGCCTTAAGAGCATCCCCAAGAATGCCCTACCCACTGCTCAAACCCGTCTCTGTATATTCCTCTCCCTCACCCCCAAACATTTCCCTCCAACCCTCCTATTTCTCTCCAAGGCACCAACATCTCCCTGTCGCCCAGGTGTTTCTGTCATTGCCTTCTAGGTCCAGGCAGCTTAGCCTTAGACCTACACTTGGTCTTCTTCCAACCCCCATCCATCCATCCTTTCCCCTTCATCATCCCTGATACACTCTTCCTCTTCTCCTTCCCCTGCCTCCAGTCCCGCTTCTCCCCTCCTATTCACCATCCAAAAGCAAACACAGCCACCTTAGCCACCACCATCTGCCCCACTTTTTCAGTCAGCTCCCACACATCCCACTACCTCCCACCTGAGCCTTCTCGCCGGCCAGGTGGACCTCTGTGCCAGTTCCCAAACCAACTCAGGCCTATGCCCATGCCATACACCCCCACCACTCCTAAAACAACATTCTTTCCTTTAGGGCTATGCAAACCCTTTTCATCTTTCTAAGCCTGATTTAGATACCTCCTCCTGCAGGAAGCCTTCCCCGATCAGGCCTGCCTATGATCTTCCCTCCTCTAAACCCCGTCCCAACTGACTGTTCCCCTCCCCAGCTAGATGACAAATGCCCCTGCCCTTCTCCTCAAGCCAGTGCACACAGGAGGAACCCAATGAGAGGGGCTCCTTGAGGGTGACGGCAACATCTTCTTCAACTCTCTCTAATCCTGATCTGCATCCTGCTCCCAGAAGGACTTCAGAGCTGGGAAAAGGCAAAAGCCAGACGGAACTGGAGGTGGCACTAGAGGGCAGATAAGGTAGCAGAAATGTGCCAATGTGTCTTGTTCCCTGCAGTGAGGATGGGAGTGGGGACACTCCTCCCCATCCCCAGCTACATCCAGTAGAACCCGGAAAAGGGAGACAGGGACTGACACACCCCCAGGCTTGACTGAAAGGCTGCTGATGGGATGTGCATCCCTCCCCTCAGTCCCTTCACCCAGGGGTACAATGGCTGAGTCTCAGAAGCCAATATGCAGCAACCATGCAAGCGCCTCACCAATGCAGAACTGTACACAGGATGCTAGACCCAGAAAGCATGTTCTTACAGACAAGAAGCTCATACTTGGGTGGAGAGATGCATTCAGGACCCCGAGGTTCTGGGGGAGGTTTAAAAAGGAACCATCCCACTCGCTATAGAAGGAGACGGGTCCTGGTCTAGACACAGGCGCTGTGTCTCCTCTCTAAGCCCTACTGATGGCAGGAGAGATACCCAGGTACAGAGAGAGGAGGCCTCCAGCTCCAAGTCACCCAGCACGCCACGGGGTGGAACAGGGAGGAAAGAGGTCAAAGGCTCCCGTTCTGGGCTCCATTCTTGCAGGCTGCAGGAACTGGGGACACATCGGACCCAGCCTACTGAGGCTCTCAAGGCCCGACTCTCTCTTAGAGTCCATATCACAGAGGTGCCGACGACCCCAGCATCTCAACTTCACCACAGGATGGACTCTCAGGCACAGAACAACAGTCCCCAAGGCTGTCCTCCTCTCCTTTCCTCCCAGAAGAGTTCTGCCCAAACAGCCTGAGTTAAAGAGGCTGGGCTCTCTCTGCCCCGTCACACGCTCTCGATTTCCGGACTGCAGGCAGAGGTCTGGGGGCCAAGCCCCCACCCCCTTCCTCCCCAGGCTCCAGAAAAGGCCAACCAGAGCCACTGCCCTGGAGGGACAACTCCCCAACTCCTCCCCTTCTTCCCTCTCTGCTCCAGATGCCTCCCAGAGTTGGAATGAGCCTGGGGACACGGAGCACGGGGTCAGACCTCCTCCCCTGCCCGCTGGCCGTGGCCGCAGCCGGAGCCGCAGCCGCAGCCGGGAGCCCACTCACCTGCTCTCGCATCCTGTCCTGCTGGCCTCGCAGGGCCAGGGCGTGCTGTGGGTACTTGCTCTTCAGGTGGTCCATGAAGGCATCACGCTTGCGGTCGGCGTCCGCCTTCTGGAGCCCGCTGAGCGCCTCCAGACTCTGGGCCGCGATCACCGTGTGCCGCCGCTCGGACGTGTGCACCAGCCCCACGTTGGAGAAGCGCCGGCCCCCGCTGCCCCCGCCGCCCCCGCCCCCCAGGGTCCGGTACTCCCGCGGGTACTCCGCATCGTCCGCAGACAGCATGGGGGGGCTGCTCCGCTCCGGATCTGCGAGAGGTGAGAGGGGCACGGCTGGGTCACGGCGCGCCCGGCCTGGGGCTGCCCATCCCCCAAGGGGGTCCCTGCGGGAAGGGGCGGGGCCTGGGCCTAAGGAGAGTGGAGAGGCGCCCGGGGAGAGGCAGGGGCTGCCCAGCACCCCACTAGGGACTGAAGGGGGAAGTGCGTGGATGGCGTGGAAAGCGCGCCTACGGCCCCTAGGGAGGGGTGAGGAACAAGGGCTGGATACTCCCTGTTCCTCCGTGGGTTTGGAGCGATAATGACCGCGGGGGTGCAGCCCTTTGAGGCCAAGGGTTGGGGGTTTGGATGAAAGGGGTAGAAGGTATCCTGAGACCCTCTCCAGCCACACAACCCCCTCCCCTCCTAAAGCTGGTGCCAGCAGGTGAGGGAAGGAGGGGTGCTTTTTAGATGCTCCCTAAAAGACGTGAAAATGAGCTCGTAGTCTTCCTTTGAGGTTGGGGGCGGGGAGCCCTGCCTCCTCCCTCAGACTAGCATATGTCCAGGACATACTTATCCTCAAGGCTGGGCGCCGGCTGGGAAAAGGGCCAGGGCAGGAAGACATGGGGAGAATGAGGGCAAAAATCGCTCTCAGGTTTCCCATGGAGATGGAAGCCCAGCGTCTGGGGCAGTGGGACCCCTTTTCCCTTCCCTCCCCAGAGACAGACAGATAGACAGACAGGAGAGGCTGGGCACAGAGAGGACAGTGAGAGATGGATTTGGAACAAACTTAAAGGGAAAGAAAGCAGACAGAACAGCTGAAGTCCTTCCCAGGGGCTTTCCCCCCACCTCTCCCCTCCCTTCTTCAGTCTCTCCTCCCGACACACACACAAGATCAAGACCCATAAGAGACGTACAGGGGACAAAGGACAGCACAGAAGCAAAAGAAAGAGAAGGCCGGGGGTTGAGGTCCCACGCGGAACTCTGAATCCCCTTCCCAAATGCTCTCCAGCCCTGAGCTCCTGGCCTCCCCAGGCCCAGCCCTGCTGGCCCGCACTCTCCAGCTTCAGTGACCAGTGGCCAGGGGTTCCAGAGGTCACGCATGCCCCTGGGGGTGGAAGAAGTTGCTGGGGGCCTACCTCAGCCATATTCCTGGGCATAAAACATAGATTTGTGCCCCTCAGAAGTCAGTCCATAGGGAGACAAGCACAGCCTCTCCTGCACACCCCAGCCCCACAATCCACCAGCCCCAAAGCAGCCCTCCAAGTGTGGCCTAGGACTGGGGCATCAGGCGCTGCAGCAGACACATGCACTCCCGCCCCCGTGTGGCCTGACTCATAGGGCTCCTCCAAGGGCTGCCCAGGGCAACAGGGGACGCGGCTGGAAACGCTGGAAACCAGCCAGGTTTGCTACAAGCCTCCTCCCGCCAAGCATCCACTGTCAGGAGGTCTATGGACAGCTGCCAGGTCTGCCATCCCCTGCCCAGCCACAGAGGAAAGAGGAGATTCAGCCAGGTTTCAAGAAAAGCCACCTGCCCCCAACACACACACACACACACATACACACATACACACCCCTCCCTGGGCAATGGTTGGGTTGTGTCCATTAGGGGCACAGAGCCTGCGAGGACCCAGCACCTCCCACCGAACCAAGGGAAGAAGGGCTCCCATGGGCATGAGAGCCGCAGCTCACCAGGGCCTGACCACCTGCCTCATGGCTGCATGCTTCCTTCCCTACACCCCATCAGGTGGGTGTTATCATGGTCCCCATTTCAGAAATGGCTACTGAGACTCAGAGAAGTCCACTGACAAGCCTAAAGCAACACTGAATGGAAGAGGCCTGATTTGATCTCAATATTTATTACGTTTGTGCCACCACACTCTCCACGATGACTGTTTCTTGAGTGAACATTGACAGCACCACATGGCATGTGTGGACTTCCTCACTGACCTGCTGCTATCCCCAACCATGGCCCTGGGTCTTGGGTGGTCCCTCTCACCATGGTCACCATCCTCTGTTGTGCTCCCCAAAATAAGGTCCAAATACATGAGAGATGACTTTGGGAAGAACATTATTTTATGTCTTCTCTTCCTTCCTCTTTTTTTCTTTTTCTGGGGGGACAGGGTCTTGCTCTGGCACTCAGCTTGGAGTATAATGGTGTGATCATAGCTCACTGCAGCCTCAAGCTCCTGGGCTCAAGAGTTCCTCCCACTTCAGCCTCCCAAGTAGCTGGAATTACAGGTGCCTGCCACCACACCCAGTGAATTTCTTCCTTTTTTTAGAGATGGGGTCTTGCTATGTTGCCCAGGCTGGTCTCAACCTCCTAGGCTCAAGTGATTCTCCCACTTTGGCCTCCCAAAGTGCTGAGATTAAAAGTGTGAGCCGCGGACCAGGCACGATGACTCATACCTGTAATCCCAGCACTTTGGGAGGCCGAGGCAGGTGGATCACGAGGTCAGGAGTTCGAGACCAGCCTGACCAACATAGTGAAACCCCATCTCTACTAAAAATACAAAAAATTAGCCGGGAGTGATAGTGGGCACCTGTAATCTCAGCTCCTTGGGAGGCTGAGGCAGGAGAAATGCTTGAACCCGGGAGGCAGAGGTTGCAGTGAACGGAGATTACGCCACTGCACTCCAGCCTGGGAGACAGTGTGAAACTCTGTCTCAAAAAAAAAAAAAGAAAAAAGAAAAAAGAAAAAAAAAAGTGTGAGCCACCACACCCAGGTCTTTTTTTTTTTTTTTAAATACCTTTATTTTCATAAGGATTAGAAAAAGCCCCAATTAGAAGGTCAAACCAGTGATTTCATGGATATAGTTCCTTGGGATGGTAGTGAAATAAAGTTTCCTTTTAAGTAAATTTAAAGTTCAAAGTGAGCTAACAAAAACGTATATTGCATTAGTACAGTACAAAAGGTTTCCTGATATGATGGTAATTCGTGAAATAGACCCTGACTGAGTGAGACTGGGAACACTGGGGCCATCTTCCTGAGGGCCCAGTCCCTGTCTTTGAGGTACTTGTGGCAACCCACAGTGGCCAGAAGTGTGGCTAAAGGAGAGTGGCCTGAATAATGCCTCCATGAGAAGGCTGGGGGTTCCCTGGGCGCTGGAGAAATAGCTCCAACCAAAGTCAGAGGGTTGCCTCCCATAACCCCTGACCTTCCTCCTCCTCCACTCACCCTCACCACCAGCCAGAGGTCTGCAGCCCATTGGGTACAAGTGAGAAGGAGGGGACCCTCTGAGGCCAAGAGCCTTTCCTTTGCCCAGGCCTTGTGGATTCTGCCGTGGCCTTGCTGCTGGAATCCAGCTCCACAGTTCAGGCCTAGTCCTGCCTGAGCCAGAAGGACCCCTGCCCCTTATGCCAGAGATCCAGGCTCCTCTGCCCTCCTAGGGCTCAGGACAACATTGGGACAGGTCTCCAATTATCATCTCCCAGCTGCTTCCTTCCTGGAGCCAAAAGAGCTCCTCATCCCCTCTCTTACCCCCTCCTCATGCCAGCACCTCCTTCCCTACCTCCTGGGGGATCTCAGTGTGTCTGGGGTGGAGCAAACAGTGTACCAGCCTGAGATGAGTGGTGACTGTGGAGTGGGAGGGTCCCCAGGTCACCCAGTTCTCCCAGGCAGATTATGGCAGGGAGAGGTCCCAGCTCCCAGCTGCTGGAGCAGGCAGAGGGTAGGGCATGGAGCTCACAACTGCACTATATGACTGCAGTCCCACAAATCTCACAGTTGGCAGTGGGGAGGGGCTGCTGAGCAGCCTGCACAGACAGGGAAGCAGGGACTACCCCTCACTGCCTCCTCCAGGCCGTCGCTCAGCCCTCAGGTGCTCTGGCATTGGGGCTATTGGGGTGAGGCGGGCAGGAGCTAGATACTAAGGGGTGGCAGAGAGAGGGGAGGGGGCAGGAGAGATGATCTGCTCTCTCTGAGGGGCGGTGGCAAGGAGGAGCTTTGATGTGAAAAGCTTTAGAATCTGTTTAAGAACCTTTGAGATCCTTGGCTTTTATATAACAAAAAAGTAAGCTGAGGCTCGGGGAGAAGGGAACGCCTGGGTAGCCTAGCTGTCCTGGCTTCCTACTTTGTACAGATTTAACTTCTTTCTGCAGGGCCCCAGCTGAGCTGGGAGGATGAACCTGGGCTTCTGGTTGAGGGTGGGGGAGCATCCTGTCCTTAGGAGAGGGAAGCCAGTGACCAGCCTCCTGGGGGGGCTCTGAAGATTCAGGCATGATTTTAACTCCTTCAGCAGGCCAGGCACTTGAAATCAGAACACTGGGAGAGAAAAACCCAGGCCAGAGACACCCTGGGTGTCTTAGCAACTTTTCTGAGACCCCAGGCTAGCCATTTATTTATTTTTTGAGACAAGGTCTCACTCTGTTGCCCAGGCTGGAGTGCAGTGGCGCGATTATGGCTCAGTGCAGCCTCAACCTGGGCTCAAGCTAGCCTCCAGCCTCAGTCTCTTGAGTAGCTGGGACCACAGGCACGTGCCACCATGCCCAGCTTATTTTGGTGGTCTGTTTTGTTTTGTAGAGATGGGGTTTTGCCATGTGGCCCAGGCTGGTCTCCACCTCCTGAGCTCAAGCGATCCACCCACCTCAGCCTCCCAAAGTGCTAGGATTACAGGCATGAGCCACCACACACACCCAGCCTCATTAATTTACTTACTCATTCAGTCAACAAATATCTTCCCTCTCTGAGCCTAAGAACCTAATTTGTAAAATGGGGATGTTAACGTCTAAACTCTGCCTTTGGGCACTAAGTGAGAGGCTGGCAAGACAATGGTAGAGAAAGTAGGTTGTTTTCTTTTTTTCATTTTCTGTTTTTTTTTTTTTTTTTTTTTTGAGACAGAGTTTCACTCTATGGCCCAGGCTGGAGTGCAATGGTGCGATCTCGGCTCACTGCAACCTCTGCCACCCGGGCTCAAGCAATTCTCCTGCTTCAGCCTTCTGAGTAGCTGGGATTACAGGAGCCCACAACCATGCCCAGCTAATTTTTGTATTTTTAGTAGAGACGGAGTTTCACCATGTTGGCCAGGCTGGTCTCCAACGCCTGACCTCAGGTGATCCGCCCGCCTCGGCCTCCCAAAGTGCTGGGATTACAGGCGTGAGCCACCGCGCCAGGCCAAAGTAGGTTGCTTTCAATGAAAGACATTCCTGAGCAGCGATGGGCTTGTAGCAGCCTGACCTCCCTGTTACCCCTACGCCTGTTCCAGCCATCAGCAAGTCCTCGGAGTGGCCCTGACCCCCCTCGGACCTGAGCAGCCCAGGGAAAAGACACAGGGATCGATTCCAATCTAGCAAGCGGATCCAGGCACCTGCCAGCCCTGCACAGATCAATGCGTCCTGTTCCAGGCAGGGAGGGCATGAGAGACCCGGGCTGGGGTCTTAAGCATGGCTGGGTTCTGCTGGGAGAGGGATAGGGGCATTGCGATAGAGAGAGACGGAGGCAGGGAACTCTGGGGGAAGGGAAGCAAAGCTAGGATACCCTGGTGGAGGGGCGTTGGGCCTGAAGGTTCCCCCCAACCCAGGGATGGGGTTGGGGAAACCAGAGACATAAGGGAGGGGGCTCAGGGCTTCTCTTTTCTCCAAGGAACCTCAGTGTGCAAGGCTGACTATATTTTTTGAGTCCGAGATTCAAGCCACAGGGAAGATGCCAAGAACTGGCGAAATCCAGAATCCGAATGAGGGGAAGGGCAGGGTGAGGAAGGCGGGTTCTGCCACCCTCAGCTCAGCCTGCCCCGCCTGGGAAACGCGGAAGGTGAAAGTGGCCTGAGGCTGGGGTGGCCGGGAAGTGGCGGGCGCCCCCCAGTGGCCGGCTAGGAGGACGGCACAGGTGCTTGGGAAGAGTGACGTTGTCATTTGTCCGAACAATTCCAAATTCTACGTTTATTTATCAGCCTCATTTATTTTTATCCTCCACCACATTCTTTTACATGAGATCACTGTAACTGATTATGAGAATTAAGATCCCAACATCTTAGTGACACCATCTCATAAGCCACCAAGCCGGTCCCCAACTGGCATCTTTACCCCGGATGTAACCCTCTACTCTGTCCTCTGGCTGCCCCTGGGCAACATTCACACATGATGTCATCTGCAAAGGAGGAGAACGGGGAGAGGAGAGGAGAGGGAGGGAGAAGGAAGGAGAGAGGCAAATGGACAAAGTAGAGGAAGAACGAAGCCACCAGCTCAGGAAAGGGAGAAGAGAACTCTCTGGGGCCCCTGATGTGAGTCCTCCCCAGCCCCAAACTCAAGATCTGGAAATCAGGTCCCTGTAACCCTCTCTGTGGAGATAAGGAGGCTGGACAAAACCCCTCCCTTGGGGACCTGAGAGGCTGTCACATGTGTGCCCCGACCCACTGCCTGGGCAGGGGTAGGAGCTGGGTTATAGCCCTGGCAGGAAGCGAGGGCAGGAGGCACTCAGGGTGAAGACACCAACTCACAAGCCCACAGGACATGGGGCTAGGCAGGGCAGCAGGAGAGGAGCATGGAGACAGCTGGAAGGGTGGAGGACCTGCCTGCCTTAGGCCACACCCACACACACACACAAACACACAGCATGAGGCTCCCCCAGTCCCTCCTCTGCAGCCAATGCTACAGGAGCCCAAGTCAGCCAGGAGGAGCCCCGAGGCACTGCCACCTTCGATTGTGCATGATGACTCCATCCTGCTGGGTGCCTGCTGCAGTCGGGAAGCACACGGTGTGCTTGGAGGTTGGAGGCCAGAGGACAAAGGTCAACCGGGACCAGATATGTATCAAACTAGGCAGAGGCTCTGGGAACCCGAATTAGGAGAGGGGATCCTTTGCTTCCCCTGCTAGTGAAGGAATCGGCCTCCCTGTCCCTGGGTGCCCCTGGCTCTGCCTTCCTTGTGTGCCCATACTCCTCAGTTTCTGCTGGCTGGCTGTGGGTCCTTGGATCAGAAGCCCATCTGTGTCTGTTTTCTAAAACCATCTTTTCCGCCCCATACCACAGCAACCAAAGTCATTTTCCGGGCAATTGCCTTTCTGTAAACATTCCTGTGTAATATCCCCCCAAATTGCTAATACCCAGCGCCCTGTTGAGTCTCCCTGTCACTCCAACTAAAGCCTCGGAGATGAGGGCGTGTGATGGGGGAAGGGCGATGGGGGGAAGGAGGCAGCTGGACTGAGGATTGGAGACAGGGGGCTCCTGCCTAGCTCCTGGCACAGAGCGGGGGCCAGAAACTCTGCACCTCCCCACGGTGATCCCCACTCCCTGCCAGCCCAGCCCCACCCCCTGAATGTCAGGCTCCACTTCAGGAGAGTCTGCCTGGACTAGGAGGGAAGACAGAGAGGAAGTGGGAAGGGAGCCCACTGGACAGAAGGCCTGAGACAGGGCCTGGGAGGAGAAGGAGCTGAGTTGAAGGCATGGAGGAGATGGCTAGAAAATAAAGACTCCTGGTGACTAGGGCAGGGCACTAGGGACATGGGGCAAGGCCAGGCAAGTTGTCTTCAAGGAATGCCAGCTCCCCTCCCCACCAAGGGTGACAAGGAGGACAGAGAAGAGGGTCGAGGCCAGGGAGGATCGAGGCCATCCCCCCAGCGTGGGCCCTGCCCACTCCCTGGGCACTGTAGTGGATGGGGGCGGGGGGAGATGGACAAGGCAAGAGGTGTCAGGTGGTTCTTGGCAGGTGATACACCTGTTGTCCCCTCCTCCACCTCCCAGCCCTGATCTATAAAGCCACCATGGAGAAGGGTCTGGAGCAGGCTGATTCTCCTCATCATACAGCAAGGGAAACTGAGGCTCAGGGAGGTCGAGTGATCTAATCTGAGTCACCACATGGACTCCCTTCCCCAGGGGTGGGGGTAAGAAGGGGGACTAGGACTGTGGCCTATGACCCTGTGGTCTCTTCCATCCCCCTGCCCAGGGAATACTGCCACCCCCTTCCCAAGCTCCACAGAAGCTGGGCATCCAATGGGATGGGGGATGATGGAGCCCTGGAGGGAGCTGGGAGCAGAGGTGATGCAAAGGGCAGCTAGGGAGGGTGCAGGGCACTGCCAGTCACAGCTTTGTGTAGGCAGAAAAACACAAACCAATTTGTGCAGATTTAAAACCCACTGAAGGCCACTTAGTTGGTAAACGAGTCAGAATCTAATTAAAGGACCTCTTCGAGGCTGGGGGAAGGCACTGACACCTGCCTAGGAGGAGCGGTGAGGCTGGGGGCCTGGGCCCTGGCTGCTACTGGTGGAGCTGCTGGGGCTTTCCATGGGGAGAGCAGATTTGAGGGGGTCAAGCTCCCTGCGGGTGGGCACCCGGGGAGGGGGGCGGGCATCAGATGCTTCCCCAGCCCAGCTCTTCCTCCTCGCCCATCCCAGGCTGACTGTGTCCACTTGCACAGACCTGGGCACTCCCAGGGCAGGACCCTCACCTCCTCCCTCAGACTGGGGCCTCCCTTATGGCAGAAGGGCCATTCCACCCAGAAGGGCAGAATTGGGTGGGGTGAGGAGGCCCACCCACCACATCAGGAGTGGGGTGGGGTCCTGGGGACTCTCAAAGATCCCAGGCTTGGCCTCGGTGCCACCTCCACCAACTGCACTGGCTCTGCATGGCTATTGAGTCCTTGCTTCCTTCTGCTTGCAGCTGTCTCTCCCCCAGGGCCCCAGGCCACACAGCACAGCAGCTCTCAGACTCTGGTGGTGAGGTGGGGCCTCCCCTCAGCTCTCAGCTCTCGGGAAGAGGTGGCCCCCTCCTTACCCGTCCTGTGTCGGGAAACCACAGTGCTCTCTCTCCAGCCAGATGCCTTTCCTAGGCAGGAAACCAACACCCAGAGTACAAGCCTGACCCAATCTGCAGGAGCTGAAGGCAGAGCCCAAAGTGGAACCCAGGGGTCCTGGCCCTCAGGGACAAGGATTTTTCCATTCCACGATGCCACTTCCCAGAAAGCAGCTGCCTGGGGAGCCCCTCTCTAGGCCACGGGCCCCAGGAGGACACAGACTAACAACCTCCTTAGGAAGGATCAGCAGCAAGGCAGAAACACCGCAGCAGCCCGGCCGACAGGGAGAAAAGCTGGGGTCCATGGCCCAGTGATGCCCCCAGCCCAGGGGGATGCTCACCACACAGAAATCAGGGTCCCCGCAGGGCATCCGAACTGCACATTCAGACAAGACTCCCCATCCTTGCAAAATGTGCAAATCAGCCCCGTGCCCAGAATTCCAGATATACAACCCTCTTTCTTCCCCCTGCCCCTCCTCTTTCACACACAGCAGGCAAATCTGTGACATTACCAAAAACCACTGCATCCACTGACTAGTTATGTGACCTTGAGTAGGTCAGGGGATGCTCAGAGCTTCAGTCCTCTCATTTGCTTTAACAAAAAAAAAAAAAAGGAAGAAGAAGAAGAAGCAGAAGCTAATAACAGGCAACAGGCAACAGGCAACAGGCATGCAGACTGCAGAGCCTGGGTGAGCAGAGTCAGTTTCTTCTGATCTACCCCGGAGCCCGATTTCCTTCCACCCACTGTCAGAGTTGTATCAGACCCAGGACTGTGGGGTTGTGATTTTTGGCTTCTAATGAAGATCTGGCTAATTGGCTTCCCTGGGAAGGAAGGGGGCAGAGATATGGAGGGCAGCATGTCACCCCCAGTCTGAAGCTGGAGCTGGAAATGCTGAGAACAGCCCTGGCATGTGCCCACGCGGCACTATGTTAACCAGCTAACTCCTGTGTGGCAGCTCCACTGCTCACGCGCCCAGGGAAGGTGTCCTGTCAGCTCCACATCTCCTTGGAGAGGCAGCCGAGGGGAACACAGGCCGAGCGGGAGGGGAGGAGGGAACACTGGAGGGTGGGAAGGGAGGAAGGCCGGTGCCTGTCCTCAGCTCTGCCATCACTCTGAGGAGGCTGCCAGGGCGTCTTCTCCCCAGGGGGCACTCCAGCCTGAGTGCTGCGCCCCTCTGTGTGTGAAAGGGATCTTTCCTCCCTCCCTGCAGCTGCCTCAGGCTGAAAGCGTGCCCAGGGGGAAGCATATTGTTTCCAGGGGAAGAGACTCCAATCTGTTGGAAGTGAGTGGTGGAAGCCCCACCCACCATCCTGCCTCCCCACAGGGAAGCATTTTCAACACCAAGTACTCATCAACGGGCTCATCAATATTGGGCAGGAGACCCAGCCTTGCCAAGATGCCCTTGATATCCTCCTCAGAGACACCACCTTTCATGGGGACAGGCTCTCCCTAGGAGGCCTTGTCCCAGCCCTATGACCTAGTAGCACTCAGACAGCTCCCTCGGCCGCTAGAACCAGCAGGATTCCTCCGGGTTCCCAGCACACACTCAGTCGCCCAGGCACACACATCTGCTCACTCATGCTTCTACGTCAAACCTGTGCACCTCGGCATGCGCCTGGCTGCCCAGTACTTGCTCACTGACATGGGCCCAGTCACAGCCTGCCTCACCAGCACTCTCCACCTGACCTCAGGTGATCCACCTGCCTCGGCCTCCCAAAGTGCTGGGCTTACAGGCGTGAGCCACCGTGCCCAGCCATGATAACCACTCTTGAACACCCACACGTATTCATGACAGTCTACATGCAGGGGTCTACATACCTGGGCCCACCAGGGTGCCCCACTCTGCCACCTTAGATGCCACGCAGACAGGGAGAATGTCATGCCAGTCCACGCAGCTCATGCAGGGCATCTGGGGCTCGCTAAAGCGCCAGGTGGATGCATCTCCAGCTTGGGGTGAAAGACAGTGGGGACTTGCCCATCCTGAGTCCCTCATGGAGGCGACATCTTCAGCTCCTTTTCCACTTTGCCAGGTTCGGGGCTCCCTTGCTGAGGTGTTTACACAATGTCTTAAAATACAGGAGTCAGCCCAGTAACCTCAAGGCCACCTACTCTGACCAATGCTTAGCCAATGGGGCGATGTTCATGAGTGAGACCCTCCTCTGGGACCTGGTTGCCTCCAGCCCTCATTCCACCTCTGTAGGTGCTCAGCGCCTCCACCAGGGCGAGGGGGCCGGAGAGCCTCTGCCCAGCTTCCAGCTCTGCTGATGGGGAAGGACAGGGCTGCTGGGACCCAAGGCTTAGCTCTCACCTCATGGGTTAATTTCTCTGCCACCCTGCAAGCTAGCTAAGAACAAACAGCCGAATCTGCAGCCCATGATTCTCTCTCCCTAGGGACACCCTGTTAGTATCCCGAGAGACTCTGGAGGATGGGGCGAGGGCAGCCCGGAGTTCACAGTTTGGAAAAGGCAGGAGACTTGGCAAGTCGGCTTGGCCTCTGGGTCAGGCAGTCTTTGGAAGCCAGGGCCTGGTCAGATAGCAGGGGCATCTTGTGGAAGTTCTCTTTGTTGTCTAACCTGAGCTCTCCCATCAGAGCAGCATCTGGGAATGTGGAGCACAGGCTTCAAGGCAAGGAAAAATAAACTGTCTCCCCTTCTGCGAAAGACACAAAGACTCCCACCCTCCCTTCTCCAATCCACACATCCATCTTGAGTGACGAGGGTTAAACCCAGCATCGGGCTTTCTGGAAGCTGTGGGAAATATGGACCAGCCATGAAATGATAACCACTCTTTTTCTTGAGACAGTCCTGCTCTGTCGCCCAGGCTGGAGTGCAGTGGCACAATCTCAGTTCACTGCAAACCCCTCCTCCCGGGTTCAAGCAATTCTCCTGCCTCAGCCTCCCGAGTAGCTGGGACTACAGGCCCGTGCCACCACACCTGGCTAATTTTTGTATTCTTAATAGAGACAAGGTTTTGCTGTGTTGGCCAGGCTGGTCTCAAACTCCTGACCTCAGGTGATCTGCCCGCCTTGGCCTCCCTAAGTGCTGGGATTACAGGCATGAGCCACTGCACCCAGCCATGATAACCACCCTTGAACACCCACACATATTCATGATGATCTCAAAGGGCTCGTGCAGCCATCATTCTCTTCATTCTCACAGTCACCTTGTGAGGTTGCAAACCCCCTATTTTACAGGTGAAGAAACTGAGGCTCAGGAAGGAGTGACTTGTCCAAGGTCAGAGTTGATAAGTGGAAGAGGCTGATCTCAACTGCCGGGGTGCTTAGCCCATTAGCCCATGTCCTTCTTCTTTCCCCTACACTCTGTTGCCCCTGAGGAAGATGCTGATTCTGCCACCAGGTCATCTGTGAGTACTCATCTAAGCCATTAGGCCAGAGCCCCACAGGTCCCCTCTGTCCTTCCTACACCCTAAGAAGAGAACGCTGAAACAACCCTCCTTCCCAGCTAATCTTGGGCGCCATCCACCCAGTCCTCTTGGGGGGGCCTATTCCCCAGGGCTGGAGGAGAGGGAGGAAGCAGAGCCACCCCCAGATCACAGAAACTTAGGCTGGAAGTGGGGGTCCCACAGTCCTGAAAGACCTTCTAGGGGATCCACCTTTCCACAGCCCTACTCGTAGCCTTCTTGTACCTATGCTGGATACGAAGCCCTCCCAGCCCCTGCCACAGGCTGTGCAGAGACAGAACTGCAAATCAGGAGCTCCAGCCAGTCAGGTCTTAGATACTTCCAGGAAAGGAGAACTCATTACATCCAAAGCACCAATCATCTTGTGGGGTTTCTCCTTCCTTAACATGAGCCACAGTCTGTGCCCATGGCCCTCAGGGGAACCTGGGGGAAGGTCATGACCTCTCCCTTTGGAGCAGAGTGGAGGCTCCTGAACCGGAACCTTCTGTCATAAGCCCTCAGGTCCTTCCTGTGTGGCCCAGCCCCCCAGCCATCTGCACCACCCTTTGTTGGGTAATCCCCATGTCACCACCCCTCTTGGCTGCTGGCCTTCAGAACTGCTCTAATGGTCCAGATGAGGTATGAGCAGCACAGGTGACTCCTCTCTGCTTCTGTTACTAAAGTGCCTTCGCTAGTGCCCCTCCTGCCCACACAGCACATGTGCCAGGAAAAACAAATGCTCAGGGCCTAAGAGCGCTGTTCCAGGGCCAGAACATACCTTCCTTGCCTCCTGCTCCTAACGCTCAGGCCTCCCCCAGCCTCAGACCTCAGGGGGCCAGCCTGACTCCTCCTGCCTGGAAGGGGTGAAGTTCCTGGCCCAGTCAGCTGAAACTGCTCCTTCCAGTCACTTCCATTTGCTTTCTGGTGCCTGGCCTTGCTAATGTCACTTAAGGGGTCTGGTCTGAATCTTAGCACCTCCCAGCAACTATGCCCCTCAGAGCCCCAGCTCCAGACACCAAAGGGTGTGCCCAGGAGTCTGAGTGGGCAGCCCGCTCTGCCTGGAATTCTCTGGCTAGTGGCCTGAGGCCCAGGATGCCCCTGTCTGGCAGCCAGTCACTGTGAGAAGTGGAAAACCACAAGCCCACATGATAATATCTGAGGCATATTAACCACACAGTGCTTCCTCCTTGCTAACCTACTTCCTCCTCCCTGCCCTGCTGCCAGAGGGCCCCAGGCTTGGAAGGAGAGGCTCCCCCACCCTCAGCTGCTTCCCTGCAAGTGCCCCGTGTCTGCATCCCATGCTTGCGCAGTGGCTAATTCTGGTGTCTCATCAGACAGTAATTATGGGGGAATCAGCAGTGCCGTCATCTCTGCAGCTCGGCACCTGTCACCACGCCGCCATCCCCAGGCTGCTGGGATGGGATCGGAAGCTGAGGGAGGAGGGCTGTGCTGGGGTGAGGGGCATCTGCACCCTTCCAGCCTCTGCAGCCCTCACTTCCCTGCCCTGCCTCCCCAAGGTGAGCAGTGCACCTCAACCAGGTGGTCACCAGCCACACAAGTGCTCCCTGTTACCCGGGACAGGTACTGAAAGCAGGTGCCATGTGTCCCATGTATGCATCCCCATGACCAAACAGAACAGGCAGAAGGACACAGCAAGCCAAGGCTCAAATCTCACCTTGGCCACTTCCCATATGTGTGACCTTGAACAAATCATTTCAGTCCTCCAGGCCTCAGTTTCCCCAATGGCAAAATGGAAAAAATAGTGCCTCCCTTGTGAAGATGGGAAGAAATAAGGTGTGTAAAGTATCTAGCACAGTGCCTGGCACATGTGTCATCATGTAGTCATTCAACAAACAATTCATACACAGCTACTTTAATGTGTTAGGCAATGTGGGGATGCCAAGATGAATGAGATGATTTAGCAAGGATCACACTGTGGCTACACTGAAGCACAGGCTTTTTTTGTTGGGGGGGTTGGGGGGCTGGTGGTGTTTGGTTTTATTTCTTTGAATTTTAATACCTCTAAGGAGCACAGGAAGTGAGGTAAGGAAGGGAGGGCTGCAGAGGCTGCAAGGCACCCCTCTCCTCACCACAGCCCCCACCATTCCCTATCATCCTCATGCATCGCTTCCCTCATTTGCTGTCCCTGAAGGTACTGAGTTTGCTGCCCCCACAAGCAAAAGTAGGCTAGTGGGCTTAGTTATGTCCAGAACTGGTGATTGTTCAAGAAAGGTTACATTAGGAGCCACCAGAGGTTTGACAGTGCTCTGGGAGATCGGAGGGGCGAGCCCAGAGGCGGTTGTTGGGGAAGGGCATTTCAGGGAGGAGCAGGAATGGGAGGTGATGAAGAGGAGCTGAGCCACAGAGGCAAAGGCCCACAGGGAAGAGGCCAGACCCAAGGTGAGCTGCTGGGGCCCCCACCTGGCTGCAGCACGGACTCCTCAGGAGGAACAGGGTTGGGGAGGAAGGTGATGAATCTCAGTGTGAATTCTCCATGGCGCTGGGCCACAGAGGAGCCCTGCTGCCAGAGTGCAGAGAGTGAGGAAAAGGGGCACGAGGGAATGGGGCAAGACCCATACAAAGCTTCAGGTGAAGGCGGAGGGGAAGGGAGGGTGTAGGGCTGAGGCTGCCCTGCTAGAGACTGGGACTCTCTCTCTGACCTCAGGCATGCTACTTAACCCCTCAGGTCTGTCGTCTCTTCCCCCACAAAACAGTCAGCAGCAGTGAGCTCACAGGACAGTTGTGAGGATGAAATGAACTAACACTTGTACAATGCACAACCCAGCATCTGGCTCCCAGGAAGCACCCAATAAATACTGGCCATCAGTGTTTTCATTATTACCAGTGATGATTTTTTTTCTCAAAACTCAGCAATGACTAAATGAGCCCCATCCCCTGAAAGCCCACAGAGGGAGCACAGGTCTCTTCTAACCAAAACCAGAGTCAACAGTGAGGGGCTGACCCCGGTGTCCACTACCATGGTAGCCTCCTCCCGACTCCCACCCCCTACACCCTCACTAGGCATTGCAATACTCCTTCATAGCACTTTTCCAAAACCCATCCACATCTTATTCCACTCTGGCTGGTAAAGCCAGGACGGGGCTGCTTCACCTTTTTACGGAGGCAGAAAGTAAGTCTTGTAAGGTACTGAGCTCCCCATCACTGGGGGTATTCCAGAAAAGGGTGGGTGAAAGAGAAGAACATTCAGGTCTCAGAGGCCCTTGCCCTGGCCCCCTCTGCCTGGTTCACTGCCCCTGAGCCCACCCTGCAGGCTGAGCCTTGGCCCCTCTGCTGTTTGTGCAGGGAAGCGGGGGTAACTCACGCGAGCAAGGAGGGAAAGGGCTCCAATCTCAAGTCTCTCCGCGTTCTCCTGGCTTCTCCCGGCAGCAGCCAAGGATGGGGGAGGGAGGGGAGCAGTGTCGTTGCTCTTTTAGGAAAACGGTAATTTTAATTAAGAGGCAGACAAATGAGCGCTCTGCAGATTGTCTCAGAGCAAAGTTATTAAAAAGCCATCAAGGCGGCGGCAGCCACGGTGGCAAGGAGAGCTGCCTCCCCCAGCTGCCCACCCAGATTGTAGCTGAATAGCAGTTCAGAGAGCTGGAAAAGGGCTGGAGGACGTGGAACCTGAAAATAGCCCCTCTCCTAAGAAGGCAGGGCAGCATCCAGATAGTACCCAGGGTACAGCCTGCCCAACCCTGGGCAGCAGGTGGGGACGCAAAGGGCACCTGCAATTAGGCAGCCCCTGCTGTGGGCCAAGTCTGGGCCCATCACTACTTTTTCTTTACTCTTCTCAACAATGCTGCCTGGGAGGTGTTCTTGTACCACTTTACAGGCACAAACACTGAGGCTCAGAGAGGGAAAGTGGCTCGTCCAGGCTCACACAGCTAGGAAATGGCTGAAGTGGGGGTTTGAACCCAGGGCAGGCTGACTCTCAAGTCCAATGCTCCAGGCTGCTGGTCCTGGGCCCAGATTTTGGGGGGCGGCTTCCCCTGCCCATACACCCTCCTCCAGCCGGGCTGTTTGATGTCCTCTGAAACAGCCTCAGGAGCAGCCTAATGATGTTGCCCTTAGCCATCAAGGTCACTAGGGACTTGGAGGCCAAGTAACTGCTTGCTTGGCAGGGGCACATTATGAGAGGACACTCTACAGGGACATAAAGTTACAAAACAGCTTCCAGCAGGGGGAACAGGGGCAGATAGACAGAGGACAGGCCCCCACAGCCAGGATATCTTCCAACTCTTCAACCTCTACTTGCTCAACACTTAAGCAAAGCATCCAGGAACCTATCTGCCTTGGTTGCTGTTAGACTCTGAGCCTAGCCCAGTGCCTGGCACAGAGAAAGTGTTCAATAAGTCTTTCCCCGCCGCCCCGACCCCGAGATGGAGTCTTGCTCTGTTACCCAGGCTGGAGTGCGGTGGCGCAATCTCGGCTCACTGCAACCTCTGCTTCCCGGGTTCGAGCAATTCTCCTGCCTCAGCTTCCTGAGTAGCTGGGATTACAGACACCCGCCACCACACCCAGCTAATTTTTGTATTTTTAGTAGAGACAGGGTTTCACCACGTTTGCCAGGCTGGTCTCGAACTCCTGACCTCATGATCCGCCTGCCTCGGCCTCCCAAAGTGCTGGGATTACAGGCGTGAGCCACCGCGCCTGGCCTTCAATAAGTCTTTATTGAATAAATGGATGAATAGATAAACAAGCAAACAATTGAATAAATGAAACGAGATCACAAGTTTGCATGTGACTGTAAGCTAAACAAAATGGTCCCATCTTCTCCCATCCCCCACCCTCTGGGCATCACTGGAACATGGGCTTCCCCCCATAAGAGGTGCCCCTTGCTCCTGACCCCTCTCCCCAGGCCACAAGCCCCCTCAGCAGAGGATTCCCGCCTCTTCTCTTCACCCCAGCCCTAGCTTACATGGCGGCTTTGCAGCCTGCACACACATGTACATGCACGCGTGCTTGTACACGCACACTCACTGACATGCACACACGTGCACATACAGACATGTTCTCTACCAGCCAAAGTGCCCCCCCCAGAGTCAGGTATCTGCTGCCCCCTCCCCTGGCAAAGGCTGGGCCCACCAGGGATAGCCCCCTCTCCGTTTCTGGCCCTCCAGGCTGGGGAGGAGCATCTGACTACGGAGAGCTGGAGAGCTGGCAGGAGGAGGAATCGTGGGGGGCCTCCCTCCTCCTGGCTTACTAACCTGGAGACTTTAAACAGAGGGAACAGAGTCCTGGAGGCTTCCCTCCCGCCGCACGCTGGAGCCCTGGGTGAGGGACAGGAAAGGAGGAAAGTCGTGAATGAATGCCCAGAAAGGCCCGGCTGCAGAGGAGCTGGAGAGAGGAGGGGGCCGGGGCAGGGGCTCCCAAAGTGGGCTAGGTCAGGGGCAGGGCCATGGGCCATGGGGTTGGGGGAGGTGAAGCAGGTACAGAGCAAGGCAGAGCCTTAGGAGCTCTCCCTTTGGGGCCCCCCAGGGCAGACAGGATAGAGATTGGGTGTCATAGGAAGAGCAGGGACTGAGGGGGTAGAGACACTGGTGGGAGACAGACAGGGGGACAAACAGCAGGACAACACAGAAAACATGGGGTCCCCAGAACTGGGTTCCCAGGACAGACAGCCAACAAGCCATGCCTGGTTCTCCACCCAGAAACAGGGGCAGACACTTTACTGAGGTGCCCAACCTAGACCCCAAATGATAGCCCGCCTGCCTCCTTCATGCCAGGTTATGCCATTCTGGAAGGTTGATGGGTTCAGGGTCAGAGAGGCTTGCCATCATTCCCCTGGTGACAACCCTCTCCCCAGCCTACGAGACCCCCATCTGCTCCACTCCCCACTAACCCTGAGAATGCCCAGCTTCCCCTGCCTGTGTTAGAGGAGACAGGCATTCCCCACCCAAAAGGCACTCATAGGTTCACACTGTGCTAGGAGCACAGACCTGCCTGAAGTCCTTCACCTAGCTACTGCCTCCACACCCCCAACCCTCAACCTGCCATGGCAGGGTCCCCTACAGCTGTCCACCATGCCCCACCCTTTAGAAAGGTTAGAAGTCCTTTCTAAACCTACTCCACCTCCCTCATGCTGCAATACCTATTAGCCTTTTACCCTGGGGCATGCAGCAGTTAAGACCCTTCCTGCCGGGAGACACTGTGGCCAGCACCCACTCAGGCACAGCCCTCCCTGGGCTGGCTCAGACCCATCCATACCCACAACACGTCTGGCTACAAGCATTCTCAGAGCCCCCTGCCAATCTCATGGTTCCAATTTTCCCACCGATTACCTAAAACATCGACATCCCAGGGAGAAACAGCTGTTGGGACACGGACTGGGAGAAAATATTAAGAATGCTCATTGATGTGTCTAGCCCCAGAGAACTTCCTGGATGAGGCAGTGGGAGGCACAAAAGTGAAGGCTTAGGAGCTCCAGCTTCCTTCTTACCACCAGCCCTAAGTGGCAGCTCCAGGGGCCCAGCCCCAGACAGGCTGAGGTGAGGATCTGGGTTTTCAAAAAATCTAAAGAGGTTTCTTATGTATGCCCTTTTCTCAGTGGAGAGTGGGCCCCATTCAATCATTCAGTCAGACAGAGGAAGAGGAGGAAGATAAAGATATGACTATTTATTGAATGTCTACTATGTGCCAGGAACTCTGCCTAAATTACCTCATATAATCCTACTACCCACTCTGTGAGGAAGCCAGTGTTAATGCTCTTGATCTACAGAAACAGAAACTGAGCTTCAGAAAGGTGAAGCAACTTGCCCCAAACCACACAGCAAATGACTGTCAGGGCTGCGATTGCAGCCCAGAGCTGTCTGACTGTAGACCCTAAGCTCTTGACCCAGGAGCTAAACTGTCTCCTATCCACTCCCACCCCTCTCTCAGTCTTTGGCTATCTTCCTTTTGGTGGCCTCTGGGAAGTTCTGCCTAAAGAAATTATCTCCTATGGGCAATAAGGTAGAAGAGAAGATTTCTCTTCGGCTCTGCCTCGTCCTAAGAGTGGGAGGCAGACTGTTCTAACCCCAGGCTGCCAGTGGACCAGGAGGGGGTGAGCCATCAGGTTAAGGAGAGAGGTGGGTCTAGGTTTTCCTGAGCTTTATCTTTAGGTGACTTCTGCCTCTCTAATAGCCCCTTCCTGCCCCTCCCACTTCCAGGAGAGAGGAAGCTCCAGGAAGCCCCGCACAAGCCCCTTCACGTTTTACCAACCAGAAGTTCCCATAGTGCCCAGGTAGAGGAGAGCCCAGAAGTTCTGGGGTGGACAAAGTGAGAGTCTGCGGCAGTCCCCACAGCCCTTGCCTCTGCACAGAGTCCTAACTTTCCATGGATAAGGGGGCTGGGGACAAGAATGGGGGACTCATCAGGCCAGCCTGGTCACTGGGTGGGGTGGAATAGGCAGCAGACAGCCCAGGAGAGAAGACAGCAAGGCCCATCCCAAGGGCTTCAAGGAACCATGGAAGGCCTTCCCTACGAGCTGGGGTCATTCATTCTTCCCATAAGAAGCAGAGGCTGGTGTCTGGAGTGATGTCTGCTGCGTATGCAATTATCATGCATCCTAGGGGTGAGGGGAGACTGCAGAACACGTCCCCCCCGCAATCTCCCCAGCTCTGCACAAGCAGAAACAGCTAGGCTCTTTCTGTGGGGTCTCTGGGTCTGGGGTCTCTCTATAAGCTGAGTCTGGGGGCCCCTCTATGGGCCCCTGGGTCTGGGGTCTCCAGCATGCTTTGCCAGCTGGAATGGAAAAGAAGCCAGTGCCCTGGAATGCGTGTGTTTGCACAGGTGAGGAAGGCAGGCATGAGAAAACCCAACTCCCTTCCAGTCTTGGGTTACTCCACATCAGGACATGCAGGCAACCGAGGCAGGTGGCCTGGGCTACCAGGAGCCAGGATAAGGCTGTGGGGGAGCTGAGCCACCAGCTTGAAGTGCCTTGTGGGAGAAAACCCGAATTGGATTATAGTCCCCGGATGGAATGGAGTGTGGCAAAGCCAGTTCTGCTGGGGTGGGAGGAAAACAGTGAGTTTAGAATTCAGAGGACAGCTGAATCCTCTAGCCACTCCCTTCTCCATCCCCTGGGCTGGGAGGGCAGATGTAGGCAAGGTGTGCCTTCGGAACAGGAGGGGGCTGTCTGTAAGGCATGAGTGTGTGTGTGTATGTGTGTGTGTACGTACGTGTGTGTGTATTCCAATATTCTCTTGGGCCAAATCCCCATTTTTTTTTTCTTAGCTTAAGCTGGGAAACAGTCTTCCCACCCTCCATGTGGCAAAGCAATATTATCTCAAGGGAGAGGAGGTAGAGAGAGCCTGGGAGCTCTGGAAGGGAGCTTGAAGGTCCTCTAGTCCCACCCTCTTTTCTTATACCAAGGACACTGAAGACCAGAGGGGGCAACTAAATTGCCAAGGTCACACAGCAGTAGGGGAGACAGGCAAGCTGACTCCAGCCCAATGCTTGTTCTTTACAATTTACTTCTTTGCCCTAAGGAGCAGAGGAGCAGCTTCTCTCTTTCTCCTCCTCTTCTCCCTCTCCCGGAGCACTGGATCCCTCCCCAGCAGGGTCCCCTGCACTCTGGCAACCACACCAGCCAAACTCTTCAGGATGCCCAAAGTTCATCTGAAAGGTCACGCTGACCAGTCCCCTGCCGCTAGGTCCAACACTAGTCTACGGGTGCTCACAGACCACCGTCATTGAGGTGAAAGATGCAAAAATACCACTGGAGCCTCCCATCCTGAAGTGGCCACACGCTGGGAGGTTTATCTTCCTATCTAACCTCGATTCCTCCTACTACAGCGTGGGCCTGCTTCCTCTCAAGCTGTCCTATGCAGAGATGGAGGCAGGGGGAGAAAAGCAGGTTTCCAGCCTCCACACCCTTATGTTTGCCCACCCCCAGCAGACAGGATGAGGGCAGGGTGTCCCTGGGTGGCTGGGCCCAAGCCCAGTGCATGCGTGGGGCCCGAAGGGTGGGATGAGGGAACAGCAGCCTGGGTATGGGGGAAACAGCTCTTCTAGGAATCGCCCCTCCAAGTCCTCATCCTCTGCAAAATCCTAACTAAGTCTCAGGCTTAGACTTCTCTAAGGATTATTATCTTCTCTGGGTTCAGAGATGTCTGTCCCCTATCCCCTCATAATTGATTGTTTATTATCCCAACAATAAGTTGATTGTTTAGTATATGTCCGGCACTGTGCGGGATGTTTTCATCTGTTGTTTCATTTAATCTTCACAATTCCAGGATCAGAAACGAATCTGTCCCCTGGGACCATCCTTCCTTAAGACTAAGTCTAACCTTGATCTCTCTTGCTGCATTTCCTCTGGCCCAGTCCTCCTTGGTGGCATTTTTGTTCCTGTCTTCAGAGACTCTTCTCATGACTCAGTGGCCTACATGATCTTTTTCCAGGCTATCAACCTTTACCCAGCCCTGCCCCAGGACGGGGTAGATATGTAGGTAAAAGCGACCAAGGCATGCGAAGAGGCTCTGGGGGAGGTCCCCAAAAGGTCAGGCAGGGCTGTTGGAGGTACGGGCAGGACTAGGGTGGCAGGCTCTCCTCCCTCATAATGTCCATGACCCCTGCAGGGGGCCTGGGCCCCATCTTCTGTGTGGTAGCTAAGAGGGCCCAGAGAGGCAATGAATGACCTAGTCCTTCTCACTGACCATCTCTGAGGCCCAGGTTTCAGCACACACATCCCCAGAGCCCAGGGGAATGGGCAAAAGCAGGCAGGGGCACAAGGGCAGGACTTGCCATGGGTTGAGCCTGGGAGGTGAAGCCGGAGGAGGAGCTCTGACACCTGGCTAAGCTCCCGGCAGAGGGCTAGCAGGCCCTGGAGGGTGCACAGCCTCAAGCCCCTCTGCCGGCTGCAGTATCAGGCCTCCGTGGGGTTCTGCACACCCCATCCTAGCTAGCCACAGGCAACTTTGGTGAATTCACCCACCACTTGGCTTCTCTGTTTTGACCTTTTGGAGCAGAAGTGCTGAGGGCAGGGGTCCCCTCGACTACAGCCATCCCCCCAACCCTGCCCCCAGCATGGCTGGAACACAGGGGCCAGACTCACCTCCCCAGGGAATGCTCAAGCCCAGCTTTCACCCCTCTGGGAAATCGGAGCAGCAAAAGCATGGGCCAATGGGCAAGGGGAGTTGGAATGGTGGGTGGGACTCTGGGCCGGGTGTGGGCGGCACCCTCCCCCTTCAAGCAGGCACCATTAATATATGCAAAGCATATGCAAATCACCCAGAAGAGAGACACAACACCGCTGGAATGTCACAAGAAACCTTGGAGATCAGCCAGCCCACGCCCCCTCATTTCACAGGTGAGGAAAGAGGCCCGCGCTGGGATGGGACTTGCTCAAGGTCACGCAGACATCTGGGCACTGAGGAAGGATAAGAATGAGCTCTCTTGACTTAGTGCAGTGCTTTTTCCACCAGGGTCTTGTCTTTCTGCTGGGGGGTTTATAACATTGCAAAGGGGCCCCAGGGCGTGGATGGGGCTCCAGGCAGGCCCATCAGAGACATGGGTGGGAGATGGAGCTGAGAGGCTTCTTGGATGCCTCCCTTACCGCCTCTGCACCTGGAGATGGTCTGGTGGGTGTGAGGGGCAGTGCAAGGGCAGCATAGCACCTGGGGGGCCGCGCGGTTGGAGGGGCGGGAGGCTGGAGGTAGGCAAAGAGAAATATGAGGGGCAGGGCAGAAGAGCAGGGAACCTGGGGTGTTTGAGGCAGGGGAGGAAGAGCCCAATGTCAGGGCAAGGTGCCTGCTGTGGTGTGGGGAGGGGGATGGCGCCCTCAACACATACACACACACGCACACACACACACACGCTCGCGCGCACACACACACACACACACATCGCTAAGTGCTCTGCAGCCCTTCCTGGACTCTGACAATTATGGCACCTGACAGACCATAATAGTTAACCCAGGCCCATCCCTTCTGAGGCCACTTCCCCGCCCCCAGCTTGGCTTCTCAACCTTCCAGACAGTCCTCGAAAGCAGGGCCAGAGCTGGGGAAAGGAAGGGGAGGCAGACAATGGGAGGGGTGGTCAGAGGGAGGAAGGGGGAGGCAGAAGAAGAGACGAGGACAGGGTTAGAGAGAGAGACAGCAGGAAGGGCAGCGCAGGAGAAATTGACGAACAGGGAGCGGGAGGGGAGGAATGGGAAGACGGAAAGGCACAGAGGAGAGATGGGGGAGGGGCGAAGACTGAGGGCATCCAGGGGAGTGCTCTGGAGCCCAGGTATCGGGTAGAGGAACCCTGACCCCGAGGTTCTAGGCTGCTTGGCAGGAGTTGGGGACCATGCCCCTGCCCCTCTGCCCACCTCCCCCAGAAACTCCCCTGGCTGCCAGGAACTCAGTCCTCCCTCCTTCACTGCCTCCCTCCCTTCCTCCCTCGGGGCAGGCACTGCTTCCCAGCCAAATCCGAAGCCTTCATCTCCGCTACTCAGAGCTTGGAATGAAAGAAGGGGAAGCGAGTACAGCCCTCAAACCCGCTGACGGCCAGATTTTTATTATCTTTGCTCGAATGGGCCCTAGGAAGCCAGTGAGGGATTCTTCAAAGAGCATCTGAGTGCCTCATTGAAGCCTGCACCTGCACCAGCCCACCCACAGCAGGCAGCCAGGACTTGGGGGGCACAACCTGTCCCCCACCCCCCACAAATCCTAGAGTCCAGAGCCTCAGCTACCAGGAGACTCACCCTCAGCAGCTTGTGCCCAAGCAGGGGTCCCTAGGTCAGGAAACCAGGCTTAAAGCTAGACCTAAGTCTGCTGGGCCTCTGAGGCAGTCTGTGTCCCTCTCTGGGCCTCAAGGACATAAATGAAGAAAGAAAACAGATTTCCTTGCCAGGGCTTGGAGGAGATAAATGCTTGAGATTCCTCGAAAGAGCAGCTTTTATGGCAAGCCCTGGATCCTTCCCCTGAACTCCCTGCCTGCCCAGCACCCACAGGCCCCTTTGCAAGAGCACCCCCCACCACAGCTGCCTCTTCATGTGCCCCAGGCCTGCTACCCAGGATGACAGACGCCATGAACTGTTCTTCCTTGAGCCCCAAACTCAGCTCCCTCAGTTCAAATCCTCAACACTGTCTCCCTTCTTTCCCCAAAACCTAACCTGGGGTGGGGGTGGGGGCTCAACAAACTGGGTACTTCAAAGAGCCCAGCCGCCTCCCTCCTAAGCACTTCCAGGGCTGGGGTTTTGGCAGAGAATTCCAAGGTTGGCATAGGCAGATGGCAGCCATGCCACCCCCACCCTCTAGCTCTGACCACACTGTCGATGCCCACAGCCAAAGAAGGAATCAATGGTTCTAATTAAACCCTTTTTCCAGGGTGGGTCCCTGGCGAGAGAGAGGGAAGAGGGAGAGAGACAGGGAAGGGAGGGGGGAGAGGGGGAGAGAGAGAGAAAGAGAGAGAGAGAGCGCGAGAGTGCATCAGAGAGGCCCTGCATCCCAGTGCCCAACCCAGTATCCTGCACATCTTTAAGACGCCTGGAACCCAGCAGGGATGAGGCCACGAAGACCCCAGACCCTCCGCATTAGGCAAGGAGGCAAGTAGAGGGGCAGGGGAAAGCCTGGGGTGGGGGTAGCTCTTTGAGGGGTTCATTCGAGCGACCCTTCCCCTAGTGGAGCATCCCTCTCCACTCAGCACTCCCCGAGGACCACAGTTGCCTCTTCCAGATAGAGCTCCAGGGCACAGACAGTGGGAGCCAGAAGGGGGATTTGTGCCTCCATCCCAGCCTTGAGGGTCATCACAGAGAACCAGCCATCGTGGAAAGGGCAGAAGAAGCAGGAATTGTTGTGGGGGGACTGGACAAAGACCCTCTTGTCCCCAAGGCAGGGTGGCAGGAAGCCAGGGCAAAGCCTTTGCACTTGCTGCCAGTGGTGCCTGGGTGCCAGGCAGTCTGGGTGGGGACAGCGGGGTGGAGGGGGGGTGCATCTTATTCTTGGAAACCCTCCCCTTATGCCCAGAGCCCTCACCCCATCCCTTGCTTCTACCCCAGGCCACCAGCTAAGTCTCTGTCCCCAGCAACTCTCAGCTTGCCTGGAGCACTCCTTCCTGTGTGAATGTTCCTTCCCATGTCCCTGACACCTGTATGGAGTGGCCCATCACCAACCAGAACCAGCAAAACCCCTCAAATGCACCATAGCTGCTCCCCACATACAACCACACCAGAAACCACCACCATCACAGCTGCCACCAGTGGCGACAGCCTCACAATCTCCATCAAATGCATCATCAATTTTTAAAGATCAACAAGAGGGAAAGGGATGGGAATAAGAGAAACTGAGGCAAGGAATTAGACAGCAAAGCAGTTGGCTCAAGGTCACCCAGACCAAGATACCAAGAGTCGGGAAGAAGGTATCCTGACGACCCCCCAAAAGTGCTCAAACCCCACCCAAAGGAACATTCAGGCCCACAAACCTGGAAGTCTGGTCAGCTTCCCTCACTCCCAAGCCTCACCTGTTTCTCCCTTCCCCAAAACAGACAGCAGCTCCTCCATCTCCTTTTGAAAGGCTGCTGCCAGAAACCCCCACCCCCAGCTCGGGGAGCCCACTTTCCTTAAAGTTGGGGTGCTGCAGGACCTCCTTGTCCCACAACATTTGAGGAGGGGGGCTGGGAAGATCCCCCTCCTTGCATACTTCCCCGCGCCTGCTCACCTGGCTCCCCTCGGCCCCCAGGGTCCCTCGGTCCAGCCTCCTCCCTGGGAGAGCGGGCTCTGCCCTCCGCCGTCCTCTCCCACCAGGCCAGGGCAAAGCGCCGGAGGCACTGCCAGGGCTGCATGGGGACGCGTGGGGCTGGGGGACGAGCACCAGCAGCCGCACACGCCCCGCCGGGCCCTGACAGCTGAGCTGCGGAGGCACCCGGCCTGTCCCCTCTGCTTCCACCAGCATCCTGCTGCCCCCACCGACAGGACTCGGAGCTGGCCCGGGAGCTTCTGACGTAGCAGGGGGGTGCGTGGGAGGGGAGGGGGGGCCACGGTGCGTCCCCTTCCCAGCCCCACCCTCCACCCCTCAGCCGCCTGCCTTCCCTATCTTCTCACTCACCCTAGATGCCCTCCCCAGCTGGGGGCGCCCTCCCCTGCCCCCTGGCCTCTGCAGGGGGAGGGGTTAAGATCAAATAGCCCCTCCCTAAACCCCTCCCTCTCGTGGCCCTCCCTACCCGCTGGTAGAGCGGGGAGCTGGTCCCCAGTTTCTGCAACTGCTGCTGAGGCTCAGAGGTCTCCAGGGCTAGGGCCTCGAGGTGCGGGGAGGGGGGGTGTGTGGAATACAGGCTTGTATCCTGGCAACGCGGCCAACCCCAGAACGCACTCATCCCCTTCCCTCCCTGGAGGCTGGCGCAAAGGGCCCACCACCACCATCCTAGCCCGTGCACCCCATTCTGGGAGCTGGGGGAGGGAGGCCTTTGATGCACCCCTCACTTCTCCATCCCCTTCCCCTCCCCTGCATCCTCCACTTCCCCCACCTCGGAGGGACGCCCTTCTCCCCCCACCCTCCTCACCATCCATCCCCCTTCTTCTCCTCACCCCTCCCCCTTCCACACAAGCCCCTTTACAGTTGAACCCCTCTGGCCCCCACCCCGGGGCGTAGTGAGGCCCTCCCCACCCAGTCTCCTGCCTCGCCACCCTGCCCCCTTCTCTGGTCCCAGCACTCCTCTCGCCCGGGTCCTTCTCCCAAGCCCGGCGCACAGCGGTCCCCTGCCCCCACACACCTGCGCCCCAGCATCCCTCGCCCCGCCGGCCACCGCCTCCCCGGCCCGGCCGCCGCCCCCGCCCCCGGCCGAGGGGGAAAACACACAAAGAAAACAGAAATACCTTCCACTTAAGCATGGAGGCACATTAGGGAGGAGAGAGACAGGGACATGCCTTGGGACGGAGCGTTCCCCATCGGGCGGGGGCGCGGGGGGCGGGGGCCCCGGGCCGGCCTGCCTGGCGCTCGCCCTCTCGCCGCCTCGCGGGCTCCTCGCTCGGCCCCAGCCCCGGGGCGCGGTGCCAGGCGGGCGGGCCGGGGGCGCGGGCCCCGCCGGGGTGGACCAGCTGGGAGGGCGCCGGCGGCCGGGCGTGTGGGTGAGCGCGCGCGCGGGCGTGTCACCGAGTGTGCGAGAGCGAGTGTGTGTGTGTTTGAGTGTGTGTCTGCGCGCGCGCGGGCCGGCGCGGGTGTGTCACTGCGGGCGGGCGCGCGCGCGGCGCGGGCGCGCGCGTGTGGCCGGAACTTACAAAGGGCCGCCCGGGGCGGCGGGGGCGGGGGAGGGGAGGGGGCACTGCGCCTTCTCGCGCCCTCCAGCTTCACCGCGTGATCCCGCAGCGCGCGGCCGGGGCCGGGCGCGGGGCGCGCTCACTCTCTCCTTCCCGCGCCACCTGCTTCGTCCCACCCCAAGTAGTCTTCGCGCCACGATAGAGACAAATACATTGACCGAGGACCGGCTCGGAGGAGGCACCCGGGGAAGCGGGGACACTTGGAGGGTGGAGGACTCCTGGGTCTCCAAGCCCGGGCGCGCCTAGGGATGGAAAGGCTCTCGGGGCTGGGTGGGGAGGCGGGGCGGCGAGACTGGGGGCTCCCTTCAGCCAAGGTGACCGCGGAAACCAACAGCCGCCCCATGCTGGGAGCGCCCGGATCCTCCTCTGCTTCTGCCTCGCGACCCCTCACCCCAGCGCGCCTAGACGCGGCTCGGTCGGAGGGTCTGGGCTCCCCGGCGCCCCCTGCTGGGCCGCCGCCTCGCCCCCGCTCCGGGTTGCAGCCCCTCCTGCAGGCGTGCGCGGGAACTGCAGGCAGGTCCGCGCCCCTCCGGCCAGTGAGACCCCACCGTAGGACGCTCCAGCGACGGTCCCTGCTCACGCCTCGCTTGGCGGCGTCACTGCCGCCTCTACTTCAGCCCGCAGAGCACTAGCTCGGCTCCACCCTGCCGTCCCCCGCCCCTCCGCGTCCCACCTTCGTTGGCCTACCTGTTGGCTCCGCAGACTTCTCCAGCGCTGACCCGGACCCAGACCCAGACCCAGGCCCGCGCCGACACCTCGTGATTCCAGCGGCCCCCTCCCTCCCTCGCTCCGATGCTCTGGCCAGTCCCTTCTCTCTCAAGCTTTCTTGCGGAGGAGAAGGTGGGCTGAGTCCCCTGTCCCTTTTATTTACTTCTGGAGTTTCCAAAAGCAGTTTAGGTGAGCAAGAGAGTGGACACAGTACTTCTATTCACTGTGGGCCATCAGGCAGAGTGGCAGGCAGGCAGAGAGCCCAGGAGAGGAGACCCCACCCCAAGTGGCCCAAATGACAAACCGGTTTCCCCACTTCCTGGTCTACCCAGTTGCAACCTTAATCTGGGCTCTCCCAATTTCCTATCCACCCCCAGGCCTGCCCCTGAGCCAACCACATGCCCAGCTAGGGACAAGGTCCCAGATTCCCCTTAGAGATAAATAACCAATTGCAGTAACTCAGATGCCAGGGCCAGGACCAGAGGAGAGGCCCTTCCCAGCTCCAGTGGGACAGATCAGGAGGACAGCCAAGAGCTGTGTCCTGGACACACAGTCTGGGCACACGACCCCAGCGGCAGGCACCCTGACTTCTTCCCTCCTGGGCCAACTGCCTCTCCCTCTGCCAACTGGATGGTGCCCATCTTTTGGCCTCTGAGCGCACAGTGGGCATCCATCCAGTGCCCTGCCTGGCTGCCTGCCCAGGATGGGCATGGGAGGCAGCAGGCTCTGTGTGGGGGAGGCTCAGGGGAGGCAAGGGTAGCTTCCCCTCAGCACACGGACACCACCTCCCAAGCGGCTGGGAGCCCAGAGCTCTGGCACAGGTCGCTCCTCCGTTCAGATTCCTCACCCACTGACTGCACAGGACTCCTGCCCTTCACCTGCCCCCAACTCAGATTCCCCCCAAGGGACAAGATTTCTTCCCTCCCCCACTTTGTGCCTAAGGGGAAGAAAATTAGCAGGTGCTCTACCATAATCTCTAATTTTACCCTTTCGACAGCCTGATGGAAGTGAGCATTTTCAACCCCCTATCAGAGAGATATAGCCAATTGCCCAATGTAAGAGCAGCAAAGTTGAAATTCAAACCCACATCTGCCTTATGTCAAAGCTCCCTGCCTTTCTTCTATCACCATCATCTCATAACCCTGTGGGTCGCCACAGCAGGGACAACCCCTGGGACACAAAGTCTCATAACCATATAGTCGTTAGAAGAGAACTGAGATCAGGAATGTGGCTGAGAGTTAAGATGTATAGCCATGCCATAATCAGGAAGGAGACAGGGATCTGGTCCTATTGTGGAGAGAGTGACCTGAGGCATTACCTCTAGTTGACAATTGAAAAGATGCTTGTGCCATCATGTGGAGATTTGCCTGCCCAACCCCAGTGGCTTGGGGTGGGGTGGGAAAGGTTCTGTGATGCAGCCCCCAGGGATTGGAACAGTTCCAAAGGTGTCAGCAGAACGAAGCATCCATTTTTACCCGCCCTAAGGTGAGCTCGCTCATCATGAAGGCCACCTCCATAGTGAGGAGCTTAAATCAGATTTATGTAATATTTTTAATTTGTATAGCTCACCTTTTAATGATGAATCCTTAGCATTTCTGATCATCTTCATAGCTATCAGCTCATTTGAGACCCTTCTGCCCTCTCTTCCCCAAAGATGCTTTGTCCACACCCACCCTGCCCAGCTGACTCCATGGGTCTCCTGGAGGGGTGAGAAGGGATACAGCTCCCTGAATAGAACCCAAGGTCCCAAGGCTGAAAGTGGAGCCAGAGGACAGATGGCCTGGCATCATCGCCCCTCATTGACCCCAAGAAAAATACGTGCCTTTCCCTCCTCCCACCAGGTCTCAAAAGGAGGGGTTCCTGGTGGAGAGAGAAGGCTGGGGACACCATCTCCACTGATCAGGGCAAAAGCAACACAGGTATTACTTCAGCTGAGAGATGAGAATTGCTCCTGTAAGCTGGCATGGTGCCCAGGCACAACCAATTTGCCAGCTGCCTCCACCTGAGATGCCTCAGGTGCCGCCCCGCCCCCGCTCTCATTCCTCAACAGGTAACTTCCCTCTGGTCCTCCTCTCCTGTGCCTCTGGCAGTGTATTTGGTGGGGAGGGGGCAGCTGGCATGTTTGGGGCTTGGAACAGCAGATCCTAACCACTCACCTTGCCTCCCCAAACATCCCACCCAGCCCTCACCTGTTCCTGGGAGCTTGCGAGAGAGAGGTTATGGGGGTGCACCCTAGAGGAGAGAATTCTCAGCCCTGCCTCTCCTTCCCCAAGATGCAATAGGAACAGGGGTTGCATCTGGACAAACATCTGGGCAGGCAAAGGGAGATGGGCCTTGGGGTGGGCAGAGAAGGGCATCTGGGCCTCTAGGAGAAGGCACAGGGAAAAGGTGACGTGGAAATAATGGCTGGGACACCCCAAACTGGTCACTCTGCTGCTTTGGAGCACCCCCAGCCCAGTATCCTTGAGAAAGCCCCCGGTCCATGGGGCTGTTGTCTGGCCAGGCATTTCATGAGACCCCAAGGAACCATCCACATTCCACTAAGGGTGGCCTGCAGACAGTGAGGGCCTGGGGACCTGGTCCTATTCTGGGTCAAGTAACCAGGGGCAGTGACCTAGCACCTGGGGCACAAGAGGGGTGGGGGAGGAGCCAAGGAGGAGGAGGGTGCTTCCCGCTGCCCCAGGCCTGCTTCTGGGGCTTTCTGAACACAGCCTGGTCTCCCAGAGCCCCTAAGCCTCCCTTCTCACATTCCTCACCCTCCTGCTCCTCCTCCCACTCCATAGGAGAGGAGTGAGTGGCAGTAAATTTCTAAAGACCCTCCCCGCTTCCCTGCTTGTTATTGTAATGAATGCTAATGATGCTCCCTAACTGATGCCCTCATTAGCACATCAAACCCGCTTTCTGAAGAATGGAGACAGAAAGTGGAGGCAGGTTCTCTGGGGTCGGAGCCGTAGCCAGCCTCCTCCAGAGAACCTTATCCCGTTGCTTCTGGCAGGGAGGGACCAGCGTAGGGGCTTGGAGTGAAAAGCCGAGGTGTTCCCCTCCCAGTGGGAATTTCCTGAGCACAAGGCTGTCTTCCCTGTCAGATGGCAAGGGTTCCATCTGTCCCATCAGACTGGGAGCTCCTTGAGTCAGGCACCTTGCCCCCCTCATTAAGCCAGGGCTCCCCCTGTGGTAGGGCAGTGGCTCTGAAAGTAATTGGAAAAGCCCAGTTGCCTGGAGGGCATGTTAAACCAGCGATTGCTCCCCTCCCCTCAAGGTCTCAGATTCAACAGATTTGAGGAGGGGCCTGAGAATTCGCATTTCTTTTTTCTTTTCTTTTCTCTTTTTTTTTGAGATAGAATCTCACTCTGTCACCCAGGCTGGAGTTCAGTGGCTCGATCTCGGCTCACTGCAACCTCTGCCTCCCGGGCTGAAGCGATTCTCCTGCCTCAGTCTCCCGAGTAGCTGGGATTATAGGCACCCACCACAATGCCCAGCTAATTTTTGTATTTTTAGTAGAGACCGGGTTTCACCATGTTGGCCAGGCTGGTCTCGAACTCCTGACCTCAGGTGATCCACCCGCCTCAGCATCCCAAAGTGCTGGGATTATAGGCGTGAGCCACCGTGCCCGGCCCCACCCTGACAATTCTTTTTTTTTTTTTGAGATGGAGTTTCACTTTTGTTGCCCAAACTGGAGACCGGAACTGGATCCCTGATCCCCTGCTGTGTGCCAGGTCCATGCTCGGTGCTGCTGATGCCAGTGGATCTCCTTTCTCTGTAGGAGGGGAGAATAACCGCAAGGGAGAGGGTTCCTAGCACCCACCTCACTCTGGGTGACCTCCCAGGGCCTAAGTGGGGAGAGGGGCTTGTGGCTACAGTCCATAAGCATGCCTGCAGCTCCCCACCTCCTCCCTTCCCACTTGGTCCCTTAGGCATAAGAATTGTCGGGATGGGGCCGGATGCGGTGCTCACCCCTGTAATCCCAGCACTTTGGGAAGCCCAGGCAGGCGGATCACCTGAGGTCAGAAGTTCGAGACCAGACCGGCTAATATGGTGAAACCCTGTTTCTACTAAAAATACAAAAAATTAGTTGGGCATGGTGTCAGGTGCCTGTAATCCCAACTACTTGGGAGGCTGAGGCAGGAGAATCACTTGAACCTGGGAGGCAGAGGTTGCAGTGAGCTGAGATCGCGCCATTGCACTCCAGCTTGGGCAACAAAAGTGAAACTCCATCTCAAAAAAAAAAAAAAAAAGGAATTGTCGGGGTGGGGCCGGGCGAGGTGGCTCATGCTAGGCGAGGTGGCTCACGCTGTAATCCCAGCACTTTGGGAGGCCAAGGCAGGTGGATCACCTGAGGTCAGGAGTTGAGACCAGCCTGGTCAACATGGAGAAACGCCATCTCTACTAAAAATACAAATATTAGCCGGGCGTGGTGGCACGCGCCTGTAAGCCTAGCTACTCGGGAGGCTGAGGCACGAGAATCACTTGAACTCAGGAGGCGGAGGTTACAGTGAGCCGAGATCACACCACTGCACTCCAGCCTGGGTGACAGAGCAAGACTTTTTCTCAAAAAACAAACAAACAAAAAAGAATTGCCCGGGTGGGTGGGTGAGTGAACTGCAACCTTAGTGCTCTAGTTGGGGGAGGAGGGAGACAGGAGACTGGAGCTGGAGTGAAGAGATGGAGGGTGAGGGGAGGGGGCAAACAGAATTGGGATGAAGAGAAGATGAGAGGTGGAGAAAAACAGAAGAAAAGGGAAGAAGAGGGGAAGCAGGAGGGAGGGAGGGGAGGAAAGAGAGAAGAAGAGAGGGAGGGATGTATGGAGAGATGGAAAGAGTGAAAGAAGGCCTTTGACAGGGAAAGGGAAAAGACAAGAAAGATGAGGCCAGGGCAGGGAGGAGGAGAAGGAAGGTACAGTCTGTATCTGTCCTTAACAGGACATATTATGAGCCACTGAGGCCCAGGTAGACCACAAGCCCAACTCCTGCAGGGCCACACCCAGCTTGACTTTAAGGCTCTAGATTTCACCATCTGATTCACATGTCTTGGGGAAAAAAATGGAAGACTCCTTCCACCTCCAGCTAGCTGCCTTCCCAGGCCTGCCAACCAGCCTTAGAAGACTGTGGTAGAAGGTGCAGGGCATGGAGCCGGTACTATCCTGATCCGTTTTACCCCTGCTAGCACCTAGTAACCATCTCCTTGCCTTCCAAGGTTATAGCAATCCCCTAGTTAATGATGAAAGTAGGAAGAACTCTCGTGCATTGCTGATGGGAATGTGAAATGGTTCAGCAGCTATGGAAAGCAGTTTGGCAGTTCTTTAAACATAGAATGACCCTATGATCCAACAGCCCAAATGTCCTTCAGTGGATGAATGGATACACAAATTGTGGTATATCCATACAATGGAATACTATTCATCCATAAAAAGGAATGAAGTACTAATACATGCTTCAACATGGATGAACCTCAAAAACATCATGCTGGCTGGGCACCGTGGCTCAGGCCTGTAATCCCAGTGCTATGAGAGGCCAAGGCAGGATAATTCCTTGAGGCCAGGCGTTCGAGGCCAGCCTGGGCAATGTAGCAAGCCCCTATCTTTACAAAAAAATCCCCAGTCCCCACCAAAATATCATGTTAAGTGAAAGAAGCCAGTCATTAAAAGTCATATATTGTGTGATTCCATTTATATGAAATATTCAGAATAGGTAAATCCACAGAGATTTGCCTGGAGAGACGGGAGAACAGGGAGCAACTGTTAATGGGTATGAGGTTTCCATTTGGGATGATGAAAACGTGCTGGAACTATATAGAGTTGATGGTTGCACAGTATTATGAAAGCACTAAATGCCACTGAGTTGTTCACTTTATAATGGTTAGTTTTATTAATATACTATGCAAATCTCGCCTCAGAAAACAAAGTAATAATGAAAGTAGGAGTCTGCCAGGGAATTCAATGAGTAGAACCATCTGAAAAGTTCAGCTTATCTTCTTTGGAACAAAAGAGCTTGTGCCCACATGAGTCACAGCCTTTCCCGGTGTGCTGGAACACTGGGCACTGCTCTGAGGACTCTCAGAGGATGCTCGTAGGACCTTGAGATGTTTTCTGGCCCCAGGCTGCTCCCCGAAGCCTCTTCCTCTGCCTAGCCCTCACTCCATGGGGGCCTCCCTTTCAGGTTCCTGCCTCCCAAGCAGGTGGCAGACAGTTGATCTGTGCTTCGCATCTTCAGCTAACATCGTGCCATCTGCCCCAGTGGCAGGTCCACCCCTCTCTGATCCTTTGCTCCGAACATAGCCTTCAAAGCCCTCTAGTTTTCTTTACCACAATTTTTTTTTTTTTTTTAGTAAGTGCAGTGATGCGATCTTGGCTCACTGCAACCTCTGCCTCCCGAGTTCAAGTGATTCTCCTGCCTCAGCCTCCTGAGTAACTGGGATTACAGGCACGTGCCACCACGCCCGGCTAATTTTTGTATTTTTAGTAGAGATGGGGTTTCACCACGTTGGCCAGGCTGGTCTTGAACTCCTGACCTCAAGTGATCTGCCCACTTCGACCTCCCAAAGTGCTGGGAGTACAGGCCTACCACAGATTGTTTTCATCACCCCTTAAGTGAACCTCCTGCTCTCTGGAATCTCACATTCCCCACAGCACTCTCCCCACATGCCAGGCCCTGGGCTGCCTGCTCAGGGTGCAGCAGAGTGGGGAGGAGTTCCAGGGTGAATCAGGCTGTTCACTGCTCCTCCCTGCTCCAAAGCTTCCTATAGCCCCTTCTGCTCAAAGATCTTCCATGGCTCCCCATTCTCACACCAAGGGATTATAGGAACCTGAACCCTTTGAGGTCCTAACAAGAATTTTGCATTCTCTGTAAATAAATAAATGTGCCCATGTACAAGAAATGAGTGGGCCTCTTTGACCTCTGCAGCCCATCCAAGGACCTCTAAGGCAGAGCTACTCAAAGTGTGGTCCATAGACCAGTGCCAGCCACTGGTTCACAAGAATACAGAAATGGAGAGTAAGCACTGAGAAACCTTTATAGCGATTGCCTGTACATCTAGGCACATGACCACTTTTACTGTATTTTACAAAAATATGGGTATGCAATCAATTGGAAATTTTTTTAAAAGGCGGGGGTAGTCCTTCATTACAGAGTTTGAGAAACACTACCCTAAGGACCCTTTCACTGCTGACCTACTCAATAAATTCAGGCTGGCATTCCAGGCCCTCCACGACCCCATCCTCTAATCTTTCCAGCCTTATTTCTGGCTACCTCCCACAACACACACACACCCACACACACACACACACAATCTTCCCTTCACACTCCATGTCTTTGCCTATACTGTTCCCCTCCCCCATGGGGTTGTCCTTTCCTTCCTCTGCACCTGTTGACACCTGATTCTGGCCTCAAAGCCCAGCTCAAATTCCATTTCCTCAGTAAAGCCTTTCCAAATTCCACCCCCTTCCTTCCTTACACACATAAGCAAACACACAAACATATTCTAGCTGAACTTTGCACTCCCCTGGGCTTTCCTAACACCCATGTAGCTTTCTTTGTGGCCGTCTGTCTCTTCCTAGCCAAGGCAGAGCTGTGGTCCTCTCTGCCGGTGCCTCCTGGCCTCTCCCGCTCTGGGATGTCCAGCACCTCGCTGCATGGATTCTGGGCATTGCTATCCTGATTTGTACCCCACTCCCCTGGCCTCTCCTGTGGTTGCTCCTTTGTGTCCACCCATCTTCTGTGCTGGCCCCTCTGAGCTCCCCTCAGCAAGGACTCCATCCCACTCCCTGCCCCACTCCTGACTTCACCTCATCACCTGGGAGATCCGACCCTCTCAGCAATAACTGCTGGTATATGACTGGGACCAAAAATTAGTGACATCTTGACATGTTAAGAACTGTAAAAAAAGGCTGGGTGCGGTGGCTCACACCTGTAATCCCAACACTTTGGGAGGCTGAGGTAGGCAGATCATGAAATCAAGAGATCCAGACCATCCTGGCCAACATGGTGAAACCCCATCTCCATTAAAAATACAAAAATTAGTTGGGCGTGGTGGCGCGTACCTGTAGTCCCAGCTACTTAGGAGGTTGAGGCAGGGGAATCGCTTGAACCTGAGAGGCAGAGGTTGCATTAAGCATTGAGCCGAGATTGCGCCACTGCACTCCAGCCTGGCAACAGAGCGAGACTCCGTCTCAAAAAACAAAAACAAAACGAAAAAAAAAACACTGTAAAAAAATACTGGCAGGGCGTGGTGGCTCATGCCTGTAATCCCAGCACTTTGGGAGGCCGAGGCAGGCAGATGCTTGAGCCCAGGAGTTCCAGATCAGCCTGGGCAACGTGGCAAAACCCTGTCTCTCTCTTTTTTTTTTGAGACAGAGTCTTGCTCTGTCACCCAGGCTGGAGTGCAGTAGCACAATCTCAGCTCACTGCAACCTCTGCCTCCCGGTTTCGAGCGATTCTCCTGCCTCAACCTCCTGAGTAGCTGGGATTACAGGCATGTGCCACCACGCCCGGCTAATTTTTGTATTTTTAGTAGAGACGGGGTTTCACCATGTTGGTCAGGCTGGTCTTGAACTCCTGACCTCGTGATCCACCCACCTGGGCCTCCCAAAGTGCTGGGATTACAGATGTGAGCGACTGCACCCGGCCAACGCTGTCTCTATTAAAAATACAAAAAATTAGTTGGGCATGGTGGCACATGCCTGTAGTCCCAGCTACCCAGGAGGCTGAGGTGGGAGGATCACTTGAGCCTGGGAGGCAGAGGTTGCAGTGAGCCGAGATCATGCCACTGCACTCTAGCCTAGACGACAGACTGAGACTATCAAGAAAAAAAGGAAAGAAAAAAGAAAGTAAAATAATACATTTTGCTTATTTTTTATTTTATTTTATTTTTTGAGACAGTGTTGCTCTGTCGCCCAGGCTGGAGTGCAATGTCCCAATCTTGGCTCACTGCGACCTCCACCTCCCAGGTTCAAGTGATTCTCCTGCCTCAGCTTCCTGAGTAACTGGGATGACAGGTGCCCACCACTACACCCAGCTAATTTTTGTATTTTTAGTAGAGATGGTTTCACCACATTGGCCAGGCTGGTCTCAAACTCCTGATCTCAGGTGATCCAACCGCTTTGGCCTTCCAAAGTGCTGGGATTACAGACCTGAGCCACTGCGCCAAGCCCATAAGTGTTTCAAATGAATCATTATTTCTAGTTTTGCCCTGATTAGTGGATCCATAGCAACCAATCTTCCTCGATTTGGCCACATTTTTCTATTTATGCGAATTAGCCAGGTGTGATGGTGCACACCCGTAGTCCCAGCTATTCAAGGGGCTGAGACAGTAGGGTCACTTGAGCCCAGGAGGTGGACACTGCAGTGAGCCATGATTACACCACTGCACTCCAGCCTGGGCAATAGAGTGCGACCTTGTCTCAAAAAAAAAAAAAAAAAAAAAAAAAAAAGAAGAAGAAGAAGAAGGAAGAAGAAGCAGTTCAGCTTCATCAGAGTTAGAAAAATGCCTCAAGAATTCTGCCCACCTTGAGAAAGAGAGGGAAGGAGGGCATGTTTCATCTGAAAAGGGAGAAACTAAAATAATGATCACCGTGTGTGTGAAGGAGGAGACAAGCCAGGGAACACTCTAGGGGTTTCATGTCAGCAAGAGAGACTGAAATTAGCTCTGAGTGTGAACCTCCTGGCAGTGCAGGAGGGATGATGAAGGCCTGGCACCAGGGGGAGGATGCTGGGTGACTTCCTATTCAGAGATCATTCAACCAGGATTAAGGGTGGAGGCCCAGCCAGGCCTGCTGGGAGGCAGAGGACCGGAGCAGGTGACCACTTAAGCTGCCATGCAAGGGCAGAGCCTCGCCGACAGGGAGAGGCTGAGAAACGGATTATTAAGGCAGGGTCCAGAGCTTTAGAGTCTTCAAAGCAACCCCATAATCAAGGCTTCAAGGAGGCAAGCCAGGATTACGAATAACCTGTTTTCCTGATGAGAAAACTGAAGCCCAGAGAAGTTAAGAAACTTGTTTGAGGCCTCACAGGTGAGCCAGGACTTGAGCCCAGACCCTCAGTTCTTCAGTCCAGTGAGATGACCCCCACTGCCCTGCCTCTTGGGGCCAGAAGCTTCCCAGATAGGACCCAGGCCTCCTTTCTTGGTGGCTCTGTGAACTTCCTTAGGCCTTCTGCACCCCCACACCCCCATGCCACCCTCTCCACCAACACCCCAGCCACACAGCCCCAGAACAGGGCAGGGACCGCGGGGAGAGGCTGCAAATCCCTCTCCTAACAACTGAACTGAGGGAGGAAGGAGGTGGGAACAGGTCCCAAACTTCCATCTCACTTGTCCTCGCCCGTCTCCGTCTCAGACTCTCGTGATAGGAAAGTAGGCCAGTTTGGAATATGTCACGGATATTTTCAACAACCCCATCTGTACTATAGCTTCGCACACAGCCTACCGGGGTGGAGCCAGAGGCTTCCTGCCGGATGAGGAATACACCTGCTACCTCTGGGGCTCAGAGCCCAGATGGGGGCTGGGGACGTACACAGGGGACTCTGAAGGGCCAGGCATCCAGCAGTCAGGGTAGGGCGGGACAGGAGACCAGCTGTGTCTGTCCTCTTCCCAGAGCAGCGGGAGCAGAACAGCTGGGACCTACAGACACCATTCCACTGCCCTGCGACAGTGTGCCCTCCCAGCCTGTGGGTGGGGCACTGAGGAAGGAGCAATCAGTCCTCAGGGAAAGGGATCTGGAAAAGCTTTATGACAGAGGTGGCTGACATCTGAGTTGGGCCTTGAAAGCAAAGCAGGGTTTTGCTGAGTGGAAAAGAGGAGGAGGGTGTCTCTGGCCAAGGGAGAATGTTGAGAAAGCTGGGGCCAGCGCGCCGGGGCCAGCGTGCGGGAGCTGGTATGGCTTGGGGGTAGAGGGCTGCCCAGGGAGTGGCAGCAGGAGAGGCTGGGAGGTGGCAGGCTAGCGTTGGAGGAGCTGTGAATGGTGGATGCCCAGCTAAGGAGCTTCAGGTGGGCCCTGCAGGTGCCCACGGAGGCTTTTAAGTGATGTGATTCAGGAAGAACATGTAGCTATGGGCAGGAAGGAGTCAACTTGGGAGGGGCAGGGATGCAGAGGTTGAGTGAGTGTCCCTTCTGGACACCAGACACCCTGACCACATCCTTCTCCAGTCCACTAGCAGGGTAACCTCTCCTGACTGGGGAGAGAGGCCAATGTAAGAAATAAATTCCTTGTAAAAGTATTAGTGACAGCCAGGTGAGGTGGCTCACGCCTGTGATCCCAGCACTCTGGGAGGCCAAGGCGGGCAGATGACTTGAGCCCAGGAATTTGAGAACAGCCTGGACAACATAGCAAAATCCCATCTCTACAAAATAAAATGCAAGAATTAGCCAGGCATGGTGGTCTCAGCTACTCGGGAGGCTGAGGTGGGGGTATCACTTGAGCCCAAGAGGCCAAGGCTGCAGTGAACCATGATCATACCACTGCACTCTAGCCTGAGCAACAGAGCAAGACCCTGTCTTAAAAAAAAAAAAAGAGAGAGAGAGAGAGAGAGATAGAGATGATAGAGGCTTACTAGCTCAAGGGGACCAAGGTCAGGTCAGGGATGCATTTCAGGGGATTCACCTGGAAAGGCTGGCCCAGGGGACACCCACATGCTTTTGTTTACTAAGCACCACCTGCTATAGGCACTTGGCAGCATGGCCTTATTTAACCTTACAACAAGGCCAAGTGGTGCACATGCTTCCCTCCTTTCTATTGATGTGGAAACAGAAGCTCAGGAAGTTCGGGTCCCATCCCCAAAGTCCCACAGTTTGTAAGTGGCATAAGAATTTGGATCCATGTGTCTCCAGAGCCCAGTACATTCCCTTCATCTCTTTTTTGTTTGTTTGTTTGTTTTTGAGACGGAGTCTTGCTCTGTTGCCCAGGCTGGAGTGCAGTGGCACAATCTCGGCGCACGGCAAGCTCCGCCTCCCAGGTTCACGCCATTTTCCTGCCTCAGCCTCCCGAGTAGCTGGGACTACAGGCGCCCGCCTCCATGCCCGGCTAATTTTTTGTATCTTTAGTGGAGACAGGGTTTCACCATGTTGGCCAGGATGGTCTCGATCTCCTGACCTTGTGATCCACCCGCCTCAGCCTCCCAAAGTGCTGGGATTACAGGTGTGAGCCACCGTGCCTGGCCCTATCCCCTTCATCTCTTACCACCTCCCAGAACAGAGCCACGACTCCCTTCCAAAGAAGGGCCCCAACCTTTACCCCCTCTCACTGTCTCTACCCAGATCCAGGGCTCCAGGGCCCCATGGCAACCCCACAACCCTAACTACACTCAGATAAAGAAACTGAGGCCGAGCAATGGCTCATACCTGTAACCCCAGCATTTTGAGAGGCCAAGGTGGGCAGATCACTTGAGACCAGGAGTTCAAGACCAGTCTGGCCAACATAGTGAGACCCCATATCTCCTAAAAATACAAAAATTAGCTGGGTGTGGTGGTGCCTGTAATCCCAGCTACTTAGGAGGCTGAGGCAGGAGAATCACCTGAACCCAGAGGTGGACGTTGCAGTGAGCCGATATCGTGCCACTGCCCAGCCTGGGTGACAGAGTGAGACTCTGTCTCTAAAACAAAACAAAACAAAAAGAAACAGGTTCAGAAGCATCAAGTGACTTGCCCGACGACACAAGTTAATTTGTGACGTAGGCAGAATTCAGAGCCAGATCCCTTCTCACACCTACCCACTCTGCCTTTCAGCCCTGTGTCTCTGGCAGTTTATTTGGTCGGGAGGGGGCATCTGGCATGTTTGAGAGCGCTCAGCCTCTGTGTTTCCCAGTTTCTTCATCTGTAAAATGGGCCTGGGAGGGTTAGTGAGAGTGCACAGGTACAAGTCACTCAGCACAGTGACTGGTATGCACTCAACACTCAACAAATATTTATTGAGCAACTACTAGGAGCAAGATCATCTTTCAGTGGTTGGGGCACAACCAGAAACAGAAATAATCTGCTCTTCCAAAGTGGATATTAAGATGAGGATTGAGAGGAGAATGGGCCAGAGGCACAGGGAATGTGCCCCATAAATGCTCCCACTGAGTCCCACCTTCTGGCTGTGGGAGCTTGAGCAAGTCTCTCTGGTGTGCTCTACGTGTGGATCTAGAAATTGGGAAGAAGGCGGAAGAAGCTCCCCACTGTGTAGCCGCTATGTATTACTATCACTGCCAGCCTCTGTGGTGAGCAGCCCTGTTCCAACCCCTGTGAGACCAGCAAAGCCCTTCCCAACCCTGCTCTGTTTTTGGCCACATCTGGGTCAGGCAGACGGGTGCACGCTTTGCCTTCTGTTCCCTCCCTTCCAGGACCCACAGCTCTGCTCCTTGTCCTGTTGCAGACTCACAGCTGCCCAGCCCCCGTCCAGGCCCAGCCCTGAATCCGACGCAAGCATCCTGTCGGAGGCTGTAAGGGCTGGTGTTCAGGGGACACCTTTGAGGCCCTGATGCTGCCCTGAGCGTCGGGCTCCAACTCCTTACTTCCAAGGGTTGGGCTGCACTTCTGGCCAAAATCAAGGAGCTCCTCACAGAAAGACAAGGAAATCAAGGTCTAGCTCTAGGAACATAAAATAATCATAGTTGGGGTAATTCTTAAGCACTTAGGATATTATTTTATTTAGTTCCATCTGCGAGTATAAAACCCCATTTTAGAGTTGATAAAACTGAGGCTCAGAAAAGTGAAGTGACTTGCCTGAGGCATCCAAAGCCCCTCTCTTCTTTACTTCCAGATTGATGGAAACACTTGGCTCTGAATCCCTGGACTGTGTGTCCAACTTCCAGGCCGTGGCTGGACTCCAGTCCCCAAGTGTAACCAGAGGCAGGGGATCTGGGACCCCAGGACTGGGGAGAAAGAGTCTGGCACCTCCCCATGGCTGTTGCGGCTCACATTGTCCCTTTCAGGAACAGCTGCTGCTCAGTCTCCTTCACCCCCAACCTCAGGGTCAGGAAGTGGGGCCACCGTTGGGAGGTGGGATCAGGCCCTTCCTAGGTCCCCATCGCTGTTTCCAAAACATCATTCTGTTACTTTCTTGCAAAAGCCTCTGCTCTATCCATCTGTGCCACCCTCACCGTGCCACCTACAGTGGCCTTGTCCATTGAACTCGCAATACTGCCTCTATTTGTTGAAGCCTTTTGACATCCCAATTCCTAGCATATCCTGGGTAACTTCAAAGCCTCAGCCTCTCAGTGCTGTGACCTTCACATGCCTGATCACTTTCCACTGTACCCATAGCCTTGTTTCCATCTAGACACTGTTACCATCTGTATGTGCTCATATTTTCCTCTCTGGAGCATCGTCCACTCCCTCTATTCAACTATTCGTCATACAACCGTTCTTCAATCTCCCACCAACTGATCCAGAGGTGCATTCCCCATCCATCAGTTCCCTTCTGCCTTCACTCTTTTTTTTTTCTTTTTAATGAGGCAGGGTCTCACTCTGTCACCGAGACTGGAGTGCAGTGGCGAGATCTTGGCTCACTGCAATCTCCGCCTCCTAGGCTCAAGCAATTTTCCTGCCTCAGCCTCCCAAGTAGCTGGGATTACAGGCATGCGCCACTACCACCCGGATAATTTTTGTATTTTTAGTAGAGACAGGGTTTCACCATGTTGGCCAGGCTCGTCTCGAACTCCTGACCTCAAATGATCCACCTGCCTCAGCCTCCCAAAGTGCTGGGATTACAGGCGTGAGCCACCGCACCCGGCCCACTCTTTCTTCTCTTGTCAGCCCAGAGTCCCTGGTTTGTCAGATCATCTTAACTCCCCACACTCTGTATTTTGGGGTTACACTTCCCTGACAAAACCCTAACATTTAGACTTCTGATTCAAGATGGTTACCCTTAACACGTATGTTTGCCCCTCCATCCTGGACAATCCCTTTGAAATGACACAAAAAAATATCCTGGGGTTTTAAAACAGGCTTGATTTACTGATAGCACAACCTAACAGAGAAGGAATCTATGACATCATAGAGGGCTCCACTAAGAGAGTGAATTTTCCCCGAAGAGCCCTAGACTTGTGTCTCAGCATGGGAATAAGGCAGGGATGTCCACCCCCATCATCCCTAGTCAGCACTGTAGTTCAGCCAGTGCAAGAAAGGGGAAAAGACATCAGATTTGAAAGGCAGCAGCAAAATGATCATTATTTACAGATGGCATGAATTTCTATGTAAAAAATCTGATGGAATTTGTTAAATGGCTATTACAACTAATAAGTAAGTTTAACAAGATTGTAGGAGATAAGATCAATATATAAAAATCGATTACATTTCTATATACTAGCAAGTGAACTATTGGAAATTGAAATTAAAAAAAAAAAAACTCTGTATAGTAGCATCCAAAAAATATGAAATATTTAGGGATAAGTCTGACAAAGGATATACAAGACTTGATACCAGAAACTATGAAATTTGCTTAGAGGAATTAAAGACCTGAATATCATCCCTAGTCAGTGTTGTAGTTCAGCCAGTGCAAGAAAGGGAAAAAGACATCAGATTTGAAAGGCGGCAGCAAAATGATCATTATTCACAGATGGCATGAATTTCTATGTAGAAAATCTGATGGAAGCTGGGCGCAGTGGCTCACGCCTGTAATCTCAGTACTTTGGGAGGCCAAGACTGGCGGATCGCCTGAGGTCAGAAGTTCAAGACCAGCCTGGGCAACATGGTGAAATCCCCTCTCTACTAAAAATACAAAACTTAGCCAGAACAGTGGCACATGCCTGTAATCCCAACTACTCAGGAGGGCTGAGGCAGGAGAATCACTTGAACCCGGGAGGTGGAGGTTGCAGTGAGCCGACATCACGCCACTGCACTCCAGCCTGGGCGATAGAGCGAGACTCTGTTTCAAAAAATAAAAGAAAGAAAGAAAGACAAAGAAGAAAAGCACAAGGGATTTAGAATAGTCAGAACAATTTTGGAAAAGAAGGGGAAAAATTGGAGGACTTACACTATCTAACTTTAAGATGATTATAAAGCGACGGCACAATCAAGACAGTGTCATATTGGCATCAAGATGGGCAAATAGATCAAGGCTTGTAAACAGATCCATGCACATATGTTCAACTGATTTTCAACAAAGATGTAAAGGCAATCTAGTGGAAGAAAGACTGTCTTTTCGCCAGGTGCAGTGGCTCACGCCTGTAATCCTAGCATTTTGGGAGGCCAAGGCAGTTGGGTCACTTGAGCTCAGGAGTCTGAAGCCAGCCTAGGCAACATGGTGAAACCCTGTCTCTACCAAAAATACAAAAATTAGCCAGTCATGGTAGCATGCAGCTGTGGTCCCAGCTACTTGGGAAGCTGAGGCGGGAGGATCGCTTGAGCCCAGGAAGTAGGCTGCAGTGAGCTGTGGTCATGGTGCTGCACTCCAGCATGGACAACAGAGCGAGATCCTGTCTCAAAGAAAATATAAATAAACAGTAAGTTAGCTGGTTGTTGTGGCACGCACCTGTAGTCCTAGCTACTCGGGAGGCTGAAGCAGGAGGATTACTTGAGCCCAGAAGTTCAAGGCTGCAGTGAGCTACAATCACACCATTACACTCCAGCTTGGGTGCAAGAACAAAACCTTGCCTAAAAAAAAAATAAAAAGAAAAAAGAAAAGGTTGGGTGCGGTGGGTCACGCCTGTAATCCCAGCACTTTGGGAAGCCGAGGCGGGCAGATAACCTGAGGTCAGGAGTTCAAGACCAGCCTGGCCAACATGGTGAAACCCCATCTCTACAAAAACACAAAAATTAGCCGGGCATGATGGTGGGTGACTGTAATCCTAGCTACTTGGGAGGCTGAGGCAGGAGAATCACTTGAACTCGGGAGACAGAGATTGCAGTGAGCCAAGATCACGCCACTGCACTCCAGCCTGGGCAACAGAGCGAGACTCGGTCTCAAAAAAAAAAAAAGAGAATAAAAAAGCAAGCCAGACTGGGAAAGAATATTTGCAAGCATATATGGATAAAGGACTTTTATCCAGGATATATAAAGAACTCTAAAATCCCAATAATAAGAAAACAAACAACCCAATATTTAAAATGGGCACACGGAGGCAGGGGCAATGGCTCACGCCTGTAATCCCAGCACTTGGGGAAGCCAAGGCAGGTGGATCACCCGAGGTCAGGAGTTTAAGACTAGTCTGGTCAACATGGCGACACCCTGTCTCTACTAAAAATACAAAAATTAGCTGGGCGTGGTGGTGTGCGCTTGTAGTCCTAAACACTCTGGAGGCTGAGGCAGGAGAATCGCTTGAACCTGGGAGGCAGAGGTTGCCGAGATCGTGCCACTGCACTCCAGCCTGGGTGACACAGTGAGACTCCTTCTCAAATAAATAAATAAATAAATAAATAAATAAATAAATAAATAAAATGGGCACAAGAGCCGGGCACGGTACTCGCACCTGTAATCCCAGCATTTTGGGAAGCCAAGGCAGAAGGATTGCTTGAGCCCAGAAGTTAGAGACCAGCCTAAGCAACATAATGAAACCCTGTCTCTACAAAAAATGTTTAAGCTGGGCGCGGTGGCTCATGCTTGTAATCCTAGCACTTTGGGAGGCTGAGGCAGGTGGATCACCTGAGGTCAGGAGTTCGAGACCAGCCTGGTCAACGTGGTGAAACCCCGTCTCTACTAAAAAAAAATACAAAAATTAGCCGGACATGGTGGCAAGCGCCTATAATCCCAGCTACTGGGGAGGCTGAGGCAGGAGAATTGCTTGAACCCGGGAGGCGGAGGTTGCAGTGAGCTGAGATCGCTCCACTGCACTCCAGCCTGGGTGACAGAGCAGTAGTCTGTCTCAAAAAAAAAAAAAAAAAAAAAAGTTTAAAAAACTAGCTGACCGCTGACCACTGTGGCTCGCGCCTGTAGTCCCAGCTACTTGAGAGGCTGAGGTGGAAGGATCCCTTGGAAGTCAAGGCTGCAGTGAGCCACGATTGCACCACTGCACTCCAATCTGGGCAACAGAGCAAGATCCTGTTTCAGGAAAAAAAAAAAAAGCGCAAGATTTTGGATACTTCAACAAAGAAGAAGATATGCAGATGGATATGGAAAGAGACCCATCACTAGTCATTAGAGAAATGCAAATTGTGGTTTCACAATGAGACATCACTATTGGAATACCACAGTATCAAGCGCTGGTGAGAATGAGGAGAAAATGAAACTCATACGCTGCTGGTGGGTATGTAATATGGTACGACCACTTTGGAAATTAGTTTGGCGGGGGTTTTTTTTGTTTGTTTGTTTGTTTTTTGTTTTTGTTTTTGTTTTGAGACAGAGTCTCGCTCTGTTGCCCAAGCTAGCGTGCAGTGACGCAATCTCAGCTCACTGCAACCTCCACTTCCTGTCTTCAAGCAATTCTGCCTCAGCCTCCCGAGTAGCTGGGACCACAGGTGCCTGCCACCAAGCCCAGCTAATTTGTTTTGTTTTATTTTGAGACGGAGTCTTGCTCTGTTGCCCAGGCTGGAGTGCAGTGGTGCAATTTCGGCTCACTGCAAACTCTGCCTCCTGGGTTCAAGCGATTCTCCTGCCTCAGCCTCCTGAGTAGCTGGGATTACAGGCATGCACCACCACGCCCCGTTAATTTTTGTATTTTTAGTAGAGACGGGGTTTCACCATGTTGGCCAGGCTGGTCACGAACTCCTGACCTCAAGTGATGCCCCCACCTCGGCCTCCCGAAGTGCTAGGATTACAAGCATGAGCCACTGCACCCGGCCACATAATAAAAAATTATTATGCTGGATGAAAGAAGAAAAATGAAAAAGAGGAGTATCTACTGTATGACTGCATCAAGAAAATGCAAACTAATCTATAGGGATGGAAAACAGATCAATGGTTGCCTAGAGATGAGGGGAGAGTTGGGGGAGCAAAGGGGCATGGGGAAACTTTTGGGGTGATAAATATGTTCATTATCTTGACTTGATGGCTTTGAGGATATGTTCATATGTGAAAACTTATCAAATTGTACATTTTAAATATGTGTAGTTTATTGTATTGTCAATTGTTCATCAATAAAGCTATAAAAAGGTAAATAAAAAGAAGCAAGAATCAAATAAAAGAGTTAGTCTAAGAAAAGAAATGAGATATAAATACTACAAAAAGAGCAAAATCATCACTACATGCAGATTACATTATTGTCTAGTTAGAAAAGTCAAAGATTCAACTGAAGCCATTTAGATCACATCAGCAGGTTCAGTAAGATGGCCAAAAGAAAAATATACAAAAATCAATAGTTTTCTTTTTTACCAAGCAAAAACAATTTTAAAATGTTAGAAAAAAATTATCTAATTCGTGATAGCAATTGAAGCTATGAAATACCCAGGAATAAACTTTACCCAGAACATACAAGAAGACCTGAATAAACAGAGAGACCTATGCCATCTTCTCAAAATGGAAGAACACTCCGGAAAAGCTCTCAATTTTCCCCCAGATTACTCTATAAATTCATTGCAACTCCAGTTTAAATTTCCAGTGGAATTATTTAACCAAAACTAGAGAAGATAATTCTAAAATTCATCTGGAAGAGTAAATGGGTACCAAGAACAACAACAACAAAAAAAGTAGTTAAAAATAAGGATAATGGACCAGGTGGGAATTACTTCCATTACCACTAATCCAAATGTACCATAAAACAATTATTATTATAGCAAGCATGGATTTGTTTTCCTAGTTCACAAATATTTACGAAATAACCAAGTAAATGAATAGGCAAACAGAACAATAGAATGCATCATACAGAGACAGTCTCCAAAACGTTTTTCATGTAGTGAATATTTTAGCATAAAGACTTATCATGTATTTCTATTATTTTTATTTATTTTTTTTATTTTTTTATTTTATTTTATTATTATTATTTTTTTGAGACGGAGTCTCACTCTGTTGCCCAGGCTAGAGTGCAGTGGTGCAATCTCTGCTCACTGCAACCTCCGACTCCTTGGTTCAAGTGATTCTCCTGCCTCAGCCTCCCAAGAAGATGGGATTACAGGTGCCCACCACCATGCCCGGCTGATTTTGGTATTTTTAGTAGAGATGGGGTTTCACCATGTTGGCCAGGCTGGTCTTGAACTCCTGACCTCAAGTGATCCACCCGCCTCGGCCTCCAAAAGTGGTGGGATTACAGGCTTGAGCCACCTGTATTTAATGTATTTCTATTAAATATGTCCTGGATATCCATGAGTCCCTCAAAAGCAACATGCCCCAGATTGACCTACCTTCTTATTCATGCACCTCTTCCTACTCCACAGTTCCAGACAATCACTCAACCAGGAAAAGTAGTCACCCTGGATCCCTCCTTTTCCTCCCACTCACTCTCTCATTCAGTTTTACCTTTTAAGATATTTCTCAATCTCCACCTCCCACCACATGGAAATTTAGCACATGATAAAAACAGCATTTCAAACTAGCAAGGAAAAGAAACCGTGCTGGAATAAGTGGCTATCCATCTATGAAAAATAAATACTTAAGTCAGATCTATACATAACAATGAATTCCAGATGGATTAACTAAGTACATAAATAACTACAAAAGCACCAGGAAGAAATACAGGAGGGTTTGGTTTTTTTTGTTTTTATTTTTTTATTTTTTTGTTTGTTTTGTTTTAATCAGACAGTGCCAGAAGAAGGAGAACATTTTTTGTAATTTGGGGATAAGAAGGACTTTCATAAGACATGAAATTCATAAACTATAATGAAAAATATCAAAAGATTTGATTACAGTAAAAGACACCATAAAGTAAAAAAAGGGAATGCTAGGCCGGGGGCGGTGGCTCACACCTGTAATCCCAGCACTCTGGGAGGCCGAGGCGGGCGGATCACCTGAGGTTAGGAGTTCCAGACCAGCCTGGCCAACGTGGTAAAACCCTGTCTCTACTAAGAATATAAAAATTAGCTCGGCGTGGTGGAACATGCCTGTAATCCCAGCTACTCAGGAGGCTGAGGCAGGAGAATCACTTGAACCCGGGAGTCAGAGGGTGCAGCGAGCCAAGATCGTGCCACTGCACTCCAGCCTGGGCAACAAAAGTGAAACTCCATCTCAAAAACAACAAAAAAGTGAATGCTAAAGTAGGAGTTTTGCAATATTTAAAGCACAGATAGAGTTACCTGCTAATTATTATCCCTAATATACAAAAGGATCCTACACATCAGTAAGAAAAGATCAGAAAATCCAACAGGACAAAGGGCGAAGGTAATGACAGGACAATTTATGCTTTTTTTGTTTTTTTGAGACAGAGTCTCAGTGTGTTGCCCAGGCTGAAGTGCAGTGGTGTGATCATAGCTCATGGCAGACTTAACCTCCTGTGCTCAGCCTCTCAAGTAGCTAGAACTACAAGTGCACACCACCAAGCCTAGCTAATTTTTAGTATTTTTATTTTTTGTAGAAACAGGGTCTTGCTATACTGCCCAGGCTGGTCTTGTATTCCTGGGCTCAAGCAACCTTCCCACCTCAGCCTCCCAAAATGTTGGAATTACAGGCATGAGCCACTGCACCTGGTAGAGATACATTTTTGTCCATTAAGTTGGTAAAAAATTAATGCAATTGATAATGTTTGGTGTTCACATGAGCGCAGATACAAGGGAACTCTCAAACATTGTTGACGAATATACAAAACAATACGACAGTTTGGGAGGCAATTGATCTGTACTCACCAAAATGTTAAACAAACCCTTTGAGAAAGCTACTCCTTTTTAGTAAAAATCTGTTGTTTTAGCTTTCCCAGCACCCATTACCCCTTCAGAATTCTGGCAACTGCCCTTCCCTCACCCCAGATTGTCTGCAGAACCACTTGTCTCCTACTGTCCAGCAAGCAGTTTGCTGGGGCTGGCTCCGCCTCCCAGTTGCGGGGGTGAGTTCTGTGACTTAAACTTGCCCAATCAGTGTATTCCATCCCCCACCTCAAGCAAAGTGATTGGTTTAGGGCAGGACATGTGATCTAAGTGAGAGCCAAATTAGAGACCGCCCTGTGACTTTTCCAGCCTCCCAGAGAAGAGCAGGTGGAGTGTGGCCATCTTGACTTTCCATGCAAGAATTGATCTGAGAATGAAGCCAAAACAAAGGAAATCCAAGTGCTAGTGAGAGATTATGAAGGCAAAATTTGGGCACCTGGACCCAGCTATACTTGAATTCAGCTGTCCCTAGGAATTGAGTGATATGAGCCAATAAAACACCCTCCATGGCCAGGCACAGTGGCTCACGCCTGTAATCTCAGCACTTTGGGAGGCCAAGGTGGGCAGATCATTTGAGGTCAGGAGTTTGAAACCAGCCTGGCCAACATGGTGAAACCCCCATCTCTACTAAAAATACAAAAATTAGCCGGGTGTGGTGGCACGCGCCTGTAATCCCAGCACTTTGGGAGGCCAAGGCAGGAGGATCGCTTGAGGCCAGGGGTTTGAAACCAGCCTGAGCAACTTGGTGAAATCTCATATCTACAAAAAATACAAAAACTAGCCTGGCATGGTGGAGTGTACCTGTAGTCCCAGCTACTCAGGAGGCTGAGGTGGGAGGATCACTTGAGCCCAGGAGGTCGAGGATGCAGTGAGCCGAGATCACACTGTTGCATTGCAGCCTGGGCAACAGAGAAGATCTTGTCTCAAAAATAATAAATAAATAAATAAATAATAAAATACTTGAGGGGGAAAAAGTTTCTTAGAACCATGTGGAAATACTACTTCTTTTTTGTTTTGTTTTTATTTTGTGTTTGTTTGTTTTTGAGACAGAGTCTAGCTCTGTTGCCCAGGCTGGAGTGCAGTGGAGCAATCTCGGCTCACTGCAATGTCCGCCTTCCGGGTTCAAGCAATTCTCCTGCTTCAGCCTTCCAAGTAGCTGGGATTACAGGCATGCGCCACCATGCCCGGCTTATTTTTGTATTTTTAGTAGAGACGGGGTTTCACCATATTGGCCAGGCTGGTCTTGAACTCCTGACCTCGTGATCTACCTGTGTCGGCCTCCCAAAGTGCTGGGATTACAGGTGTGAGCCACCACACCCGGCCTTCGTTTTTAATTTTAAAATACACCAAGACCCGCAGTGGATACCTGAAACTGCAGATATACCAAATCATATATGTACTATGTTTTTTCCTGTACATGCAAACCTATGACAAAGTTTAATTTTAAAATTATGCACAAGAGGCTGGGCACAGTGGCTCACGCCTGTAATCCCAGCACTTTGGGAGGCTGAGGCTGGTGGATCACCTGAGGTCAGGAGTTCGAGATCAGCCTGGCCAACATGGCGAAACCCCGTCTTTACTAAAAATACAAAAATTAGCTGGGCGTGGTGGCACATGCCTGTAGTCCCACCTTCTCAGGAGGCTGAGGCAGGAGAATCCCTTGAATCTAGGAGGCAGAAGCTGCAGTGAGCCAAGATTGCACCACTGCACTCCAGCCTGGGCAACAGAGCGAGACTCCATCTCAAAAAAAAAAAAAAAGGCACAAAAAGAGATTTACAACAATTAATAAAATAGCACCCCTCCCCCTCCCCCTCCCTCTCCCCACCGTCTCCCTCTCCCTCTCTTTCCACAGTCTCCCTCTGATGCTGAGCCGAAGCTGGACTGTACTGCTGCCATCTCGGCTCACTGCAACCTCCCTGCCTGATTCTCCTGCCTCAGCCTGCCGAGTGCCTGCGATTGCAGGCGCGCGCCGCCACGCCTGACTGGTTTTCGTATTTTTTTGGTGGAGACAGGGTTTCGCTGTGTTGGCGGGGCTGGTCTCCAGCTCCTAACCGCGAGTGATCCGCCAGCCTCGGCCTCCCGAGGTGCCAGGATGGCAGACGGAGTCGCGTTCACTCAGTGCTCAATGGTGCCCAGGCTGGAGTGCAGTGGCGTGATCTCGGCTCGCTACAACCTCCACCTCCCAGCTGCCTGCCTTGGCCCCCCAAAGTGCCGAGATTGCAGCCTCTGCCCGGCCGCCACCCCGTCTGGGAAGTGAGGAGCGTCTCTGCCTGGCCGCCCATCGTCTGGGATGTGAGTAGCCTCTCTGTCTGGCTGCCCAGTCTGGAAAGTGAGGAGCGTCTCTGCCCGGCCGCCCATCGTCTGAGATGTGGGGAGCGCCTCTGCCCTGCCGCCCCGTCTGGGATGTGAGGAGCGTCTCTGCCCGGCCACCCCGTCTGAGAAGTGAGGAGACCCTCTGCCTGGCAACCGCCCCGTTTGAGAAGTGAGGAGCCCCTCCGCCCGGCAGCCACACCGTCTGAGAAGTGAGGAGCCCCTCCGCCCAGCAGCCACCCCGTCTGGGAAGTGAGGAGCCTCTCCGCCCGGCAGCCACCCCGTCCGGGAGGGAGGTGGGGGTCAGCCCCCCGCCCGGCCAGCCGCCCCCTCCGGAAGGGAGGTGGGGGGGTTAGCCCCGCGCCCGGCCAGCCGCCCCGTCCGGGAGGGAGGTGGGGGGGGTCAGCCCCCCGCCCGGCCAGCCGCCCCGTCCGGGAGGTGAGGGGCGCCTCTGCCCGGCCGCCCCTACTGGGAAGTGAGGAGCCCCTCTGCCCGGCCAGCCGCCCCATCCGGGAAGGAGGTGGGGGGGTCAGCCCCCCGCCCGGCCAGCCGCCCCGTCCGGGAGGTGAGGGGCGCCTCTGCCCGGCCGCCCCTACTGGGAAGAGAGGAGCCCCTCTGCCCGGCCAGCCGCCCCGTCCGGGAGGGAGGTGGGGGGGTCAGCCCCCCGCCCGGCCAGCCGCCCCGTCCGGGAGGGAGGTGGGAAGGTCAGCCCCCCGCCCGGCCAGCCGCCCCGTCCGGGAGGGAGGTGGGGGGTATCAGCCCCCCGCCCGGCCAGCCACCCCGTCCAGGAGGGAGGTGGGGGGGTCAGCCCCCCACCCGGCCAGCCGCCACGTCCGGGAGGTGAGGGGCGCCTCTGCCCGGCCGCCCCTACTGGGAAGTGAGGAGCCCCTCTGCCCGGCCAGCCGCCCTGTCCGGGAGGGAGGTGGGGGGGTCAGCCCCCCGCCCGGCCAGCCGCCACGTCCGGGAGGTGAGGGGCGCCTCTGCCCGGCCGCCCCTACTGGGAAGTGAGGAGCCCCTCTGCCCGGCCACCACCCCGTCTGGGAGGTGTACTCAACAGCTCATTGAGAACGGGCCATGATGACAATGGCGGCTTTGTGGAATAGAAAGGCGGGAAAGGTGGGGAAAAGATTGAGAAATCGGATGGTTGCCGTGTCTGTGTAGAAAGAGGTAGACATGGGAGACTTTTCATTTTGTTCTGTACTAAGAAAAATTCTTCTGCCTTGGGATCCTGTTGATCTGTGACCTTACCCCCAACCCTGTGCTCTCTGAAACATGTGCTGTGTCCACTCAGGGTTGAATGGATTAAGGGTGGTGCAAGATGTGCTTTGTTAAACAGATGCTTGAAGGCAGCATGCTCGTTAAGAGTCATCACCACTCCCTAATCTCAAGTACCCAGGGACACAAACACTGCGGAAGGCCGCAGGGTCCTTTACCTAGGAAAACCAGAGACCTTTGTTCACTTGTTTATCTGCTGACCTTCCCTCCACTATTGTCCTGTGACCCTGCCAAATCCCCCTCTGCGAGAAACACCCAAGAATGATCAATAAAATAAATAAATAAATAAATAAATAAAATAAAATAAAATAGCACAATTATAACAATATACTTATTGTATTCCTCCTACCTGTTTTCAGAACTCGATTGACCTTGGGTAACTAAAACTGTAGAAAGTGAAACTGTGAATAAAGTGGAACTACTGTATGTCTATGCATACAAAAAGGTCTGGAAATATAGACAGACACACACATCCCCACACCCTCACACACACACACACACACACACACACGGACACACACACTATTAGCAGTAATTATCCCTAAGGGAGTGGCAATGGGAGCCAAAGGAATCCACTGTTGTGTGTTTTTTGTGTTTTTTGTTTGTTTGTTTGTTTTGAGACAGAGTCTCTGTCACCCAGGCAGTGCAGTGGTACGATCTCAGCTCACTGCAACCTCCTCCTCCCGGATTCAAGTGATTCTCGTGCCTCAGCCTCCCGTGTAGCTGGGATTACAGGTATGAGCCATCACACCTGGCTACTTTTTTAATTTTTAGTAGAGACGGGTTTTCACCATGTTAGACAGGCTGGTCTCAAACTCCTGACCTCAAGTGATTTGCCCGCCTCGGCCTCCCAAAGTGCTGGGATTACAGGCATAGTCACTGCACCCAGCCCCAAAGGAATCCACTTTTAATCCTATACACATCTTTATGATTTGAATTTTTCTTTTCTTTTTTGTAGAGATGGGATCTTGCTGTGTTGTCCAGGCTTGTCTTGAACTCTAGGCCTCAAGTGATCCTCCCGCCTCGGCCTCCCAAAGTACTTGGATTACAGGCATGAGCCACCATGCCCAGCTTGAATTTTTCTAAAGAGCAATGAATTATTCATTCAACAAATATTTAAATAGGACCTGTCTTGACCAATCACTGTTCTAGGTTAAGGCCATAGCATTAAACAAAACGGACAAAATCCTTGCTTTCATGATGGGAGGGGGCATCAATATATTTTAAAAATGATATCTAGGTGGGGTGCAGTGGCTCACGCCTGTAATCCCAAAAATTTTGGAGACCGAGGCAGGCGGATCACTTGAGGTCAGGAGTTCGAGACCAGCCTGGCCAATATGGGAAAACCCCATCTCTACTAAAAATACAAAAAAATTAGGTGGGCATTCTGGCACATACCTGTAGTCCAGCTACTTGGGAGGCTGAGGCAGGAGAATCGCTTGGAGTCAGGAGGCGGAGGTTGCAGTGAGCCAAGATCATGCCAATGCACTCCAGCCTGGGTGACAGAGTGAGACTCCGTCTCAAAAATTAAAATAAAATAAAATGTTAAAAATTGATGAACCCAACTCTTGGCTTTTATCGTGCCTGCATCCGGGCAGCTGAGTATCACTAGAGAAAAGCACATAGCTGAGAAGACTGGGACCAAAGAAAATGGTGGTCCTCGATGTTATATGGAACCTGAATGTGGCTTGACAATCCTGGCTATGCTTCAGTGATTAACTCCCTACCTGCTCTTCAAAGTGACAACTTCTAACATCTCCCATTCTCCTTCCTTAAACTGTTTAAAAGAGTGATTGCTGGGGCCAGGCCCGGTGGCTCATGCCTGTAATCCGAGCACTTTCGGAGGCCGAGGTGGGTGGATCACGAGGTCAGGAGTTCGAAACCAGCCTGGCCAAGATGGTGAAACCCCATCTCTACTAAAAATACAAAAATTAGCCGGGTGCAGTGGTGGGCACCTGTAATCCCAGCTATTCAGGAGGCTGAGGCAGAAGAATCGCTTGAACCTGGGAGGCGGAGGTTGCAGTGAGCCAAGATCATACCACTGCGCTCTAGCCTGGGTGACAGAGCAAGACTCCTTCTCAAAAGGAGTGATTACAATTGTCATTAGGACTATTCTGTGTCTCTGCCTTCTGGGCACAAAGCAAGATGCTATTTCCCTTAAAGTTAGAATGGTCGGCCAGGCGTGGTGGCTCACGCCTGTAAGCCCAGCACTTTGGGAGGCTGAGGCAGGCAGATCACGAGGTCAGGAGATCAAGACCATCCTGGCTAACATGGTGAAACCTCATCTCTACTAAAAATACAAAAAAAAGGTAGCCGGGCGTGGTGGCGGGAGCCTGTAGTCCCAGCTACTTGGGAGGCTGAGGCAGGAGAATGGCATGAACCCGGGAGGCAGAGCTTGCAGTGAGCCGAGATTGCACCACTGCACTCCAGCCTGGGCGACAGAGCGAAAAAAAAAAAAAAAAAAGTTAGAATGGCTACGCAACTTCATTTGGTCAACGAAAGTTGGACAGAAGTGATGTGTGTTACTTCCAGGTCAATGCTTTTTTAAAAAAAATCAGTAGTTTTGGGGGTGCAAGTGGTTTTTGGTTACATGGATGATTTATATAGTGGTGAAGTCTGAGATTTTAGTGGACCCCTCAACTGAATAGTGTACACTGTACCCAACACATAGTTTTTTATCCTTCACCCCGTACCCACCCATTCTGCTTCTTAGTCTCCAAAATCCATTATATAATTTTTTTTTCTTTTTTTCAGACGGAGTCTCGCTCTGTTGCCCAGGCTGGAGTGCACCGGTGCGATCTTGGCTCACTGCAACCTCTACCTCCTGGGTTCAAGCAATTCTCCTGCCTCAGCCTACCAAGTAGCTGGGATTACAGGTGCCCGCCAACACACCCGGCTAATTTGTCTTCATTTCTTCATCTCCTACTTTATAACGCCCTCCACGCTGGTGCCACCCCACTAACTCCATTCAAACTACTCTTCCTTAGGCTGTGGCATACCTGTTTTAGTCCTTACCTAATAGGACCTCTCAGCAGCATAGAGCAGTTACCCATTTTTCTCTTTACAAAAACACTCTCGGCCAGGCACAGTGGCTCGTGCCTGTAATCCCAGCACTTTGGGAGGCCGAGGTGGGCAGATCACCTGAGGTCGGGAGTTCAAGACCAGCCTGACCAACATGGAGAAACCCCATCTCTACTAAAAATGCAAAATTAGTCAGGCGTGGTGGCGCATGCCTGTAATCCCAGCTACTAGGGAGGCTGAGGCAGGAGAATCGCTTGAACCTGGGAGGCGGAGGTTTGCAGTGAGTTGAGATCGCACCATTGCACTCCAGCCTGGGCAACAAGAGCGAAATTCCGTCTCAAAAAAAACAAACAACAACAACAACAAAAAAAACCCACACTCTCTTCCCAGCTTCTAGGATACTGTACTTTGTTTTTTGTTTTTTGTTTTTGTTTTGAGACGGAGTCTCACTCTGTCACCCAGGCTGGAGTGCAGTGGCATGCTTTTGCCTCACTGTAACCTCCACCTCCCAGGTTCAAGCAATTCTCCTGCCTCACCCTCCTGAGTAGATGGGATTACAGGTGTGTGCCACCACGCCTGGCTAATTTTTGTATTTTTAGTAGAGACAGGGATTCGCCATATTGGCCAGGCTGGTCTCGAACTTCTGACCTCGTGATCCGCCCGCCTCGGCCTCCCAAAGTGCTGGGATTACAGGCGTGAGCCACCGCGCCTGGCCAGGATACTGTACTTTCTTGGTTTCCTTCTCACAACCTCTCTGACTACTTCTTCTCAGTCTCCTTGGCTCAACCCAACTATGAAATGTTCCTCAGTTTTTTGTCCTAGGCCTGTTTCTATCCTCACTCCCTGACACTCCCATGGCCTTAATTACCACCCATATTTTAGCAGGTCCCAATTAATATCTCCAGCTCAGATAGAAATTCTAGTCCTATATATTGAATTGCATACCAGGACTTTCTCCACTAGGTTGTCAACTAGTCCAAAACTGATCTCATTATCTTTCCCCTTAGTTCTGTTTCTCCTCCTGGGTTTTTTAAATAAATACTGGTGCCATCCACCAAACCTCTTAAACCAGAAATAGGAGAGTCTTCCTTGATTCTTTACTCTTGCACTCTATACCCTAAAGCAGGAGTCCCCAACCCCCGGGCCACAGACTGTGGCCTGTTAGGAACAGGGCCACACAGCAGGAGGTGAGTGGCTGGCCTGCATTCCCGCCTGAGCTCCGCCTCCTGTCAGATCAGCGGCGACATTAGATTCTCATAGGAGCAGAAAGCCTACTGTGACTGCGCATGCAAGGAATCTAGGTTGCATGCTCCTTCTGAGAATCTAAATAATGCCTGAAGATCCGAGGTGGAACAGTTCCATTCCAAAACCACCCCCCATCGCTTCTCGGCCTTTTGGCTAAAATCAAGTGTAAAGCCACCTCCCACCCCACCATCTGTGGAAAAACTGTCTTCCACAAAACCGGTCCCTAGTGCCAAAAAGGTTGGAGACCACTGTTCTAAAGGTAATCAGTAAGTTTTTTTTTTTTTTTTAGACAGAGTCTCGCTCTGTTGCCCAGGCTGGAGTGCAATGACACGATCTCTGCTCACTGCAACCTCCACCTCCTGGGTTCAAGCAATTCTCCTGCCTCAGCCTCCCAAGTAGCTGGGACTACAGGCTCATGCCACCACACCCGGCTAACTTTTTGTATTTTTATAGAGTAGCGGGTTTCATCATGTTGGCGAGACTGGTCTCGAACTCCTGACCTCAAGTGATCTGCCTGCCTCGGCCTCCCAAAGTGCTGGGATTACAGGTGTGAGCCACTGCGCCTGGTCACAATCACTAAGTTCTATTTTTCCTACCTCCCAAATATCTAGTTTGTTCACATCTCCTTATCTTCACCACCATGAATCTAATTCAGGATGCCAGTTTCACTCACCTGGACAGCTGCTCCGATCTCTTAACTGGTTTCCCTGCATCTGTGCGTGTGTTCTTCCAGTCAGATCTTCATACTGCAACCAGAGAGAGACCTTTGCAAATACAGGAACAAATAGGAAACAAATAGAATATGGTAAATTAAACCCAACTCTATTAGTATTTACATGAAATTTAAAGGGGCTAAATCCTCTAATTAAAAGAAAAAAGATGTCAGACTGCATTAAATAATCCAATTATGTGCTGTTTACAAGAGCCACATCTTCAATATAAGGATGCAGAAAGGTTAAAATTAAAGGGTGAGGCCTGGGTGTGGTGGCTCATGCCCGTAATCCCAGCACTGTGGGAGGCCAAGGCAGGCAGATCGCTTTGAGCTCAGGAGTTGAAGACCAACCTGGGCAACATGGCAAAACCCCATCTCTACAAAAAAATTAAAATAAATAAATAAATACTACAATTAAAGGATGAAAAAAGATATAATGCAAGCGCTAACCAAAATAAAGTTGTAGCTATATTAGTATCAGACAGAGTAATCTTTAGGGCAAGAAGCATTACTAAAAACAAAGAAGGAACTGGGCAGGGTGGCTCATGCCTGTAATCCCAGCATTTTGGGAGGCCAAGACAGGTGGATTGCCTGAGCTCAGGAGTTCGTGACCAGCCTGGGCAACATGGTGAAACCCCGTCTCTACTAAAACTACAAAAAAATTAGCCAGGTGTGGTGGTGCACGCCTGTAATCCCAGCTGCTTGGGAGACTGAGGCACGAGAATCACTTGAACCCAGGAGGTGGAGGTTGCAGTGAGCCGAGATGGTGCTGTTGCACTCCAGCCTGGGTGACAGAGTGAGGCTCTGTCTAAAAAAACAAACAACCAAAAAAAGAAAAACAAAAAAGAGGGACATTTCACGATAATAAAAGGGTCAATTCAACAGGAAGACATAACAGTTCTAAATACTCATCTGATAATATAACCTCAAAATACATAAAGCAAAAATGGACAGAATTAATGAACAGGCCAGGCATGTTGGCTCATGCCTGTAATCCCAGTGCTTTGAGAGGTCAAGGTGCCAGGATCTCTTGAGATCAGGAGTTCAAGACCAGCCCAAGCAACATAGTGAGAACCTCATCTCTACAAAAAACTAAAAATAAAAATAGGTAGGCGTGATGGCATGCACTTGTAATCCCAGCTACGCAAGAGGCTGAGGTGGGAGGATCCTTGGAGCCCAGAATTCAAAGCTGCAGTGAGCCATGATCATGCCACTGCTTTCCAGCCTGGGTGACAGAGCGAGAACCTAACTCAAAAAAAAAAAAAAAAAAAAAAAAAAAAATTAAAGAAGAAATAGGCAAATCCCCAAAATTCCCAATCATAGTTGGAGATTTTTGACACAGCTCTCCCAGTAACTGATAGACAAGTCGATTTTTTAAAAGTCAGTAGAGGATTTGAACAATGTAATTAAACAAATTTCCCTAACTGACATTTATAGGATATTATTTTAAAAACCAGGAGGAAACCAACAACTACAGAAGGCACATGCTTCTCAAGTACCAATTTTGACACTTAACAAAATTGACCATATGCTGGGCCATAAAGCAAGTGTTAACGAATTTCCAGTTCCTGAAATCATGCATAGTATGTTCTCTGGACTCAGTGAAGTTGAGCTAGAAGTCAATAACTAAAAGATAACTAGAGAATTCTCCCCAAATATTCAAAAATTAATTAATAAGCCTCTAAATAGGCCATGGGGGTCAAAGAAGAAACCACCATGGAAGTTATAAAGTATTTTGAACTGAATGATAATGGGATATTGCCCAAAACATGTTTAAGGAGAAATGTATAGACTTAAAGTCATAGAAGAACAAAAATTAATGATTTAAGAATCCATTAAAAGAAATTTTTAGAAGAAGAGCATTTAACACTCCCCTTCCCCCAAAAGTAGAAGGAACAAAATGTTAAAGATAAGAGAAGAAATCAATAAAATAGGAAACAAATATAGAATGGAGAAAGTCAACAAAGACAAATACTGGTTCTTTGGAAAGATCTCTAAAATTACTAAAGACCTCTAAAAGTAATAAAGAGCAGGAAAGATTAAGGTAAAAAGAGAAGGAGGGAAGGAGATCACAAGTAACAAATATTAGAAATATAAGGCCAGGCACGGTGACTCACGCCTGTAATCCCAGCACTTTGGGAAGCCGAGGAGTGGATCACCTGAGGTCAGGAGTTCAAGACCAGCCTGGCCAACATGGTGAAACCCCATCTCTATTAAAAATGCAAAAAATTAGCTGTGTGTGGTGGCAGGCACCTGTAGTCTCAGCTACTGGGGAAGCTGAGGCAGGAGAATTGCTTGAACCCAGGAGGTGGAGGTTGCAGTGAGCCAAGATCGCGCCATTGCACTCCATCCAGCCTGGATGACAGAGAGAGACTCTGTCTCACAAAAAAAAAAAAAAAAAAAAAAAAAAAACAAAGAAAGAAAAGAAAAGAAAGAGAGAAAGAAAGAAAGAAAGAAAAAGAAAATAAATAAGAAATAAAAAAGGAAACATTACTATAGACCCTACAGATGTTAAAAAGATAATAGCAGGATATTATAAACAACTTTACATCGACATTTGAAAATTGAGATAATATGGGCAAATTCCTTAAGAGAAAACACAAAGTGTCATAAGAATATTTAAAAATTTTATAAGAATTTTCTGATTTTTGAGATCACAATACACCTATATCTGTTAAAGAAGTTGAAGGTCGGGCGAGGTGGCTCACTCCTGTAATCCCAGCACTTTGGGAGGCCAAGGCGGCTGGATCACAAAGTCAGGAGTTCAAGACCAATCTGGCCAACATGGTGAAACCCCATCTCTACTAAAAATACAAAAATTAGCCAGGCGTGGTGTCAGGTGCCTGTAATCTCAGCTACACAGGAGGCTGAGGCAGAGAATTGCTTGAACCGAGGAGGCAGAGGCTGCAGTGAGCTGAGATCGCATCACTGCACTCCAGCCTGGACAACAAAGCGAGACTCCGTCTCAGAAAAAAAAAAAAAAAAAAAAAGTTGAATTAATTTAAAATCTTCCTGGCCGGGCAAGGTGGCTCATGTCTGTAATCCCAGCACTTTGGGAGGCCGAGGTGGGCGGATTACCTGAGGTCAGGAGTTGGAGACCGGCCTGGCCAACATGGTGAAACCCTGTCTCTACTAAAAATACAAAAATTAGCTGGGCATGGTGGCACACACCCGTAATCTCAGCTACTCAGGAGGCTGAGGCAGGAGAATTGCTTGAGCGCGGGAGGCAAAGGTTGCAGTGAGCCGAGATCATGCCACTGTACTCCAGCCTGGCCAACAGTGAGACTCTGTCTCAAAAAAAAAATAAAAATAAAAATAAATAAATAAAATAAAATAAAATAAAATCTTCCCCTAGAGAAAACTTCAAGCTCGGGCAGGTTCACTGAGGCAATTCTTCCAAACATTTAAGGAAGAAATAATACCATCTTATACAAACTCAGAGGACAGAGTAAAAAGGAACACTTCCCAATTCATTTTATGAGACTTGCATAACTGTAATACCAAAAGCTGACAAGGATAGTACAAAGAAAGGAAAGTCACAGGCCAGGATCTCTCATAAATGTATATACAAAATCCTACACAAAATATAGCAAACGAGGCTGGGCACAGTGGCTCAGGTCTGTAATCACAGCACTTTAGGAGGCTGAGGCGGATGGATTGCTTGAGGTCAGGAGTTCGAGACCAGCCTGGCCAACATGGTGAAAACCCATCTCTTCTAAAATATAAAAATTAGCTGGGTGTGGTGGTGGGCACCTGTAATCCCAGCTACTAGGGAGGCCGAAGCAGGAGAATTCCTTCAACCCAGGAGGTGGAGGTTGCAGTGAGCCAAGATCACGCCACTGTACTCCAGCCTGGGCAACAGAGCAAGATTCCGTCTCAAAAAAAAAAAAAAAAAAAAAAAGACAACAACAAAGCCAGGCGCGGTGGCTCATGCCTGTAATCCCAGCACTTTAGGAGGCCGAGGAGGGCGGATCACCTGAGATCGGGAATTTGAGACCAGCCTGACCAATATGGAGAAACCCCATCTCTACTGAAAATACAAAATTAACTGGATGTGGTGGCGCATGCCTGTAATCCCAGCTACTAGGGAGGCTGAAGTAGGAGAATCGCTTGAACCCGGGAGGCAGAAGTTGCAGTGAGCCGAGATCGTGCCATTGCACTCTAGCCTGGGCAACAAGAGCGAAAACTCCATCTAAAAAAAAAGAAAATATATATATATCTCAAACCAAATTGAGTAATACATTTATTTTTAACCTTTTATTTTGAAGTTTTTAAAATTGTTATTATTATTTTGGAGGCAGGGTCTCACTGTATTACTCAGGCTGGAATGCAATGGTGCGATCACCCCTCACTGCAGCCTCGACCTCCTGGGCTCAGGTAATCCTCCCACTTCAGCTTCCCAAGTAGCTGGGACTATACAAGTATGTCATCACCCCATCTGGCTAATTTTTTATTTTTTAGAGAGACAGTGTCTCTCTATGTTGCCCAGGCTTGTCTCAAACTCCTGGGCTCAAGCAATCCTCCAATCTTGGCTAATTTTTGTATTTTTTGCAGAGACTAGGTCTCACTATGTTGTCCAGGGTGGTCTCGAACTCCTGAGCTCAAGTGATCCACCCACCTTGACCTCTCAAAGTGCTGGGATTACAGGTGTGAGCCACTGTGCCCAGCCAGTATACATTTTTTAAAAAGATAACTCAGAATAATGACCAAATGCAGTTTTGTCCAGTAAGGCAAAGTAAGTTTAATATACCAAAAAATGTAATTAATCATATTAACAAAATAAAGTAAAAAATCTAGACAACCACTTCAATAGATGCAGAAAAAGCATTTGGCAAAATTTAGTCATTATTCATGATTTTTGAAAACTAGAATAAAAAGCACTTTCCTCAATTTGATAGAAGTTATCTCAGAAAAAAAATACCCACAATTGACCTCATATTTAATGGTACAATATTGAGAACTTTGCTGCTAATACTGGAAACAAATAAATAAGAATGTCTATTCTCATTTCTTCTATTCAACATTATCCTAGCTAGCTCAATAAAGAAATAAAACAACTTACGAGCATAAAGACTGAAAAAGAAGTAAGTCCGTCTTTGTACAACAAGGTTATATACATAGAAAATCCTGAAGAATCTGCAAAAACTATTATATTATAGTCAGTGAGTGAAATTAGCATCAATATTGTCAACATACCAAAAAGTCAATTGCATGTCTACCAGCAACAAATAGTTGAAAAATCAAATTTTAGAAACACCATAGGCAATAATATATTAAAAAAACACTAATAATTTTATGAAAGATATGCAAGACCTCTATTATAAAAATACAAAAATGTTGCTTGAAGAAATAAAAGACAACTGAAATACATAGAGAGATGCATCATGTTCATAGAATAGACTCGATATTGTTAAGATGTCATGTCTCTCCACGTTGATCTATAGATTCAATGCCATCACAATCAAAATGTCAGCAGGTTTTTAAAATAGAAATGGACAAGCTGATTCCATCATTTATATGGAAATACAAAAGACCTAGAATAGACAAAACAATTTTGAAAAAGAAGAACAAACTTGAAAAACTTACACTATTGGATTTTAAGACTTACTACAAAGCTATAATAATCAAGATAACATAGGCTGGGCATGGTGGCTCACGCCTGTAATCCCAGCACTTTGGGAGTCCAGGGTGGGCGGATTACGAGGTCAGGAGATGAAGGCCGTCCTGGCTAACACGGTGAAACCCCTCTCTACTAAAAATACAAAAAATTAGCGGGGTGCGGTGGCGGACGCCTGTAGTTCCAGCTACTCAGGAGGCTGAGGCAGGAGAATGGCGTGAACCCAGGAGGCGGAGCTTGCAGTGAGCCGAGATCGCACCACTGCACTCCAGCCTGGGCAACAGAGCGAGACTCTGTCTCAAAAAAAAAAAAAAAAAAAAAAAAAAAAGATAACATAGTATTGGTATAGGAGAGACAAATAGATTAGTGGAAAAGCGTGTTCATAAACAAACCCACATATATAATAATTCATTTTTGACAAAAGAGTCAAGGTACTTCAGTGGGGAAATGAAAGTGCCGTCAAGGGGAGAGACTTCAACTCTCACCTTACACCATTTGCAAAGATTAATTCAAGTTAGATCATGGACCTAAATGTAAAAAGCTGAAACTATAAATCTCCTGGAAGAAAACATAAGATTTTGCAGCCTTGGAGTAGGCAAAGATTTCTTAGGACAAAAATGTAACCATAAAGGAAAAAAAATGATCAATTGGACTTCCTTAAAATTAAAAATTCCATTCATCAAATAATACCTTTATAAAATGAAAAGGTAAGACACCGAATGAGAGAAAATAATCACCTCATATATGTGATACAGACTTATATACAGAAGAAATGAATAACTTCCACAACTCAATAATAAACAAACAATCCAATTTTTTAAAAAGGCAAAAGACTTGGCAGAGTGCAGTGGCTCATGCCTGTAATCCCAGCACTTTGTGAAGCCGAGGTGGGAGGATTGCTTGAGCCCAGGAGTTCGAGACCAGCCTGGGCAACATGGCAGAACCCCATCTCTACGAAAAATACAAAAATTAGCCAGGTGTGGTGGTGCAAGCCTGTGGTCCCAGCTACTTGGGAGGCTAAGATGGGAGGATCTCTGGGGCCCAGGGGTGAAGGCTGCATTAAGCCATGATTGTGCCACTGCACTCTGGCTTTGGTGACAGAGCAAGAAGACCCTGTCTCAAAAAAAATTAATTAATTTTAAAAAAGACTTGAAGAAACATTTCACAAAAGAAGATATTTGAGGCCGGGCACAGTGGCTCACGCCTGTAATCCCAGCACTTTGGGAGGCCGAGGCAGGCAGATCACTTGAGGTCAGGAGTTCAAGACCAGCCTGGACAACATGGTGAAACCCAGTCTCTACTAAACTACAAAAATTAGCTGGGCATGGTGGCACGTGCCTGCTCAGGAGGCTGAGGCAGGAGAATCGCTTGAACCTGGGAGGCGGAGGTTGCAGTGAGCCGAGATCGCGCCACTGCATTCCAGCCTGGGTGACAGAGCAAGACTCCGTCTCAAAAAATAATATATATTATTATATAACAATAATAATAATAACTAAAACAACAACAGGCTCATCAGAATGGTTAAAATTAAAGTCTGAAAATACTACTACATGTTGAGAAGATGTGGACAACCAGAACTCACTGACATGGATTATAAAATAGTACAACCTACAACCACTTTGAAAAACAGTTTGGCAATGAAGATGCACCTACCCTATGACTCAACAATTCCACTCTTAGGTTTTACCCAAGAGAAATGAAAACACAAGTCCACACAAAGACTTGTATAAGAATGTTTTTGGGGTTTTTATTGTTGCTGTTTTTTTTTGTTTGTTTGTTTTTTGAGTCGGAGTCTTGCTCTGTCGCCAAGGCTGGAGTGCAGTGGTGCGATCTCGGCTCACTGCAGCCTCCTCCTCCTGGGTTCAAGCCATTCTCTCGCCTCAACCTCCCAAGTAACTGGGATTCCCAGTGCAGACCACCCCACCCGGCAAATTTTTGTATTTTTAGTAGAGATGGGTTTCACCATGCTGGCCAGGCTGGTCTCGAACTCCTTACCTCAGGTGATCCGCCCTCTTTGGCATCCCAAAGTGTTGGGATTACAGGCATGAGCCACCACCCCTGGACAAGAGTGTTTATAGCATTTATATTCATAATAAGCTCAAACTGGAAACAACCCAAATGTCCATCAACATGTGATTGAATAAATAAGTTGTAATATATTCATGGGAAACCACTCACCAATAAAAAAGGAACTAACTACAGGTGCATGCAAGAACATAATAAATTGCAAAAGTCTTATGATTAGTTTTTTAAAAAAGCCAGACACAAAAGAGTACATATTGAATAATTTCATTTATATGAAGTTCTAGAATAGGGAAAAATTAATCTATGGAATAGAAATAAGAAGAGTGGTTGCCTCTGGAGATTTCCTGGAAAGAGGCATGAGGGAATTTACTGGGATGATGAAAACGTTTGATACATTAGTTGGGGTAGCGGGTTTGTAAAAGCCATTTACTGGAAAATCTGTACATTTTACTGTATGTAAATTACACATCAATAAAAAATTGAATCGTGTAAGTAGCACATCAAGTATATATCAATTATATATATCTATACATATAAACAATTGTTTAAGAAAAATTATAGTTAGCACCATACTTAATAATAAAATACTGAATGTTCTCTGAGTTTGGGAATAAGACAAGAAAGTCCACTTTCACCACTTTTATTCAACATCACATTGGTTTTAACTAGTGCAATTAGGCAAGAAAAGGATATGAAGACTGGAAAGGAAAAAGCAAAACTATAATTATTTAAACAACATGATTTTGTATATAGAAAATCCGGCTGGGCGCGGTGGCTCATGCTTGTAATCCCAGCATTTGGGAGGCTGAGGCAGGTGGATCACCTGAGGTCAGGAGATCGAGACCATCCTGGCTAACACGGTAAAACCTCGTCTCTACTGAAAATACAAAAAATTAGCGGGGCATGGTGGCGGGCGCCTGTAGTCCCAGCTACTCAGGAGGCTGAGGCAGGAGAATGGCGTGAACACAGGAGGCAGAGCTTGCAGTGAGCTGAGATGGCACCACTGCACTACAGCCTGGGCAACAGAGCGAGACCCCGTCTCAAAATAAAAAAGAAAGAAAATCCAATAGAATCTGCAGATAAACTATTAGAAATAATAAGTGGTTAGTGGCCGGGCGCGGTGGCTCATGCCTCTAATCCCAGCACTTTGGGAGGCCAAGGCGGGAGGATCACCTAAGGTCAGGAGTTCGAGACCAGCCTGCCAACGTGGTGAAACCCCATCTCTACTGAAAATACAAAAATTACCCAGGCGTGATGGCACGCACCTGTAATCCCAGCTACTTGAGAGACTGAGGCAGGAGAATTGCTTGAACCCAGGAGACGGAGGTTGCAGTGAGCCGAGATTGGAGATCCACTGTGCTCCAGCCTGGATGACAGAGCGGGCTCCATCTCAAAATGAAAATAAAAATAAGTAGTTTGCACAAGAATGGGCAAATAGACTACCACTGGTACAGAATAGAATGCAGAAACAGACCTACAGATACATCGTCACCTAATTTACATCAAAGACCCAACTGCAATTCAGTGGGGAAATGATCTTTCCAATAAATAGTGTTAGAGTAATTGGCTAGCCACATAGAAAAAATTGAGTCTTGGCTCTCCCATTTCGAGCCTACACTCAGATTAATTTGAGATGTATAATAGACTTCAGTGCGAAAGATAAAAACAATAAACCTTCTAGAAAAATTATGGAAGGATATTCTTATGGCCTTGGGGTAGGCAAAGATTTCTTGATCAGGACACAATAAGCATTAATGATATATTTGACTTCATTAAAATAAACAAGCTCTGTTCATCAAAAGATACCATAAAGATGAAAAATCAAACCACAGAATACATAACTCCTATTAACTAATTTTAAAAAGTAAAACAATCTAATTTTAGATTGTTTAAATTGTTTAGATTTAAACAATCTAGATTTAATTTTAATCTAGATTTAGATTCAAATAGGCAAAACTGTTGAACGCATTTCACAAAAGAGATATCCAAATACCCAACAAATATGTAAGTACTCAAATCACCAGGCATCAGGAAAATGCAAATTACAGCTGCAATGAGATACCTATTCTGCACATCGACAAGTATGGCTAAAATTTGAAAAACTGAAAATTTATGGTGCGAGTGTAAATTGGTATCATTCTTCTGGAAAACTCTTTGACAACTTCTGTGAAAGATAAAAATAAGCTTACCTTATTATCTAGCAACTCTAAGGTAAGTACACAAGAAACATAAACGTGTATTTCCAGCAAAAATCATGTATAGCCAAAAACTAGAACAAACCTGAAGTCCATCAATAGTACAATAGATAAGTAAATTGTGTTATAGTCACACAACAGAATTCCATACAGCATTGAAAATGGTCCAGGCACAGTGGCTCATGCCTGCAATCCCAGCACTTTAGGAGGCAGAGGCGGGAGGTTTGCTTGAGCCCAGGAGTTGGAGACAAGCCTGGACAATATAGTGTGAAGCCATCACTACCAAAAAAAATAAAATAAAATTGACTGGGCATGGGTGGCACATGCCTATGGTTCCAGCTACTCTGGAGGCTGAGGTGGGGCAATCACTTGAGTCCAGGAGTTCGAGAGCAGCCTGGGCAACATGACAAAACTGCAACATGGTCTGTACCTAAAAAAAAATACATAAATTAGCTAGTCCCAGCTACTCAGGCAGCTGAGGTGGGAGGATTGCTTGAGCATGGGAGGTTGAGCCTGCAGTGAGCTGCCATCACCACTGCACTCCAACCTGGGCAACAGAGTGAGACCTTGTCTCAAAATAATAATAATACATTCAACAATATGGATGAATCTTACAGACATAATTGTTGAGTGAAAGAAACCAGATATAAAAGAGTATGTACTATATAATAATTCCATTTCTATGAAGTTCAATAACAGGCAAAAAAAAAAAAGAAAGAAAACCCACAAACAAGAAAAACAAAACTATAGTGGGCCAGGTGCAGTGGCTCACACCTGTAATCCCAGCACGTTGGAGGCTGAGGCCAGCCTGGCCAACATGGTGAAATCTCGTCCCTACTAAAAATACAGAACTTGGCCAGGCATGGTGGCACGTGCCTGTAATTCCAGTTACTTGGGAGGCTAAGGCAGGAGAATCACCTGAACCCAGGAGGTAGAGATTGCAGTGAGCCAAGATCATGACACTGCACTCCAGCCTGGGCTACAGAGCGAGACATAACAACAAAACCCTATGTTAATAGAAGACAGAAACAGTCACCTGTAGGGACAGGTTTGGGATGGGGGTGCCTTCTGGAGATGGAAAATGTTCTGTGCTGGGTGGGGTGTCTCACGCCTATGATCCCAGCATTTTGTGAGGCCGAGGCTGGTGGATAACTTGAGCCTAGGAGTTCGAGACAAGCCTGGCCAACATGGCAATACCCCATCTCTACTAAAAATACAAACATTAGGTCAGGTACACTCACGCCTGTAATCCCAACACTTTGGGAGGCTGAGGTGAGAGAATCAACTGAGGTTAGGAGTTCAAGACCAGCCTGGCCAACATCGCAAAACCCCATCTCTACTAAAAATACAAAAAATTAGCTGGGTGTGGTGGTGCACACCTGTAATCCCAGCTACTCAGGAGGCTGAGGCAGGAGAATTGCTTGAACCCAGGAGGCAGAGGTTGCAATGAGCCAAGATCACGCCACTGCACTCCAGCCTGGGTGACAGAGCAAGACCCTGTCTCAAAAAAGAAGAAAAAAAATGTTCTGCATTGTGAATCTGGGAATGGTTATATCATATACCTATGGGAAAATTTATTAAGCTATTACATAAGATTTGTGTCCTTTGCTTATGCATGTTATACCTAAACAAGATAAGAGTCCTTTAAATTCATTTTGGCATGGCCTATCCTCTATTAACATAGCCACTCCAGCATTCCTTTTTTTTTTTTTTTGAGACAGAGTTTCACTCTTGTTGCCCAGGCTGGAGTGCAACGGCCTGATCTCAGCTCACTGCAACCTCCACCTCCCGAGTTCAAGCGATTCTCCTGCCTCTGCCTCCTGAGTAACTGGGATTACAGGCATGTGCCACCATGCCCGGCTAATTTTGTATTTTTAGTAGAGACGGGGTTTCTCCATGTTAGTCAGACTGGTCTCGAACTCCCGACCTCAGGTCATCCACCTGCCTTGGCCTCCCAAAGTGCTGGGATTACAGGCGTGAGCCATCGCGGCCCGGCCTCCAGCATTCTTTTGATTAATGTTAGTATATTCTTGTACTTTCTACCTATTTGTGCCTTTTTTCTTTTTTTTTCTTTCTTTCTTTCTTTTTTTTTTTTTTTGAGCTAGGGTCTCACGCCCATCACCCAAGCTAGAGTTCAGTGGAATGATCTTGGCTCACTGCAACCTCAAATTCCAATACTCAGTTTCCTGAGTAGCTGGCACTATCAGAACATGCCACCACTCCCGGCTGATTTTTTTGTATTTTTAGTAGAGATGGGTTTTCACCATGTTGCCCAGGCTGGTCTTGAACTCCTGGGCTCAAGCAATCTGCCTGCCTCAGCCTCCCAAACTACTGGGATTTCAGGCATGAGACACCGTGCCCGGCCTTGTGTCTTTATTTTTAAAGCGGGTCTCTTGTAGATAGCATATAGATGGGTGTTGCTTTTTCATCTGCCTTTTAATTGGGTTGTTTAGTTTATGTATATCTATTTTAATTGTTGATCTGATTGAGTTTAAATCTACCATCTTGGTTGCACAACTGTATAAATTTATTCAGTATCATTAAACTGTTTATTTAAAATCCACCATCTTGCTGTTTTTTTGTTTGGTTTTGTTTTGTTTTTCGAGACAGAGTCTTGCTGTGTCACCCAGGCTGGAGTGCAGTGGCACGATCTCTGCTCTCTACAAACTCCGCCTTCAGGGTTCAAGTGACTCTCGCGCCTCAGCCTCCCGAGTAGCTGGGATTATAGGCGCCTACCACCATGCCCAGCTAATTTTTGTATTTTTAATAGACACAGGGTTTCACCGTGTTGGCCAGGCTGATTTCAAACTCCTGACCTCAGGTGATCTGCCCACTGTGACCTCCCAGAGTGCTGGGATTACAGGTGTGAGCGACCGTAGCTGGCTGTTTTTTTTTTTTTTTTTTTTTTTTGAGACACAGTTTCACTCTGTCCCCTAGGCTGGAGTACAGTGGCTCGATCTCAGCTCACTGCTACCTCTGCCTCCTGGGTTCAAGTGATCCTCCTTCCTCAGCCTCCTGAGTAGTTGGAATTACAGGCATGCGCCACCATGCCTGGCTAATTTTTGTATTTTTAGTAGAGATGGGGTTTCGCCATATTTGCCAGGCTGGTCTTGAACTCCTAAGCTCAAGTGATCCACCTGCCTCAGCCCCCCCAAGTGCTGGGATTACAGGTGTGAACCACTGTGCCTTGCCTAGATTGATTGATTGATTGATTGATTATTTATTTATTTTGAGACGGAGTCTTGCTGTGTTGCCCAGGCTAGAGTGCAGTGGCGTGGTCTCAGCTCACTGCAACCTCTGCCTCCCGGGTTCAAGTGATTCTCCTGCCTCAGCCTCCTGAGCAGCTGGAATTACAGGTGCCTGCCACCATGCCGGGCTAATTTTTTGTGTTTTTAGTCGAGATGGGGTTTCATCAACATGATGGTCTCAAATTCCTGACCTTGTGATCCGCCCACCTCGGCCCCATGAAGTGCTGGAATTACAGGTGTGAGCCACCATGTGTGGCCTAGATTTATTTTCTAATAACAATTCTTGAGTTTTGTTCTGGGATGAAGCGAAGCTACTTCACAAAAGTTTGGTCCCTTTGAGGCTAATTTTTAAGCTTTGTTAGGCGGGACTAGAACAGACTTTAGTCTAGGGCTAATTTTGCCCCATTACTGAGTCAATACCCTTCTGAGTACTATCTGATGCCCTGTTAGTTATAATGTTTTGTCTCTCTGCTAGCAGGACCATAACCAATTCCCAGCCTTGTGTGAGTCTCGGAATCATTCTCTCTCCTCCGTTGGATGGTCTTGACCTGGCCTCAGGTGGTTTCCTCACACACATGCACTGATTAGTACTCGGCTGAAGACTCAAGTGGGATCCCCTGCAAATTTTCAGGATTCTCTTCCTCTGTCTGGCACTTTTTTTTTTTTTTTTAAGACAGGGTTTCACTCTTGTTGCCCAGGCTGGAGTGCAATGGCACGATCTCGGCTCACCAAAACCTCCACCTCCCAGGTTCAAGCGACTCTCCTGCCTCAGCCTCTCGAGTAGCTGGGATTACAGGCAACTGCCACCATGCCCGGCTAATTTTTTGTAGTTTTAGTAGAGACGGGGTTTCACCACATAGGCCAGGTTGTTCTCGAACTCCTGACCTCAGGTGATCCACCCGCCTCGGCCTCCCAAAGTCTGGGATTGCAGGTGTGAGCCACCGCGCCTAGCCCTCTGTGCAGAACTCTTTTCTAATACCTTACCCAGTGAACTTCTGGGCCTCTCTTGTCTCCCAACTTAACCTCCTCAACTCAGGTAGACCATCAGACTCTGACTGACTTACTCTGCTCTGTACTGTGGCTGGAAACTCACTCCAGGTAATAGGTTTGAAAAATTGTAGGAGCTTTGTTTCTCTTCTGTCAGGGATCACTGGGCTGTGCTGCCTGATGTCCAGTATCTGAACCCCATTGTTCTGAATATTCTGTCTGGTTTTTTTAGTTGTTTCTAGTGGGAAGATAAATCAATTACCTGTTACTCCATCTTACACAGAAGCAGAAGCTCAGCTCATTCATTTTGGAGATTCATGTCCTACAATTCTGTGAATCTTTTTTTTTTTTTTTTTTTTTTTTTTTTAGACAGAGTCATGCTCTGCTGCCCAGGCTGGAGTGCAGTAGTGCGATCTCAGCTCACTGCATCCTTAACTTCCTGACCTCTCAGGCTCAAGCAATCTGCCCACCTCAGCCTCCCAAGCGTGTGGGACTACAGGCACGTGAGCCACCACACCCAACTAATTTTTGTATTTTTTGATAGAGATGGAGTTTCACCAAGTTGCTCAGGTTGGATGTGAAATTTTTAAAAAATTGATTGTCAATTTCCAACTGGGTACTGTAGCTCACTCCTGTAATCCAAGCAATTTGGGAGGCCAAGGTAGAAGGATCACTTGGGGCCAGGAGTTCAAGACCAGCCTGGACAACACATCAAGATCCTGTCACTACAAAAATAAATAATTTAAAACATCAGCTGGATGTGGCGGTGGCATGTGCCTATAGTCCCAACTACTGGGGAGGCTGAGGCAGGAGGATCACTTGAGCCCAGCAGTTCCAGGCTGTGTGGTGACCCATGATCACACCACTATACTCCTGCCTGGGAGAAAGACCCTGTCTTTAAAAAAAAATTTTTTTTAAATTAAAAGTCAGTTTCCTGCTCTCTTCATCTCTGTCTTCTGTTTCAGGATTAGTCAGATATTGGAGCCACCACACTCCAGTCTGGGAGACAGAGTGAGACTCTGTCTCAAAATAATAATAATAATAATAATAATAATAATAATAATAATAATAAGCACATCAGTTACCACTCCTTGAGCGCCTACCAAATTACCAAAAACCTGCCATTTTAATAGATTTTCTTATTGAATCATCACAGGAATTCCATGAAGTAAATATTATTATCCCTCTTTCACAGATGAGGGGACTGAGGGACAAAGAGATTAACTCACTAGCTCAAGATCATACCGTTTGTGGCTGGGTGCGGTGGCTCATGCCTGTAATCCCAGCGCTTTGGGAAGCCAAGGTGGGTGGATCACGAGGTCAGGAGATCGAGACCATCCTGGCTAACACGGTGAGACCCCATCTCTACTAAAAAAAATACAAAAGATTAGCCGGGCGTGGTGGCAGGCGCCTGTAGTCCCAGCTACTCAGGAGGCTGAGGCAGGAGAATGGCGTGAACCCGGAAGGCGGAGCTTGCAGTGAGCCGAGATCGTGCCACTGCACTCCAGCCTGGGTGACAGCGAGACTACGTCTCAAAAAAAAAAAAGATCATACTGTTTGTGGAATGGCAGAAGCTGGGTTGAAACTCAGCCATGTGGGGCACCAAAAACCGTGATCGTGACCACAGAGGGCAGCTGGAATTCAAGGGGCCTGCCTGTTTTTCTGCAACTCACCATCCACGGATTTCCTAAGTTTTTTGTGCCAGGCTCTGGGGAACCTAAGTGAATGTGGGCCCAACAGATGGGTGTTCACCAGAGAGTGAGCCAAGAAAGAGGGGTGGGGACAGACAGAGGTCCCTATAGAAGTAGAAAAAAGCAAGACAAGGCCAGAAGACTGTGTCTTTCTTCTTCTTTTTTTTTTTTTCTTTTTTTTCGACAGAGTCTTGCTCTGTCGCCCAGGCTAGAGTGCAGTGACACAATCTTGGTTCATTGCAACCTCTGCATCCCGGGTTCAAGCAATTCTCATGCCTCAGCCTCCAGAGTAGCTGGGACTACAGGTGCGTGCCACCACGCTGGGCCTTTTTTTTTTTTTTTTTTTTTGAGACGGAGTCTTGTTCTTGTTGCCCAGGCTGGAGTGCAATAGTGCAATCTTGGCTCACTGCAACCTCCGCCTCCTGGGTTTAAGCGACTCTCCTGCTTCAGCCTCCCGAGTAGCTGGGATGACAGGCGCCTGCCACCACCCCTGGCTAATTTTTGTATTTTTAATAGAGATGGAGTTTTGCCATGTTGCCCAGGCTGGACTCAAACACTTGGCCTCAGGTGATCCACCTGCCCCAGCTTCCCAAAATGCTGGGTTTACAGGCATGGGCTACCATGCCCGGCCATGTGTCTTTTGACTTTAAAGGAGCAGCTTGCAAATCATATTCAAAGCAGTATGCATATGAGATGTAAATTGCATCAGAAATGAGCATCTGGTATTTTTGAGTCAATAGCTCAGGCACTTTTGGGAGGGCCCTCCCCAGCTTTCTCCCAGGGTTGCCTGGGGTCAGGATCCCTTGCAAGACCTATTAACTAAACTTGAGATGTAGCATGTGCCTCTGCCAAACCCAGCTCTGGATAGAAAGGGGAGTGCTGCTGACCATGTCAAGGTGGGTTCTTTATTCTCACATTTGTCTGACAAATACTTGTAAAGCACCTGCTGAGCATAAGGTGCTCAGGCAGATGCAGTAGACAAGCAGGAAAGTCATTATTTCTAACTTTTAGGAACATACCCTCTACTCGGGGAAATAAATAAATACAGTAAAGACTCCAGTATTGTCTAGAGTCTAGACCAGGCTTTCTCAACCTCAGTGCTATTGATATTTGGAGCTGGGTAATTCTTTGTTGAAGGGGGTTTTCCGGAGCATCGTAAGATACTTAGCAGCGTCCCTGAGCTCTACCCATTAGATACCATTAGCAACTCCTGAGTTGTGACAACCAAAAATGTTCCCAGACATTGCCAAATGTGGGGAGGGAGGGCAAAATCCCCCCAGTTAAGAACCACTGCTCAAGACCCTAAGGCTATGAGCTTTTCATACAGACCCAGCGGGCTGAGGACTTGCCTTCAAGGATGCACGTTGTTCCATATTTTTGTATTTTAACCACTATGGAAGGTGCTCTTCTCAAATTTATCATGTAATTCTTTTCCTTGAAGCCCAGACCTGCCCCGCAACCACAGCATGCGCTATAATTCCATCCAGATCCCGGAGATTCTTGAGGACCAATCAACGTTGCCCCCAGATGGAATGGCCCCAGCCTGCAGAGCCTGTCAGGTCTGCAGTCTGCTCTTTCTGCTCTTCAGCATCTCTCTACCTCCTCTTTCCCTGTCATCCAATTGGCCCTGTGGGACTGCTCGTTATATTCTTATCGACTCTGGCCCCCATTCCCTTTAATTGGCAGCTTCGAGGAGTTAAGGAACTTAGTTTTGCAGATCAGTGTTTTTCTAACTGTGCCCCGCCAAGCACTGGGAATCCCCAGGGCCCTCTCAGAAGCCCCCGTAGGATGTAGTGGGGTAGGAGGAGGAGGAGGAGCTTCCGGGAGGCTGGAGGAGTGGAGGCGGCAGGTCGCCCTGCCCCAGCCCTCAGTGGCCCCACAGCAGCTTGGCTGTTCTTGGTTTTGTTTCTCTCTGCTTCTGCATGATATCTTTGAACAAAAAGTCCCAAGTGTACAAAAAGTCCCGAAAGGCGTTCGCAAACCACTGACCTAGATGGAGGGAATTGTGAGGAGCAGAGGGCACCCTCTTATAAAATGCCTGTACTTCGGTGCAGGGTTTGGTGGTGTCGGCGGTTTGGAGGCCCTTTAAGCTTCCTAACTCCTTGTCACTGGTGGATGGTGGGGTGCCGGCAGGAGGGCATCCCTTTACATAGGGGCTCATTGCTGTATGGATGTGGGCAGAGAACGAACAGGAGAGGGAGACTGAACTCCTGGCTTCCACATCAGGCACAAACCCCAGGACGTGAAGATCCCTAACTGCCTCCCCTCCGGCCCCCAAATAGCAGAACAGAGAGTAATCGCACTGCAGTGGCAGTGGAAAGAGCTGAAGCTAGACGCCGGGAAGAACTTCCCAACTTGGCACCTGGGGGAGGAGCAGCTGGGAGCAAATGTGGAACTGTCTGAGGTAGGAGGAGGTCCCCTTTGCAGGCTGAGAGATAATCACATACATCCTCCCACTCACACCCCCTTCGTCTGCTCCTGCCCCAACCAGGGCTGACTCCAGAAATTCTGCACAGATAAACCTCCAGGCCCTGAAACTCAGCAAGGGGTGGGGAGAGTGGGACCTGGGGCCATGCCCCCTCTGTTGCTAAGAAGCCCTTTCTGGGTGAGCGTGGTGGCTCACACCTATAATCCCAGCACTTTGGGAGGCCCAGGCAGGTGGATCATTTGAGGTCAGGAGTTCAAAACCAGCCTGAACAACATGGTAAATCCCCATCTCTACAAAAAAAAAAAAACTATATATATATATATATACCCACACACACAAAAATTAGCCAGCGTGGTGGCACGCCTGTAATCCCAGCTACTCGGGAGGCTGAGGCACAAGAATTGCTTGAACCCGGGAGGCAGAGGTTGCATTGAGCCAAGACTGCGCCACTGTACTCCAGCCTTGGTGACAGAGCGAGACTCCATCTCAAAAAAAAAAAAAAAAAAAAGAATCCCTTTCTGTCTGACCCCCACCAGACGGCAGCAGAATTGTGTGGAGAGCTTGTTCCCGAGGGACCTGGGGGATGGAGCAGGCAATCCCTTCTCCCTCTGACCTCCAGGCCCCACTGAGCCCTCTGGACACAAGCACAATCAGGCACTTCATGCCTGGCAAGGGTCAGAATGAAAGGCCTGTGTCTGTCTGCTCCCCGCCTCCCTTTCTCCATCTTCAGATAATTCCATCTGCCCTTGGGCCAGAGCCTCATCTTTCTCCCTCCTTTCCCCCTCCTGCCCGCTGAGTTATTTACAAATATCTGGGAACAGAAGGGATTTCTTCAGTGCTCTGTAGTGCCTGCCACTGACTCAGGTCTCTAACATGCTGGGGGGCAGCGAGGGTAAAGATGCTTGTGGTCCTCTCCTGTCACCCACAGGAACCCAAAGAGCTCAATACACTGGGCGCAGTGGCTCATGCCTGTAATCCTAGTATTTTGGGAGGCTGAGGTGGGAGGATCACCTGAGGTCAGGAGTTCAAGACCAGCCTGGCCGACATAATGAAACCCCATCTCTACAAAAATTAGCCAGGCGTGGTGGTACGTGCCTGTAATCCCAGCTACTTGGGAGGCTGAGGCAGGAGAATCACTTGAACTCAGGAAGTGGAGGCTGCAGTGAGCTGAGATAACACCACTGCACTCCAGTCTGGGCAACAGAGAGAGACTCCATCTCAGAAAAAAAAAAAAAAGGCTCATGCCTGTAATCCCAGCACTTTGGGAGGCCGAGGTGGGCGGATCAAGAGGTCAGGAGATCGAGACCAGCCTGGCCAACATGGTGAAACCCCATCTCTACTAAAAATAAAAAAAAATTAGCTGGGCACGGTGGCAGGTGCCTGTAGTCCCAGCTACTTGGGAGGCTGAGGCAGGAGAATGGCGTGAACCCGGGAGGCGGAGCTTGCAGTGAGCTGAGATCGCTCCAGCCTGGGTGACAGAGCGAGACTCCGTCTCAAAAAAAAAAAAAAAAAAAAAAAAGACCTTGGCCTTGGCTAGACACGGTGTAATCCCAGCACTTTGGGAGGTGAGGCCGAGGCGGGCGGATCACCTGATGTCAGGAGTTTGAGACCACTCTGGCCAAGATGGTGAAACCCCATCTGTACTGAAAATACAAAAATTAGCTGGGCATGGTGGTGAGTGCCTGTAATCCCAGCTACTCAGGAGGCTGAGGCAGAGAATTGCTTGAACCCGGGAAGTGGAGGTTGCAGTGAGCTGAGATGGCGCCACTGCACTCCAGCCGGGGCGACAAAGCAAGACTCTGTCTCAAAAAAAAAAAAAAAGAAAAAGAAGAGCTCAATGGCTCCCCAAGGTCACACCGTGGCAGCCCATTTTCTGTTTCCCACTCTGTTCTCCTACATGGTTTGTCCCGGGTACAGGGTGAACCAGGAAGAGGATGAGTTACCGCCATTTCCCCATGGAGTCAAAGGGCTTCTTCCTCCTGGAAAATCCCCGGACACGGAAGTGACTAAGACCTAGTGGAGCTGCTGAACCTAAAAAGTAAGTTCAAATTCGGGGCCCCTCCTTCTGATAGCCATGTGGCCCAAAGAAGGGAAGCTGTCCGTGCAGCTGGGGGAGCTGATCTCCAACATGTTCTCCCCAAGCCCACCTCCTGCCACCCCACCCCAATGCTGAAGCCCAGACAAGCAGCCAGGAACTGGCGTCACCATCCCCAGTCCCGCAGACGCTCATCCCACCGCCACCACCCGTGAGCAACCATTCCGGGGCCTGACATTCTGTCGGCTTCACACCACCTCCCGGAGCCCCAGCCAGAAGCACTTCCTGGATAAAATATTAAACATGCAAATCTGAGACAGAGCCTTAACGAGCGACAGACTGCACGACCACAGCCTGGCAAACGAGACGCACGACGTCCGGGGGTGGGGGGGTGAGAGGTATATATAGATATAGACTTTGGATCTATCTGTGCAATGTGTGTGTAAGGCAGAGAACAGCAGGGATGGAAAAGTACCGCAGCAGCCTCCAGCTGGGGTGGCCTGAGGTGGCGGCAGGAGGCTGGCCGGGAGGGAGGGTCAAGAGGAGCCCCAGAGCCAGGCTCAGAGTGAGGGATGACAAAAGCCCTTTGTGCTTGGATTCTGTGCAGGGGGTGCCAGACACGCTGGGCAGGGGAATGGGCATTGGTTTTGGAGAAGGAAGTTGGTTAGAGGCAAGGCCTCCGAGTGGAAGAAAAGAAGGGGAGACAGAGGAGAGGCATAGACCTGTGTGGCAGGAGTAGGGGTGTCTAGAGGGAGAACACCTCCACTCACATGGGGCACGGGGCGGGGGGGGGGTGTCTCTTGTCACCACACTGGCCCAGGTGTCATGGAGCTCACGTGGAATTAGGTCAGCAAGGTTCCTGCCTTGATTCAGGTCAGCATGCATTTGATGATGGCGCTTCTTAAACTTGTACATGTGCCAGGATCGTCTAGGATCTTGTTGGTAAATGCAATTCCGATTAGGGAGGCCTGGAGTGGGGCCTAAGAGTCTGCATTACTAGCAAGACTCAGGTGATGCCAGTGCTGCTGGCCTCCCGGCCCCCATAAAGTGGCGAGGGACTACAAGGAGCTAGAGCAACACGGAGCTCCCTTTGGCTCAGGCGAACACAGGACCCACAAGAGTCCAGAGTGGGATCAGAGGCTGAGCCCAAAGGCGTCTGGCCTAAGGGGAGGTCCACGGTGCTGATCAAGATGGTGTCTGTCCACAGTGTCCAGCCTGTCATGGAATTAGAACTATAGGACACCTAACTTGGCCCAAACCAACACAGAACCCAGCCCAGGGTGTCAGGGAGCCTGTAGCAGCCCACACTGAGACAGGGCTCACAGGGCCTGGAGTGACATGGAGCCTGGTGGGGTGGGACTGAATGATAGGGCGCCCATGTTGCTTCAGGAAATCACAGAGCCCACAGGGATTAGACTGAAGTGGTGCCCGTTTTGGTCCAGAGTGACATGGAACCCACAGTGGCCACAGGGGTCTGGACTGACTTGGAACTCAGAAAGGACTAACAGAGGTGATGGCCACATTTGCTCAGGGTGACATAGAGCTCATCAGGACTTGGACCAACTGGACCAACCAGGCACCCAACACAGAGCCCCAGACATGACAGGGGGCTCTCCGTGCAAACTCCAGGTTGCAGAAGACAGGAAGGGAGGGTCCGGAGGAGGCTGGGAGAGGAGAGGAGCAGGTGCCGGGGAGCAAGGCTGCTCTGTGGCTGCTGTGAGCCTGCCTGCCGTGGGCTGAGTGCTACTTGGCTGGGCCCCAGAGAGGAGGTGCTGCTGCTGCAAGGCTCAGATGGAGGAGGAAGTGGGAAGCTGGAGGCAGGGTGGGCGCGAGGCTGGGGTGGGGAGAGCACTTCCTCCCCCAAAGAGGCTTGGCACGGGGGCTGGCCCACTGCCCATGTGGATCCTGGCATTTACACTCCCCGCTCCCATTATACACAGGCGATGCGGTGGGTTATGGGTCTGGGACTTACGGACCTCAGATCAAGGAGCATTCAGCGCTGGGGGAACAGACAAACCGATGTCTCCCTGAATGGAGCACTCAGGGTCCAGAGGAGGAAGGGTTCTCCCTCCTGGCACTGGAGGTCCTTTTGATGCAGCCAGGTCCCTAGGCAGAGTGCCCTGGCCCTATTGTGTCCTTGCCCAGAGGAATGCAGAAAACAATGCAGGCTGCCCCTTCCCACATCCCTGGCAAGATCTAGAAATAGGTGCCCACACCTTCGTCTTAACTAAACCCAGCCCTCCCTCCCGCTTCTGGTCAGATGCCTCTCAGTCCTTGTCCCTACCAAGGGGAGAAGCCCCTCAGAGGCTACCTGCAGCTTCTCTTTATGCCAAGGTTAATGTAGAGGAGGAAGGGATGGAGGGAGGGGCATTACTATGAATTTATTTTTTGAGACAAGGTCTTGCTGTCTCACCCAGACCAAAGTGCATCAGCACAATCATAGCTCACTGCAGCCTTGATCTCTTGGGCTCAAGCAATCCTCCCCGTTCAGCCTCCTGAGTAGCTGAGCTGGGACTACAAGCACAAGCCACCACACCTAGCCAATTTTTAAAAATTTTTTGGGCCAGGCGCGGTGGCTTACGCCTGTAATCCCAGCACTTTGGGAGGCCGAGGCGGGCAGATCACAAGGTCAGGAAATCGAGACCATCCTGGCTAACACGATGAAACCCTGTCTCTACTAAAAATACAAAAAATTAGCCGGGTGTGGTGGCGGGCGCCTGTAGTCCCAGCTGCTGGGGAGGCTGAGGCAGGAGAATGGCGTGAACCCGGGAGGCGGAGCTTGCAGTGAGCCGAGATCCCGCCACTGCACTCCAGCCTGGGTGACAGAGCGAGACTCCATCTCAAAAAAAAAAAAAAATTGTTTACAGAGTCTCCCTATGTTTCCCAGGCTGGTCTCGAACTCCTGGCCTCAAGCAATCCTCCCACCTCTGCCTCCCAAAGTGCTAGAATTACAGGAGTGAGCCACTGCACCTGGCCAATTTGAATGGGGAGCTGGATGACGCTCCCCATCCAGCCTGGTACTGCTGAAGAATCCAACCCTAACTCCACTCCTGCCCACACATCTCCAGGCTGACCTAGTTTCTGTTTCAAGGCAGGGGGGACACATGTTACACACTCCTAGACACAGAGCTGTGCAGAGCCAAGAGATGCACACGCATGCACGTGGGATAGACGAATGCAGGAGATCGCACACTCGAGGCCGGTGCACACACATGCATATCCAGAGACTCCTTCCTGACTCACGAACAAACCCAAGGACCCCCTCCAGCAGACACACAGACAGAGCTCCCTGTTCACAGGGCCACACAGACACACATGGACCTCATAAGCCATAGGCGTGATTCCCCACAGGGGTTCCCTACTCTCTATCCAGCTCCTGCTCCCAGGTCCCCACTCTCTGGGGCACAAAAACAGCAAAGGCAGTCCTGCTGCCACACTACCAGGGCCATGGGATCAAGGATCACCGCAACCCTGGGAATGGATCCCCAGTCTCCCCTCTTCTCTCCATAAGCTCCTGTCTTTTGGAACTGCAGTGCTTATTTCCCCAGGACAAGTCTCTCTGTGGGAGGGACCAAGGGTGGAGGACACTTCACTTCCCTACTTCCCTTCTGGTTTTTTTGTTTGTTTTGAGACTGTCGCCCAGGCTGGATTGCAGTGGAGTGATCTCAGCTCACTGCAACCTCCGCCTCCTGGGTTAAGCGATTCTCCTGCCTCAGCCTTCCGAGTAGCTGGGACTATAGGAGTGCATCACCACGCCTGGCTACTTTTTGTATTTTTAATAGAGGCGGGGTTTTGCCATGTTGGCCAGGCTGTTCTCAAACTCCTGACCTCAGGTGATCCACCCACCTCGGCCTCTCAAAGTGATGGAATTACAGGCTTGAGCCACTGCACCCGGCCTTTTTTTTTTTTTTTTGAGATGGAGTCTCTCTGCCGCCCAGGCTGGAGTGCAGTGGCGCGATCTTGGCTCATTGTAACCTCTGCCTCCCGGATTCAAGTGATTCTCCCTCAGCCTCCCAAGTAGCTGGGATTACAGGTGCCCACCACCACCCCTGGCTAATTTTTGTATTTTTAGTAGAGATGGGGTTTCACTACGTTGGCCAGACTGGTCTTGAACTCCTGACCTCATGATCCACCCGCTTCGGCCTCCCAAAGTGTTTTTTTGTTTGTTTGTTTTTCTTTTTTTTTGAGATAAGTTCTCACTCTGTCACCCAGGCTGCGGTGCAGTGGTGCGATCATAGCTCACTACGGCCTCAAACTCCTGGGCTAAAGTGATCCTCTTGTCTCAGCCTCCTGAGTAGCTGGGACAATAGGCACATGCCACTGTGCCTGGCTAATTTTTTAATATATTTATTTATTTACTTTTATTTTTGGAGACAGGGTTTCGCTCTGTCTCTCTGGGTGGAGTGTGGTGGGGCAATCACAGCTCACTGAAGCCCTGACCTCCCAGGCTCAAGCAATCCTCTCACCTCAGACTCCCAAGCATCTGAGACTACAGGTATGCGTCACCACACCCGGCTAATTGCTTATTTTTTGTAGATAGGGGGACTCACTATATTGCCCAGGCTGGTCTCAAACTCCTGGCCTCAAGCAATCCTCCCTCCTTGGCCTCCCAGAATGCTGGGATTATAGGTGTGAGCCACTACACTCAGCCCCTCTTCTTCTTATTTTTGTTTTTTGTTTTTTGAGACGGAGTCTCGCCCTGTATCTAGGCTAGAGGGCAATGGCACAATCTCAGCTCACTGCAACCTCTGTCTCCTGGGTTCAAGCGATTCTCCTGCCTCAGCCTCCCAAGTAGCTGGGACTACAGGCACCTGCCACCGTGCCCAGCTAATTTTTTTTTATTTTTAGTAGAGATGGGGTTTCACCATGTTGGCCAGGCTGGTCTCAAACTCCTGACCTCAAGTGATCCACTCGCCTCGGCCTCCCAAAGTGCTGGGATTACAGGTGTGAGCCACCGTGCCCAGCCTGTCTCCAGGCTCTTGTGTCAGGTGTGTGTGCATGTGTGTTCATGTGTGCGTGCACGTGCGTGTGTGTGTGCATGTGCATAGGAGCAGGAGTCTGAGCCCGTTTGGGAACACGCTTGTCCATCCCTGTCCACCTGAGCTCTGGAGCCCAGCACCTGCCCTCCACAGAGGCCTTCCTCTCTTCTTTCCGGTGTCCCCAACCCCTCCCTCTCTCCTAACGCACTGTAATCGTGCTGGATCCTGGGTTCGTTCTAGAGCCTTCCTCATCTCTGCCCTTCCTCATCCAAGTTCCTCAAAAGAGATGCATGGGCTGGATCTGCTTCTTTCCCTCCCGTTTCATCCCTACTCCCCAGGAAGATCTCACTAGAGTCACTGGTGCCATCCTGCTTGCCAAGGCCAGTGGACCTTCCTCATCCTGTATCTGATCTTGTTTTTTTTTTTAAGACAGGATCTCACTCTGCCACCCAGGCTGGAGTGCAGTGGTGCAATCACTGCTCACTTCAACCTCCACCTCCCCAGGCTCAAGTGATCCTCCCACCTTGGCCTCTTAAGTAGCTGGGACTATGGCTTGCGCCACCACACCAGCTAATTTTTGTATTTTTAGTAGAGACGGGGTTTCACCATGTTGCCCAGGCTGGTCTCAAACTCCTGACCTCAAGTGCTCCACCCGCCTTGGCCTCCCAAAGTGCTGGGATTACAGGCATGATCCACCATGCCCGGCTCTATCCCATCTTTGTGTGACATTCCACCCTGTTTTCCTCCTTTCTTGATACTCTCCTCCTTTGATTATTGGATGAGTTAGGGTAAGTTGTGTTCGTTAGGCCAATATTTTATTTTATTATGTTTTAATTTTCCATTGTATTAATTTGGCTAATTATTTTTTCATTAGGTTAATTCTCTGTATTATTTGGGCTATGCTAAACTGTTTAGCTTAGTCTAAGTTGTACTGGTTAGGCTAAACTCCTAGAACAAAGAGATCCAAAAAAAGATGATGGCTTGAAGAATGTAAAATTTGCTTCTTTCCTGTGTTGCAGGTGAACACTCCAGGTCAGCCGGGAGCTCTCACAGCCATTCGGGGACCAGGCTCCTTCCATGTGCTGCTGTGCTGCCCCCTAGGGCCCTGCCAGTGACTCAGGACCGAAGCTGAGTGACTGCCATGCCGGGTTCCAGCCAGCAGGAAGGGCAAGGGAGTGTGGGGCGGGCAGGCCCAGGGTCTTAAAGCCCAGGCTGGGAGAGGCACACACCCCTTCCCCTTCGCAGCCCAGTGGTGGGAATTAAATCACATAGTCATACCTGACCGCAAAGGGGCTGGGAAATGTGCCTACCCAGTTGGCACAGGGAGCTCAGATTTGGGTGGACAATGAGCAGTGGTCACCAGAGCCCCCAGAGCCTCCCCCTCTCTCCCTCCTCTCCACCCTCTCTCTCCCCACTCTCTCCCTGGCCATTCCTCCCCAGCCCCCGCCTTTTTTTGTTGTTTTTTTTTTTTGAGACAAAGCCTCCCTCTTTTGCCCACCACAGGCTGGAGTGCAGTGGCATGATCATGGCTCACTGCTTCCTCGACCTCCTGGGCTCAAGTGATCCACCTCAACCTCCCACAAAGCTGGGACTACAGGCACGAACCACCATGCCCAGCTAATTTTTTTTTTTTTTTTAATTTTTAGTAGAGACAAAATCTGACTATGTTGACCAGGCTGGTCTCAAACTCCTGGGCTCAAGTGATCCGTACTCCTTGCCCTCCCAAAGTGCTGGGATTACAGGCGTGAGCTGCCACGGCACTTGGCTCCCCTTTGTAAATGTGCCCCAGGGCTCTGTTCTTGGCCCTTTTCTCACCCCACATGCATGCCTTGGCCATTCCCGTCCAATCCTGTCTGATGCCCTAAAGCCTCCCTACCTCCAGCTCAGGCCTCTCTCAGCCACAAACCCACGCAGGCAACAGGGCCAAATCTGGGACTCAAGCCACACTCCTCCTCTGCCTCACCCCACATTCAATCTGTCACCAAAGCTGGTGAGTCTACCTTGTAAGGACCCCCTCACCGAGACTGTCCTCTCCTTCTCCCCGCCGACCCCGCCCCCGAATGGGTTCTCACAGCCTCCACCCCTGCCCCCCTGCCTCTACCCCCAGGGACTCCACACCAGCCTCCCATGAATCATGAAATGTGAGTATTCACCCTGCCTGTTCCTGAGCCCTCTTCTCTCACAGTCTGATTGGGTCACCCTTCAGGGGCTCCCTCTTGTCTTCAGAATCAACTCCTTACCCTAACATATAAGACCTTTTGTGATCTGACCTCGGTCTACTTCATCTCTTGTCACATGTACCCTGTGCTCCAGCCACTCAAATCTTGGCACTTTTGTGTGTGCTCTGCCCCAGTGCCTCCCGGCCTTCACTTCAGGGATTCCTATATCCTTGAAGACTCAATTCAGAGAGCTCCTTCTCTGAGAAGCCCCCTCTGATGCCCTGATGCTCTTCCCACATGCTCCACTGTTCCCTCAACCTCACCAGTCTCCACCTCTATGCCTGTCTTGTCCTGATTGCTCACTTACCTCTCTCCCCTGCTAGGTGGTGAGCTGTCGGAGAGCAATATGAGGTTTTAGTTATTTCTCATCTCCAGTCCTTAGCCCATTGTTGGAGACAGTTAACGCTTAACGCTTGAGAAATGTTAGCTCCTTTCTCTTCTCCTTTAAAACTGTGACACAAAGGCTGGGCACAGAAGCTCACGCCTGTAATCCCAGCACTTTGAGAGGCCAAAGCGGGTGGATCACTGGAGGTCAGGAGTTCGAGACCAGCCTGGTCAACATGGCAGAACCCCGTCTCTACTAAAAATACAAAAATTAGCCAGGCGTGATGGCTCACACCTGTAATTCCAGCTACTCGGGAGGCTGAGGCAGGAGAATTGCTTGAACCTGGGAGGCAGAGGTTGCAATGAGCTGAGATCACTCCACTGCACTCCAGCCTGGGCAACAGAGCGAGACTCTGTCTCAAACAAACAAACAACAACAATAAAAACTGTAACACGTAGCTTTATACATAAAACTAAAATCTGGAAACAGCCCAAACATCCATCAACAGGAAAACATATACATTGCAGAATATTCATTCAATCAAATACTACACGGTGATAAAATGAGTTAACTACAGCTTCATGCAACAGCATGAATGAATCCCATGCATAATGTTGAACAAAAGAAGCCAGACCCAAAAACGTACCTTCCATTCTTATGAGGGTCAAAAACAAGCCGAACGGATCTTCGGTGACAGAGGCCGGCATGGTGGTCATCTCCGGGTCAGGAGATCAACTGGGAGCAGGCCTCACACAGCCTCCCAAAGGCTGGAAGTGTTGCTTATCTAGGTCTGGGTGGCGATCACACAGGTAATGTACATGTGTAATGATCATCAAGCTGAAATTCTGGTGCATTTTAGAGTAGGTAACTTCCCTCTGTTTGTTTAAGTGCCATGATTTTGTAATAAATCATCGTGGAAGCCGGGTAGAGTGGCTCATGCCTGTAATCTCAGCACTTTGGGAGGCTGAGTCAGGAGGATCCCTTGAGATCAGAAGTTCAAGATCAGCCTGAGTAGCATAATGAGACCCCCATCTCTACAAAAAATAAACAGAGCTCACGCCTGTAATCCCAGCACTTTGGGAGGCCAAGGTGGGCGGATCACTTGAGGTCAGGAGTTCTAGACCAGTCTGGCCAACATGGCAAAACCCTGTCTCTACTAAAAAAATAGAAAAAAAAAAAATTAGCCAGGCATGGTGGTGCACGCCTATAGTCCCAGCTTCTCAGGAGGCTGAGGCAGGAGAATCGCTTAAGCCTGGGAGGTGGAGGTTGCAGTGAGCCAAGATTGTGCACTCCAGCCTGGGTGACAGAGCGAGATTCCATCTCAAAAAAAAAAAAAATTGGCCAGGCACGGTGGCTCACACCTGTAATCCCAGCCCTTTGGGAGGCTGAGGCGGGTGGATCACAAGGTCAGGAGTTCGAGACCAGCCTGGCCAACAGGGTTAAACCCCGCCTCTACTAAAAATACAAAAATTAGCCAGGCATGGTGGCAGGCACCTGTAATCCCAGCTACTCAGGAGGCTGAGGCAGGAGAATTGCTTGAACTCAGGAGGCAGAGGTTGCAGTGAGCCAAGATTGCACCACTGCACTCCAGCCTGGGCAACAGAGCAAGACTCCGTCTCAAAAAAAAAATTAAAAATAAACAGAATTAGCTGTGCATGGTGGCACGTGCCTGTGGTCACAGCTACTCGAGAGGGTGATATGGGAAGATCTCTTGAGCCTGGGAGATCAAGGCTGCGATGAGCCAAGATCGCACCACTGTACTCAGCCTGGGTGACAGAGTCAGAGCCTGTTTCAAAAAAAAAAAAAAAAAATCACCATGGATGGCAAGTCTGCGTCTGAGAGGCACTTTCTGTTACAGAGTCCCCTGATTTTAGGTGATGACACTGAGCCCCAGAGAGGGTAAAACACTCAACACTCAGCTTGAGTCGCTCAGCACATCTGTGGAGAGTCCACACCCTAAGGAGGGGACTGCATGTCCTGCTTTCCCCATGCCACTCTAGGGACCTTGGGGGCAGGCTCTGTGTCTTTGTGTCTCTGGAACAGAGCTCTGGGACCTCTACATATTGGTGGGGGCTACTCCCACCCCATAACAGGTTGCTGCTGGGTGGTGAAACATGGCAGCAGTGTGGTCATTTAGAGCACAAACTCAAAGGACACAATTCCGTAGCTGTATGGGCTTAACCTCTGTGAACCCCAGTTTTCTCATCTGCAAAATGGAGCTAATAGTACCACGGTTGGGCGCGGTGGCTCACACCCGTAATCCCAGCACATTGGGAGGCCAAGGTGGGCAGATCATTTGAGGTCAGGAGTTCGAGACCAGCCTGGCCAACATAGTGAAACCCCGTCTCTACTAAAAAATACAAAAATTAGCCAGGCATGGTGGCCCACGCCTGTAGTCCCAGCTACTAGGGAGGTTGAGGCATGAGAATCACTTGAACCCAGAAGGTGGAGGTTGCAGTGAGCCAAGATTGCGCCACGGCATTCCAGCTTGGGCAACAGAGTGAGACTCTGTCTCAAAAATAAATAAATAAATAAATAAATAAATAAATAAATAAATAAATAAATAATAGTACCTACCTCATGTTGTGTCCTGAGGATTACATGAGCAACTAAGCATAATATAACAAGGCCTGGTTCCAAGGAAATGCCATTACAGTGCTTGCTATGATAACCACTCAGGAGGAAACCTAGTCAGACAGACCAGAGCTACTTTGCTCCTCCACTGGCTGTGTGACCTCAGGCAAGTTAATTAACCTCTCTGAGTCCCATTTCCTCATCTGCTAAACAAATAGTACTTATCTATTGCTATGAAAGCAAAATAATGCCTGTAAAACACCTGACACCTGCTTAAGTTCCTTGTGTGCAGAGACCACGTCTTGCACATCGATCCCCCTCAGGGCTCTCACTCCATGGCCTGGGAGAATGAATCCCTTCCCCAGCCACCCTTCTCTGGCTCGCCATCCTCTTTCTGGTGCTAGCAGACAGCAGCATCTAGTGGACAAGCTCTGGAACTGCATTCTGGCCAAGGGTCACTCGCCAAGCTGCTGTGCAGTCATTTAAATGAGGCTTTTTAAAAATGCTTTAGACAAGGGTGGAGGGGTCAGGAGGAACGGAGGTGGGGTGAAATGCATTGGGCAAGTATTCATTAGGTGCCTGCTGTGTGCAAGGCACTGATCCAGGACCTTAAAAAATGAAGCAAGAGATACAAGATCACTGTAGAAGGACACAAGAAAAATCACAAATAATTATAACTTTGTCATCAATACCCTAACTTTTTATCTTAGAGAAAATGTGAACACAGCATAGGGGGACTTGGCACACTGGACAGTGTCTTCTCAGGAAGTGTTTTTTGTTTTTGTTTTTGAGACAGGGTCTCGTTTTGTCACCCAGGCTGGAGTGCAGTGGAGTGATCACAGCTCACTGCAGCCTTGATCTCCCTGAAGTGGCTGAGCAATCGTCCCACTTCAGCCTCCAGAGTAGTTGGGACTACAGGTGCACGCCACCACACCCAGCTTGTTTTTTGTTTTTGTTTGTTTGTTTGTTTTTGGTAGCATCAAGTTCTCCCTATGTTGTCCAGGCTGGCTCAAACTCCTGGGCTCAAGTGATTCTCCCCGCCTTGGCCTCCCAAAGTGCTGGGATTACAGACACAAGCTACCTTGCCAGCCTTCTCAGGAAGTTTTTACAATTGCAGGGGCGATTTTTTTTTGAAATGGTTGTTACATGTCAATGACTCTCAGTTAAGGCCAAGGCAATAAAATGAAAGCTTAGGTCAGGAAGGTTCTGCCTCGAGTCCCCTGACCCAGGTTCTCCATAGACAGAGGGGAGCGGGAGTGTCTGGCCCCAAAGCCGCACTCGCCCTCCACACTCCACAGTCCCTTCCTACCAGACACAGAAGAGTGAAGAGGGTCTAGAGGTGGCATGAAGCACATCTAACTGGGGGAATCAAAAAATACTTCATGGGAGAGATGACATTTTGCATTGGAGAATGAAGGTAAAGAAAGCAGGGAGGGGCATGCTGGGGGCGCTGGGGAAGGAAGTGCATTCCAGCCTAGTAGACCAGGTATACCTTCACTGGTATAAAGCGAAGTAATGGGAACCAAGTTGGTTGAGGGAGCTGGGGGTTAAGGCCAAATCACAGAGGGCTCCAAATGACAGGCCAAGGAGGCTGCATTTAATACTATCAGGGGACCCACTCAGTAAGAAGGTAAACTGATCTGAGGGCATCAGAGAAAAACCAGACACCCAGAAACTATTAATAGTTAGGTGGCTACTGTCATAGTCCAGCCTAGAGGTAGGGGACACTGCACCATGATGGAGTGGAGATTAGAGACAGAATTGTGAGATCCTTGGGAGGGGAGAAGCAGGGGGAGGCTTGGAAATAGATAGCTGTGGGTCAAATGGGAGGACCCAGCTGAGAATTCAAGGTGCTGAGTCCAGGGGAAGTAATGGGGAGAAAAGCAGAGCTGTAACCAGAATGTGGACTTGACCAGGGGGACTGCTGTGGGCAGGGAGCTGTGGGCAGGGACCAGGAGCTTGGTCTTTGACAGGGGCAAATGAGTTGCCATTGTCCCTGTGGAGATGCGGGACCAAGGCTCAGGAGGGGTGCTGGAGGGAGAGGAGGCAGGGACAGTCAAGTGGGAGTCATTTACCCATATAGGTGCAAGCTGATGACCTAGGGGAGGAAAACAGAATCCTGCGGGCAGATAGGGTGGAGGGCAGGCGCCACCGGACTTCATCGGACTTTGTCTTTTTAAAGCTTCTGGGGGAGGGGGGCAAGAGAAGGAGGAGATGGAAGAAGACAGAGGCGGGACCTTTGGGGACAGAGACCCTTGTGAGTGTCCAGCAGTGTCACAGGCTATGCAGAAGTCCAGGAGTGGTGGCAGGGAGGCAACTGTTGAATTTGAGGTTGGGGGCTCTCCTGGCTGACCTTGGCAAAAGCGGTTTCAGGGACAGAAGTCAGGCTGCAGAGGTCTAAGAGGTGAGAGGCAGAGGAGCTGGAGGCGGCTGATGCTCCCGGGAGGAGGGAGGAGACGGTAAGCAGGGCTGGGATAGGGGAAGGTGAGCGAGGGGTTACTCTGGGGGTCCTGCCAGACCCTGAAGAGGAGGGTAGAGACCCAGAGGCACATGGAGAGGAGACCCTCTGAGACCCTTTGAGACAGAAGGAAAACAGGTGATGCTGTAAGAGCTTAGAGACCCAGACAGAAATAAGACTATGACCACCACATCCCTGACAAACCAACGTGGTGGCCACCAGCCCTAGAGGACATGGGACTGGAGGAAGGGAGGGGTAGAAGCAGGGGCTGAAGACACCTGGGAGGGAGAGCAGACTTCCTCAGACCCTCTCGGGCTCCAGCGTATTGGCGTGGGAGAGGGAGTCCCAGATTCCCGGGAGCTCAGAGCCTAGGGAAAGCCAGGGGTCCCTTTCCCCTTTCCCCAGGCGGCTCCTGTTCGGAGAAACTTGTGGCCCTCGCTTGGAAGCACGCTTTTCCCTATTCCAACCCCAAATACTCAGTACCTGTTTGCTTCCCCCAGAAGTCTGGGCAAGTTTCTTTCTTTTCTGGGACTCAGTTTCTGGGGTGGGCTGAATGATGGAACCCAAAAAGATGTGTCCAGGTCCTAATCCCCAGCCCCCACTCCCCCAGAGCCTGTGAATATGACTTCATTTGGAAAAAGGGTCTTTGTAAATGTAACTTAATTAAAGATGTCAAGACGAGATCATCCTGGATTGTCTGGTGGGCCCTAAAGCCAATGACAAGTGTCCTTGTGACAGACAGGAGAGGGGAGGGCCATACCATGGGAGAATGGGAACTCTGCAGCCCCAAGTCAAGGAACACCTGGGGCCACAGAAGCTGGAAGAGGCACGGAGGGGGCCCTTCCCGAGAGCCTTCGGAGGGAGTTCGGCCCTGCAATGCCTTAGGTTTGGACCTCTGGTCCCAGTAAATGGAAGAGAAGAAATATCGGGGTTTGTTGTTGTTGTTTGAGATGGAGTCTCACTCTGTCGCCAGGCTGGAGTGCAGTGTGGTATGATCTCGGCTCACTGCAACCTCCGACTCCCGGGTTCAAGCGATTCTCCTGCCTCAGCCTCCAGACTAGCTGGTATTACAGGCATGCGCCACCAAGTCCAGCTAGTTTTTGTATTTTTAGTAGAGACAGGGTTTCACCATGTTGGCCAGGATGGTCTCGATCTCCTGACCTTGTGATCCACCCGCCTCGGCCTCCCAAAATGCTGGGATTACAGGCGTGAGCCACCTTACCCGGCCGCTTAAATATCTGTCTTTTAAGCCACCAAGTTTGTTATGATTTGTCATGGCAGCCCTGGAAACTAACGTAGTTCCCTATTCTGTAAAATAACTAGAATTAAATCTTATTTGGCCAAAAGGTGTGTTTTTTAACTCGCCACCCCGCCCCCTTCCAGGTTGAGTTGTAACCCTTTCACTTGCAGGGCGGGGGTGGGGGAGTGAGGGTGGGGGCAGGTGATGCAGGGAGGAAAGAACCTAAATTAACAGCATCTCCTCCTGCCCCGAAGAGGAGGAAAGTCCAAGAAGAGTATTTCATGCCCACCAGCCCTTCCTCCTTCACCCAGAGCTCACACCATCATCCCGTGCCCGGCTCCAGGCAGGCGGGTGGGGCAGACGCTGACCCGGAGCGCGTTACTAAAACCAAGGGGTCTTTGAAAATCAGGGAGTCTGCCTTTCCAGACTTCTGACAGCCCCCCTCTTCACAGCGATTCTCTCCCCACCCCTTGTGTCTTCTTCCTCCCGTTCTCCATTCTTGGGGGGCAAAATAAGATGGAGACTCCCGAAGCACAGGGTGGAAGGCACTCCCCCACCCCTTCTTCCTCCTCCTCCCACAACACAGCTGGAGGGGGAGGGGAGGTCAGCAGGGTTCACAGAGGCCAGATGTTAAGGAAAAAGAGAGAAGTGCCCACCCACCCCACCCCCACCCTCACCCCCAAGGAAAGAAAAATGAAAGGAGACAGTTTTTAAAACAAACAAAACTTTTATGGTCCAAAACAGTTTTTCTCAAGAATCTGCTCTATGCAAACAATAACAACTTTTTACAAAGCATTTTCACAGAAAAGGAGACAAGTCCTTCCCCAGCGTGGGAATTGTTCCTCTCGCACCTCGTTTTCGGGGGAAGAGGGGGCGCTATTCACTAGTGCGGGATGGAAGGCGCACTGGGTCCCTCAGTTGTTCGGCAGCTCCAAAAGCCCCAGCTTCCCTTCATACCTCAACTTGCCATCTCCCTAAGACCTAAGCTCCCCTGACCTCACCTGGGTGGAGGAGAAAGCACTTCCAATCCTCTCTGACTCAAGATCCTCCTAGCTGGAGGGCATGGCAGAGGGCATGATCCAGGCCTATCTCACCCCTCCCCTGGAAAACAGAACCTCTGACCCCAAACCTAATCCCCTGGCCCTGCCCCTTTCGGATCCATCAGATCTCTGACAACTCCCGCAATCCCTGAGGCTGGGGTGTTGCGGGGGGAAGCTTAAGGTACCTCAGCCCAGGTTCCATCCAGACTCAAACTTTGCCCCTTCAAACCCCAGGGGACTCTTGAAGTTAGGCCAAGAGTCCTTTCATTTACCACCTCTGCAAAGTGCAGCTTGTTTTGTTTCCACTCTTTAAGGGGGCTGAGTTTGGGTGTCCAAAGAATGGACTTGGGCCTGCCTTCCACCTCCACCCCCTCTCATCCATAAATCGGTGGAGGCCCTCGAAAGGCGACTTGTTTGGTCTGATTTTATTGATTTCTTCCACCTTCTATTACTTTCCCTGGGACAGTGTCTAGCCCCTTCCCCAGGCAAAGTAAGCACTTTCCAGGAGAGGAGGTCCCTCAGCCCTACCCGTCCTAAGGGAAGTAAGTTGGGGGAGGGGGCTGATTAATCAAGGTTGGGGGAAATCTTTCTCACCGGCCAGACCTTACACTCGGAAAGCAAACAAGGAAAAAACGGGAACTCCAAAACTGGACAAAAGGGAAAGGTCGGCGGCTGAGGCTGAAGATCTCACCAATTAAGGGTCACCTGCACTTGAGGGGGCCTAGAAAGGGGACAGGAAGGGGGTGATCTTCCTCTTACCCAAGTTCCCTCACCCATTAAAGGCTCCAGCGGTGCTTGGAGCGTTAGGGAAGGCCTGAGGGGAGCAAAGGGTTAAAGGCCTGGACAGTGGGGGTGGGGGATGCCCCCAGGGAGCTGCCAATCATCTCCCCACCCCCACCACAGCCCCGCACCCCAGGCTCGCCCACAGACACAGTAACAACCGGTTTGTCCATCACCGAGGTCTCTCTCTTCTCCCCTTTTTTTTGGGTGGGGGGGTGTCTTTGAGCGGTGGCCTCCTTTGCTCCCACTGGGGTGCAGGCCCTGCCTCCAACGGTCCGAGATGGAAGGAGGCAGGGATTGGAATCTATGTCATCAGCCTTCTCCCGACTCCAGCCCTGGGTTCCTCTGCAAAGGATGAGGGGGAGGGACTGTCACCCCGAAAACTTAGGTGCTTGAATGAAGATCACTGTTATTTAGGTCCCTCTGCCCACAGCTCCTAAAATGTAAAGGAAGGGGACAAATGTGAGAAACGGGGCTCCCTCCTCAAGCCCGCGGTTTGGCCATGGTCCCAACTTTTCCCCTTTGGCAGAAGTCCCACGGTCAGCTTTCATCCATGTTGATCCCCCAGAATTTGAGGCCAGGGGGCTCAGGGACAGCGGGACCCCCCATCTGCCACCTCCACAGCGGGTGGGCGGGCGGGGGCTTAGAGTCTCCCTGGAGGCGAAGCGAGGATGCCGGCTTTAGGTCTCCGTCTTCCCCCACCACCAGGGCCGGGGGGCAGGGGAAGCAGTTGAGGAGGCTGAAGGTGCTCGTGGTGGGGAGCGTCGGTGCAGGGCGGCGGGGCTGCGCGGTGCGCGGAGGGGGCGCCGGCAGCCGGCGTTTCTTGGCGGCTCCCCGAGCCGGCCCTTTCGCAGGCGGCCGCTCTGGCCCCCGGCGCAAACTCGGAGTGTCCAAGGCGAAGCCCTTCGCGTAACACCAAAGTTTCGACCGGCGGATCAGACGATCGAAATGTTCCTGGCGGAGATCTCCGGGTGCGGCCGGAGCCGGGCTGGCCGTCGAGGGGCTGGCCGCTGGAGCCTCGGGGGCGGCCGGCGGGGGGTTTCCATCGACTTCGGCAGGCTGGCCGGGCAGGAACGGCCGCGGCGCCGTCCCGGGACCCGCGGGCTCGGTGGAGAGGCCCGCAGGTGGCGACGGAGGCCGGGAACTGGGTTCCTGAGGCGGGCTGGCGGCTGGGCCACGCTGAGGCTCGAGACCCGGGGCCGGGCGAGGCGGGGCCGAGGCGAAGCTGGTCGTAGATTCCCGAGGGTGCGGGGGCGCAGGGCAGCGGCCCGGAGGTGCACAGGAGCGAACGCCGAAGTGCGGGAAACCGCCTCCGCCCTCTTCCTCCTCTCCGCGGCGGGGGCACGCTGCGACGTCCGCATCCTCGCCGGCGGCGGTGTTAGGAACGCCGGGCCGCCCGGTCGGTGCCCAGAGGTGCTTCAGGCCATCCGGGGCCCAGCCGCCAGGGCGCAGGGGGGCCTGAGGGCCCCGCAGCACTGGGGACCGCGCCGCCAGCTCCCCAGGCCCCGGGCCCAGAGAGGACGCCCGGGGCTTGGCAAGGGCGCAGAAGGCGAGGGCACGCAGGCACAGCGGAGAGAATTCCTGGGTCCCCCGACACGGCTTCCGGGGCGTGGGGGAGCAGGGCGACCCTCGCGGGGACGCCGGCACTGCCAGGCGGGGCGCAGGGCACAGGGTCTCCATGGAGCAGCCTGAGGGGTGCCCACTGAGCGGGTCCAGGTCCCAGCGGCGGGATGCCCTGGCTGCCCGAAGAGCCCACGGGTGAGGGGAACATCGCCCCCCGTCGACGGGGAGGTCTCTGCTCACGGGCGCCCCCGGCCCGCCACCCGGGGCCGCAGAGCTCGGGCTCCCTCTTCGCTCTCCTCACGCGGCCCTCCCGGCGGCCGGACTCCTGGGTCCCTGTGAGTCCCGGCGGGGTCGGCCGCCCTTCTGCCGCCGCGTCCCCTTCGCAACCCCGGCGGGAGACCCTCTCGAGTCGCCCGAAGCGCAGAGGCAGGGGAAACAAAGCGGCCGGCGGCCGCGGGAGGCGGGAAGGACCCCGGGCCCGGCACCCGGTGCCCGGGCCCAGGCGGCGGGGAGGGCGCCTTCCGCCCGCTCGGTTTCTTTCTTCCCCGCTGGCTCCCGGAGACCGCGTTATAGAGAACTGCCCCCTCGCTGCCCCAATACCAGCGCCGGGGCCGCGAGCCCGCCGCTGATTGGGCCGCACCGCCCGTGACGTTAGCCCGGACCCCACCCCTCCGGCGGCACCGCCCCCGTCCCCATTCCGCACACAGACACACACACGTGGACCCGGCGCGGCGGCGGCTGGGAGGGAGCGCGGGAGGGAGCGTGCGCGGGTGGGATCGCGAGCGGCCAGATGCGCCGCCGCACGTGGCCCGGTGGCGTCCTGGGATTTCGTCGTCGCAAAGCCACTCGTTTTTTCCCGAGCAGTCACGGTTTTGCATCTGTAAAATGGGACGGTTCATATCTGCCCTCTTGGGACTAAAAGAGCTATGTGAATCAACGTAGATGAATCTCAGAAATAATGTTTAGGGGAAAGATGAAATGAGGCAATGGTTGTTTACAAGCTTTGCACAGCAGGGATTCTAGCGGGCCGTGAATGGCCCCTAAAACAGTGCGTGGCACACAGTAGGCTCAAAAATGCTGTAATGTATAAGTAGTTAATAATTCAGTACTTGTATGCAAGATGAACAAAAAAAATAAATTTGGAAGGGTGGGAGTGTTATTACATCCATGGAAGCCGATAAATAGGCTGTCTCGGTATCTATTTCCATTTCTCTGATGCAGTATCTAAATACTCCGCCTCAACTAAATTCCGAGGGCTGACTCTGCAACCCCTGACCCCCAATCCCAGGATGCCCCCCTCTGAGGTTTGATCTGCCAAACCGGTTGAAGAGGCCAGAGGAGGGCACGCGCAGACCCTCACTCTCATCTGCCCCAAGGAAAATAAAGAAAAAGTGAATTCCCAGTACAAATTCTGATAATGCAGCACACACCCCCACCCTGTTCTATCCCCTTAACCTTCTTTAGTTTCTGCATAGCTTATTGTTACATAAAAGTCTGTAAATGGATTTATTCTTTAGTGTCTGTCTCTCCCATTAGTCTGGAAATGAGTTGACGAGAACTTTGTCTTGATCATTGGTGCATCCCCCACTGCCTAGAACAGTGGCCAAGATATAATAGGTGCTCAATCAATATGTGTGAATGAATGAATGAGCAAGTGAGCGAGTGAATGAATCCTTGGGATATTTCTCTCTTGATAAAAATCAGGTTATTGGAATACTGCCGTTTCCTATCTGTGGAAATACAGAGATTGGTATGATGACTTGGGGTAAAGGTGTGGAAGAATGCTGGGGGCGGCCCCACAGATAAATATCTTATTCTGGAGCCAGGACAAGAGAGGGTTTCAGAACGGGGACAAATGATGCAGCTTGCCTCCGGGCCCTTCTAGCAGTGACAACAGAGGTGTAGTTTCCCTATGTGTCATCAAATAACATCTGGGAGGACAGGGGTAAGGAGGATCTGCCTCCCCCACCTGCAAAGTCCAGAGGTAAAGTCCCTAGGTGGGGCGAGGGTTTGAGGAAGGAGGAGGTGTGATGTTCCATTGCCCAAAACACTCACCCTCTAACATCTGCAGAAGAGCTCTCCAGGGCAGTTGTCACAAGGGGGGATCCTGGGGTCCTGCCAAGTCATGAAGCTGAGCTGGGTCTAGACTCCAGGGCTCATAATTGCTCAAAAAGCCCACCTCTACACACACACACACACACACACACACACACACACACACACACACACGGAAAGTTCTGGAAGGATGATCTTCATGGCTGTCTCTTCTGCAGGACAGTGCTGAGGACTCATCCTCAACAACAGTGCCTACTTGCACTCCTGTGCCTACCACAGTGTAGACACAAGGAGAGAATGCCCAAGAAAATGATCAGTATGAATAAATGAGTGAATATTACATAACAGTGCAGATCAATGGCCTCTTCTTTCTCTGCCTCCAAAAGCTCCCAGCTCCCCCTTCCCCATGTGAGTTTGGGGGCTTTATTGAGGGGTCATTACGATTGTGAGTGCTTCTCTCTGCCTCCACTATCCCTACTTCCCCTTGCTCTCATCAGGCACCCCAGAATATGGACTCAGGGATGGAATCACTACAAACAGTAGGAGAATAGTGTGAGTGCCTCTCCAGCTGAAAGGAGATCATCAAACCACCCTTTATGGCCTGGATGGGGGCGGGGGTGGCGCTGTGCAACCCTGGGCAGGTCACCTAGACACTCTAAGTCTCAATGTCCTTATCAGTGAAAAGGGGACAACAGTGGCTTCCTCACATTGTTGGGAGGGTTGAAACATGATGTGAGCAGTCACCAGAACTCACGTGGGCAGGCCCAGCTGCTGCAATTACCATTTCCTCCGGTAGAGGACACTCGACCCCATCCTCAGCCTGCTATGAGGGCGGCAACACCCTTCTCAGGAACCTCTCCTCCTCATAGGAGAAAAAGAGGGACAAGGCTGGATGCCGGGTCCCATCTAACACTTCCAGAGTGAAGGCTAGAAAGGGCCCCTCTGGATCCAGAAGCCAGCCCTTCCCTTTCCTTGGCCCATCTAGGTCTCACCTGGGGCAGTAAGGACTGTGTTCAAGGATTTGGGAGCAGGAGACCTGCCCGGTTGCCCCTTTTGGGGAACTGCACCCCAGGCGTCCAACCCCATAGTAACTTCTGTAGTACTTACTGCCCAGTCTCTGTTCTAAGAACTGGATGTCACTTAATCCCCATAACAGCCTATGAAATAGACCTTTTTTTTTTGAGACAGGGTCTCACTCGGTCGCCCAAACTGGAGTGCAGTGGCGCGATCTCAGCTCACTGCAACCTCTGCCTCCCGGGTTCAAGCCATTCTCCTGTCTCAGCCTCCTGAGTAGTTGGGACTACAGGCGCGCACCACCACGCCCAGCTAGTTTTTGTATTTTTAGTAGAGACGAGGTTTCACCATGTTGGCCAGGATGGTCTCGAGCTCTTGACCTTGTGATCCGCCCGCCTTGGCCTCCCAAAGTGGTGGGATTACAGGCATGAGCCACTGCGCCTGGCCGACACTATTTTTAAAAGTGAACATACCACACATAACCCATTTTAAGTGTCCAATTCAATGATTTTTAGTAAATTTACAGTTATGCAACCATCATCATAGTCCAGTTTTGGGGGTTTTTTTGAGACAGTTTCACTTTGTCTTCCAGGCTGGAGTGCAGTGGCACAATCTCAGCTCACTGCAGGCTTCACCCCCCGGGTTCAAGCAATTGTCCTGCCTCAACCTCCCAAGTAGCTGAGACTATAGGTTCCCACCACCACGCCCAGCTAAATTTTTTTTTTTTTTTGAGAGTCTCACTCTGTTGCCCAGGCTGGAGTGCTCAATCTCAGCTCATTGCAACCTCCGCCTCTCAGATTCAAGCAATTCTTGTGCCTCAGCCTCCCAAGTAGCTGGGATTACAGGCAGATGCTACCACGCCCGGCTAATTTTTGTATTTTTAGTAGAGACAGGGTTTCACCCTGTTGGCCAGGCTGGTCTCGAACTCCTGACCTCAGGTGATCCGCCCACCTCGGCCTCCCAAAGTGCTGGAATTATGGGCGTGAGCCACCGTGCCCGGCCCCATAATCCAGTTTTAGAACATTGCTTATAAGACTCCTCCTCCCCACTTGTAGCTCTCCCTTCCCATCCCCAGCCCTGGGTGACTAATCTTTCTGTCTCTATAGAGTTCCCTTTTTTGGATATTTTATATAAATGGAATCATGCAATATGTGGTCTTTTGCATCTGGCTTCACAAAAGCATAATGTTTTTGAGGTTTACCTGTGTTGTAGCGTGTATTGGTAATCTGTTCCTTTTTTTTTTCTTTTGAGATAGAGTTTTGCTCTTGTTGCCCAAGCTGGAGTACAATGGCACAATCTCAGCTTACTGCAACCTCCGCCTCCTGGGCTCAAGCGATACGCCTGCCTCAGCCTCCCGAGTACCTGGGATTACAGGCACCCGCCACCACGCCTGGCAAATTTTGTATTTTTAGTAGAGACGGGGTTTCTCCGTGTTGGTCAGGCTGGTCTTGAACTCCCGACCTCAGGTGATCCGCCTGCCTCAGCCTCCCAAAGTGCTGGGATTACAGGGATGAGCCACTGCGCCCGGCCTGTTCCTTTTTATTGCTGAGTAGTAGTCTGTTGTAGGGATATGCCACATTTTGTTTATCCAATCACATTTGGGTGTTTTTCACTTTTTGGCTATTATCTATAATGCTGTTATGAACATTTGCTATACACGTCTTTTGTGAATATATGTTTTTATTTCTCCTAAGTAGACATTTAAGGGTGGAATTGCTGGGTCATATGCTACATTTATGTTTAACCTTTTTTTTCTTTTTCTTTTTTTTTTGAGACAGGGTCTCACAGTCTCATTCAGGCTGGAGTGCAGTGGCACAGTCAGGGCTCACTGCAGCCTTGACCTCCTGGGCTCACGAGATCCTCTGCCTCAGCCTCCAGTGTGGCTGGGACCACAAGCCTGAGCCACCATGCCCAGCGAATTTCTTTTTAAATTTTTTTTGTAAGACAGGGTCTCGCTATATTCCCCAGGCTGGTCTCAAACTCCTCGGCTCAAGGGATTCTCCTGCCTCAGCCTCACAAAGGGCTGGGATTACAGGCATGAGCTACCATGCCCAGCTGTGTTTAATTCTTTTAAAAACTGCCAAGGTCGGGCATGGTAGCTCACACCTGTATTCCCAGCACTTTGGGAGGCCAAGGCAGGCTGATGGCTTGAGGCCAGGAGTTTGAGACCAGCCTGGGCAACATGGTGAAACTCCATCTCTACAAAATACAAAAATTAGCCGGGAGTGGTGGCATGTGCCTGTAGTCTCAGCTACTCAGAAGGCTGAGGGTGAGGAATTACTTGAGTCCAGCAGGTCAAGGCTGCAGTGAGCCACATTCATGCCATTCTGTGCCTGGGCGGCAGAGTGAGACCCTGTCTCAAAACAAAACAAAACTAAACTAAAAACTGCAAGGCTGTTTTCCAAACGGGCTATTCCATTTTACATTCCTATTAATATCCATGATATAGGCTGGGCACGGTGGCTCACGCCTGTAATCCCAGCACTTTGGGAGGCTGAGGTGGGCGGATCACCTGAGGTCAGGAGTTCGAGACTAGCCTGGCCATCATGGCGAAACCCCGTCTCTACTAAAAAAATTTAAAACTAGGCCGGGCGCAGTGGCTAACACCTGTAATCTCAGCACTTTGGAAGGCCAAGGCGAGCAGATCACAAGGTCAAAAGATCAAGACCATTTGGCCAACATGGTGAAACCCCATCTCTACTAAAAATACAAAAATTAGCTGTGCGTGGTGGCGGGTGCCTGCAATCCCAGCTACTAGGGAGGCTGAGGTAGGAGAATCGCTTGAACCCAGGAGGTGGAGGTTGCAGTAAGCCGAGATTGCGCCACATCACCCCAGTCTGGTGACAGAGCGAGACTCTGTCTGTAAATAAATAAATAAATAAATAAATAAATAAGCCAGGTGTGGTGGTGCACGCCTGTAATCCCAGCTGCCCAGATTCTCGGGAGGCTGAGACAAGAATCGCTTGAACCCAGGAGGCGGAGGTTGTGGTGAGCCAAGATTGCAGGACTGTACTCCAGCCTGAGTGACAGAACAAGACTCTGTCTCAAAAAATAAATAAATAAATAATCCATGGTATAAATGAGGACATTGAGGGAGATAAGTGACTTGCCCAAGTTACACTGCTAGCAAGTGGTAGAGCCAGAACCCAAACCCAGGTAGTTGAGTCCTAAGTTAGCTCTGGTAACCACAAGGCTACCCCACAACAATGAATCCAAGAGGGAAGCCATTTCTCCACCCTGCCACACCCAGCCACCATCATTTAACCTTTCTTGGTCCCAGAATTCCCTAAGTCAGCAGGGCTGCATCACCCCCTAGCATAAACCCACATGTTCCTCTACCTCCTCTGGGAATTTGCACCCAGGGTTAACAGCTTAAGTTCTGGGCTCAGATGGGTCAGTTCACATTCCAGACCCATCATTTTACTAGCTTTGTGACTTTGGGGCAATTACTTAACCTCAGGAAGCTTTAGTTTCCTTATTTGTAAAACAAGACTAGCATCTTTCCTCATGCAATTAAAAAGGTATTATATGATGGAAAATTTCAAACCTACACAAAAGTAAATAAACATAATTAACCTCTGAGTACCCAATATCCAGCTTCGACACTCACCAACTCATGGTCAGTTTTGTTTCATTCTTACCCACCCACTTCCTCACTTAAAAAAAAAAAAAATCAAATTGGCCAGTATGATGGCTCACACCTGTAATGCCAGCATTTTGGGAGGCCGAGGCTGGCAGATTGTTAGAGCCAGGAGTTTGAGACTAGCCTGGGCACCATGGCGAAACCCCATCTCTACCAAAACAAACAAAAACAACAACATGTAAATTAGCTAGTCCCAGCTACTCAGGTGACTGAGGTGGAAGGATCCCTTCAGCCTGGGAGGTTCAGGCTGCAGGGACCTGCAATCACCACTGCACTCCAGCCCAGGTGACAGAGCGAGACCCTGTCTCAAAAAACAACAATAACAACACAATTTTATTTAGGTATGATTTATGTAATAAAATGCACATTTTAAGTGTACAGTTCAAATGGTTTTGCCAAAGGAATATGCCCATGTTACCACCACAATTAAGATGTATTATAGCCGGGCGCGGTGGCTCACGCTTGTAATCCCAGCACTTTGGGAGGCCGAGGCGGGTGGATCATGAGGTCAGGAGATCGAGGCCACGGTGAAATCCCGTCTCTACTAAAAATACAAAAAATTAGCCGGGTGTGGTGGTGGGCACCTGTAGTCCCAGCTGCTCGGAGAGGCTGAGGCAGGAGAATGGCGTGAACCCGAGAGGCGGAGCTTGCAGTGAGCCGCGATTGCGCCACTGCACTCCAGCCTGGGCAACAGAGCGAGACTCCGTCTCAATTAAAAAAAAAAAAAAAGATATATTATAGAACAATGGCCAGGCACGGTGGCTCATGCCTGTAATCAATCCCAGCACTTTGGGAGGCCGAAGCAGGTGGATCACTTGAGGTCAGGAGTTCAAGACCAGCCTGGCCAACACGGTGAAACCCCATGTCTACTAAAAATACAAAAAAATTAGCTGGATGTGGTGGCTCGTGCCTGTAATTCCAGCTACTTGGGAGGCTGAGGTGGGAGAATAACTTGAACCCAGTAGGCAGAGATTGTAATGAGCTGAGATTGTGCCACTGCACTCCAGCCTGGGTGACAGAACAAGACTCCATCTAAAAAAAAAAAAAGAAAGAAAGAAAAATATAAGATATAGAACAAACCCCAAACCCCATATTATTTTGTTTTGCTTTGTTTGTTTTTTAGAGACAGGTCTTGCTCTGTTGCCCAGACTGGAGTGCAGTGATGCGACCTCGGCTCACTGCAACCTCTGGGGTTCAAGTGATTTTCATACCTTAGCCACCTGAGTAGCTGAGACTACAAACGTGTGCCATCACGCACGGCTAATTTTTGTATTTTTTTGTAGATATAGGGTTTCACTATGTTGCCCAGGCTGGTCTCAAACTCCTGGGCTCAAACAATCCTCCTGCCTTGGCCTCCCAAACTGTTGGGATTACAGGTGCGAGCCACTGTGCCCAACCTAGAACAAACCCCATGTTATTTTTAGGCAAATCCAAGACATCACATAATTTCATTCCTAAATATTTCAATACATATTTCTATAAGGACCCTTTAAAAGTAAACATAACCCCAACATTATTATCAAACCTAAAAAAAATTAACAATTGGCCGGGCACAGTGGCTTATGCCTGTAATCCCAGCACTTTGGGAGGCCAAGGCGGGTGGATCACCCAAGGTCAGGAGTTCGAGACTAGCCTGATCAATATGGTGAAACCCTGTCTCTATTAAAAATACAAAAAATAATCAGCCGGGCATGGTGGCATGCACCTGTAGTCCCAGAAACTCAGGAGACTGAGACGGAAGAATTGCTTGAACCTGGGAGGCACAGGTTGCAATGAGCTGAGGTCACACCACTGCACTCCAGCCTGGGTGACAGAGTGGGACTCCATGTCAAAAAAAAAAAAAAAAAGAATTAACAATCACACTTTAACTTCATCAAATAGCCAGTCAGTGTTCAAATTTCTAATTATCTTATAATATTTTTTCTTTACAATTTTTAGTTTATTTGAATTAGGAGCCAAAGAAGGATTTCAAGTGGTTAATATGTCTCTCTTTTTATCTATAAATTCCCCCTTTATCTCTCTCTGTCTCTCTTTTTTTTTTTCCTCTTTGCAATTTAGTCATTGGAGATACTACGATTGTCTTCTAGACTTCCCATAGTCTGGAATTTACTGGCTGCATTCCCACCGTGAGATTTAATCAAACAATATTTATGGAACAATATTTATTAAGGACCTGCTATGTATAGTATTGTCAAATTTAGCACAGAGCTGGGTGCACTGGCTCACACCTGTAATCTCAGCACTTTGGAAGGCGAAGGCGGGTGATCACTTGAGGCCAGGAGTTTGAGTCCAGCCTGGCCTACATGATGAAACCCCATCTCTACTAAAAATACAAAAATTAGCCGGGTGTGGTGGCGAGTGCCTGTAATCCCAGCTTACAAAAGAGGAGGCTCTTGTAAGGGAGGCTGAGACAAGAGAATCACTTAAACCCTCGAGGCGGAAGTTGCAGAGAGCTGAGATAGTGCCACTGCACTCCAGCCTGGGAAATAGAGCAAAACTCCGTCTCAAAAAAAAAAAAAAAAAAAAAATTAGCACAAAATATACAGAACATATTTATTTATACTAAAAAACTTACTTATTGTTTATCTATAATTCAGATTTGACAGTGTTTTATCTGGCAACTCTATGTGCCAGGTGCTATTCTAGCACTGGGGACACAGCAGCAAGACAGACAACCCCCACCTCAAGGAGTTTGTATTCTAGTAGATTCGGGAAGCCAGCTAATGCACAGGCAAATAATATTCCTTCTGAAGATATTGTGAGGATTAAAGAAGAAACCTAGCCTAGGCGAGGTGGCTCATGCCTGTAATCCCAGCACTTTGAGAGACAAAGGAAAGAGGATCACTTGAGTCCAACAAGAGTTCAAGACCAGCCTGAGCAGCAACATAGCAAGACCCCATCTCTGCAAAAAGTGTAAAAATTAGCTGGGCATGGTGGTGCATGCCTGTGCCCCCAGCTACTTGGGAGGCTGGGACAGGAAGATCCCTTAATCCCAAAAGTTTGAGGATGCAGTGAGCTTTGGTCACACCACTGCACTCTAGCCTGGGTGACAGAGCAAGACCCTGTCTCAAAAAAAAAAAATAATTATTATCCATAGGTAAGAAAAAACATGGCCGGGCGCCGTGGATCACTCCTGTAATCTCAGCACTTTGGGAAGCCAAGGTGAGCAGATCATTTGAGGTCAGGAGTTCAAGACCAGCCTGGCCAACATGGTGAAACCCATCTCTACTAAAAATACAAAAATTAGCCGGGCTCGGTGGCGGGCACCTGTAATCCCAGCTACTCGGGAGGCTGAGGCAGGAGAATTGCTTGAACCCAGGAGGCGGAGGTTACAGTGAGCCGTGATCACGCCATTGCACTCCAGCATGGGTGACAGAGCAAGACTCCGTCTCGGGAAAAAAATAAAAAATAAAAAATGAGAAACTCACGTATTAATGCTTGGTGCATAGAAGTTCATGATCAATGTAAGTGCCTTTGGCAGTAGCTTAGGCTGCCTTTTCCCTTTCCTCCTTTCTTTCCTTGTCCCATCCCTCTCCGCATTCACTTAGGAACTATTCCAGACTTGCCTCCTCCTGCAGTACTTCCTCCATATGACCATGGTTAATTCATTCATTTATTTACCTCACAGTTACTGAGCACCCACCATGTAGCAAGCCCCAGGCCAGGCCCTGGGGACTCAGAGATGCTGGAGACGCAGTCTGGTGGGGGAGATGGACATTACAAGCTGATCTAAGAAGTAGCAATAGAGGGATGATCATGGTCCTGGAATCTTAGAGGAGGATGACCCTAGAGGAAGAGGAAGGAGGTCTTTTCAGAGAACGTAATCTTCCTCCTATGTCTACAGGCTGAACAGGAGTATACAAAGGAGGCAGGGCTGGGCATGGTGGCTCATGCCTGTAATCCCAGCACTTTGGGAGGCCAAGGCAGATGGATCACCTGAGGTCACCTCAGATCACCTGAGACCAGCCTGTCAACATGGTGAAACACCATCTTTACTAAAAATACAAAAATTAGCCATGTGTGGTGGTGCATGCCTGTAGTCCCAGCTATGCAGGAGGCTGAGGCAGGAGAATCACTTTGAACCTGGGAGGTGGGAGTTGCCGTGAGCCGAGATTGCACCACTGCAGTCCAGCCTGGGCGACAGAATGAGAGACTCCATCTCAACAAAAAGAAAAAGAAAAAAAAACAAAGGAGGCAGGAGAGAAGAGAGAAGAATTCCACCTGCAGAGGAATATGAGCAAGGAACCAAGGCAAGCAAGTGCCTGCCCCATGTGCTGCCAACTTCCAGCCATCAGCGTACCACCCCTCTGTTAAGTAGCAGGGTGCCCTGGCCTTGGCCTTTCTCATCCACCTTCCTAGAGTCATCTCATCTCCCTTGCACAGCCAATCACTCTCGCCATCAGGAGGTCTCTCCCATTAAAAAGCTAAATCTTCCTTGACCCCAGAGGCTACAGCCCTATCCCTTTCTTCCCTTCACAGCCAAGCTCCCCCGAGAGCTGTCTACGCACGTAGCCTTCCTTTTCTCACTTCCCACTTGCTCCCCAACCCGCTTCCATCTGCTTCCACCCTCGCCCGCCACCGGAATAGCTCTTGCTGAAGTCTCGGTGGCCTCCATCTCATCGAAACTGGCAGGCACTTGTCAGCCTCCCTGACCTCTCCGGGCAGCCCGCTTGGCTGGCCACTTCCTCCTCCGAGACATTTCCAGTCCCCTTCTTTCTGGACACCAAGCTCCCTTGCTGTCCTGCCTCTGGGGCTGCTTCCTCTTGCTTTTCAGTGCAGGCTCACTCTCCCCTTTTCAGCCCAAAATGTCGGGGCTCCTCAAGGCTTTGTCCAGAACTCTCTTCTCTCTCCAGACACTCTTCCCTGCTCACTTTGCAGTCAGCATTGGAGCCCCGGGGTTCAGCCTGGCCCTTTCCTCTCAGGTCTGGCCCAGACACCACACTGCCCACTCAGTCCACCTCGGACATTTCAAAAGCCCCTCAAACTCAGCCATCCCAAACCATCAGCACCCACTCCACCCCCTCTTCCCAGGAAACCTATCCTGAGGTGTGGCTCCCCCATCTATTCACTTCCACAGCCAGAAACCCAGTCCTCATCCCGACACCTCCAGCCCTCCAAGTCAATGCCTCAGCAAGACTCATCATACCCCACAGTCATCTTTCCAAAGCCACAAATCTGACTGTTACGCCCGTATTCAAAACCTTTTTTCTTTTCTTTTTGAGACAGGGTCTCACTCTGTCACCCAGGCTGGAGTGCAGTGGCACAGTCACAGCTCACTGTAGCCTCAACTTCCTGGGCTCAACTGATCCTCCCACCTCAGCCTCCCAAGTAGCTGGGACTACAGGTATGTGCCACCACACCCAGCTAATTTTTAAAATTTTTTGGGGGGCCAGGCCCGGTGGCTCACACCTGTAATCCCAACACTCTGGGAGGCTGAGGCGGGCGGATCACCTGAAGTTGGGAGTTCGAGACCAGCCTGACCAACATGGAGAAACCCCATCTCTACTAAAAATACAAAATTAGCCAGGTGTGGTGGCAGGTCCCTGTAATCCCAGCTACTCAGGAGGCTGAGGCAGGAGAATCTCTTGAACCTGGGAGGCGGAGTTGCCAGGAGCCAAGATCGTGCCATTGCACTCCAGCCTGGGCAACAAGGGCGAAACTCTGTCTCAAAAAAAAAAAGTTTTTGTAGAGTCGGGGTCTCACCATGTTGCCCAGTCTGGTCTTGGGCCAGCTGGTGAGCAAATGTGGTCCCAGCTACTTGAGAGGCCAAGGTGAAAGGATCGCTTGAGCCCAGGAGTTCGAGATCCATCTCTACAAAAAAACAAAAATCTGTTAATGGTTTCCTACTGCTTTCAGGAGAAAGACCAGACTTTTTTTAATTTTCTTTTTGAGATGGAGTCACACTCTGCTGCCCAGGCTGGAGTGCAGTGGCACGATCTCGGCTCACTGCAACCTCCATTTCCCAGGTTCAAGTGATTCTCCTGCCTCAGCCTCCTGAGTAGCTGGGATTACAGTTGTGCGCCACCACACCCAGCTAATTTTTGTCTTTTTAGTAGAGAAGAGGTTTCACCATGTTGGCCACGCTGGTCTCAAACTCCTGACCTCAAGTAATCTGCCCACCTTGGCCTCCCAAACTGCTGGGATTACAGGCGTGAGCCACCAAGCCCAGCCTAAAAGACTAAACTCTTAATTTGGCTCACAGGTAGTGTTACTTAACTCTAGCAATGCCACACACAGGTCTTCTTAGGGAAGGGGACAGTTCCCTTGCCTCTTCCTTCAGCCACTCATGTCTTCTTTAGGCCTAAAGCAATAAGCTCCTTCCTCTCTTTCCCTAAGCACTTGCTGTTCCTTCAGACTGTAAACTTTCCCCCCACATTGCTTCTCCTGGCCAACGCCTGCTCCTACTCAGAGCTCCACTGAGTCATCCCTTCCTCTAAGAAAACCTCTCTTCGCCCTTCCAGATGATGCCCAGGTCAGTTTCCACACTATCCCCACTTCAAGAGCTGTGTATATTTCCTTCAAAGATTTCCACTGGCCAGGCGTGGTGGCTCACGCCTGTAACCCCAGCACTTTGGGAGGCCAAGACGGGCAGATCACCTGAAGTCAGGAGTTCAAGACCAGCCTGGCCAACACAGTGAAACCTGCTCTCTACTAAAAATACAAAAATTAGCCGGGTGTGGTGGCACGTGCCTGTAGTCTCAGCTACTTGGGCGGCTGAGGCAGGAGAATCGCTTGAATCCAAGAGACAGAGGTTGCAGTAAGCTGAGAGGGCGCCATTGTACTCCAACCCGGGCAACAGAGCAAGACTCCATCTCAAAAAAAAAAAAAAAAAAAAGATTTCCATCTGCTAATCACTATTCATCTATTAGTGTATCTGATTATCCACCTCTCCTCCCTCTCCTCCGCCACTCTGTTTCATGGGGACAGGGACCACATTGAATTTTGCAGTAGCTTAGTAATTGGCACAGAGTTGGCAACCCAATACACTTTTTTTTTTTTTTTGAGACGGAGCCTTGCTCTGTCGCCCAGGCTGGAGTGCAGTGGTGCAATCTCAGCTCACTGCAAGCTGTGCCTTCCGGGTTCATGCCATTCTCCTGCCTCAGCTTCCTGAGTAGCTGGGACTACAGGCACCCGCCACCATGCCTGGCTAATTTTTTTTTGTATTTTCAGTAGAGACGAGGTTTCACTGTGTTAGCCAGGATGGTCTGGATCTCCTGACCTCGTGATCCACCTACCTTGGCCTCCCAAAGTGCTGGGATTACAGGTGTGAGCCACCACACCTGGCCACCAAATACTTTTTTATTTTTTTTTAAGAGACAGGGTCTCCATCTGTCACCTAGGCTAGAGTACAGTGGCATGATCATAGCTCACTGCAATCTCAAACTCTGGGACTCAAGCAATCCTCCCTCCTCAGCCTCCCAAAGCACTGAGATTACAGGCATGAGCCACTGCTCACAGCCAACATTTGCTAAAAGTGATTTAAAGTTTTCATGGAAGTTTACCCCTAAATACTTCAGGAAGTTTTCTTACTACAATATCATGATCATAGGCTGCGTGCAGTGGCCACACTTTAATCCGAGCACTTTGGAAGGCCAAGGTGGGCGGGTCACCTAAGGCCAGGAGTTCAAGAATAGCCTGGCCAACATGGTGAAACCCTGTCTCTACTAAAAATACAAAAACTAACCAGGCATAGTGGTGCGCCTGAAATCCCAGCTACTCAGAAGGCTGAGGCAGGAGAATTGCTTGAACCCGGGAGGCAGAGGCTACAGTGAGCCAAGATCTCTCCACTGCACTCCAGCCTGGGCAACACAGCGAGACTCAGTCAAAAAAAAAATACATATATATATATATATACCCACACACACACACACACACATATGTATATATATGTTTATATATAAAATGATCATACCTCAGAAAATTACCCATTCCTTAATATCATCCAATATGTAGCCCATATTCAAATTTACCAACTTGTCCTCCAAAATGCTTTTTTTGTATTTGATTTGTTCCAACCAAGATCTTTATTTACTTATTTATTTTTTGGGACTGGGTCTTGCTTTGTCGCCTAGGCTTCTGGCACAATCACAGCTCACAGCAACCTCAACCTCCAGGCCTCAGCCTCCTGAGTAGCTGGGACCACAGACGCGTGCCACCATATCCAGCTAATTTATTTATTTATTTATCTATTTATTTTATTATACTTTAAGTTCTAGGGTACATGTGCACAACGTGCAGGTTTGTTACATATGTATACATGTGCCATGTCGGTGTGCTGCACCCATTAACTCGTCATTTACATTAGGTATATCTTATTTATTTATTTATTTATTTATTTTGGTAGAGATAGGCTCTTGCTATGTTGCCTAGGCTGGTCTTGAACTCCTGGGTTCAAGCAATCCTCCTCCCTGGGCCTCCAAAAGTGCTGGGATTACAGGCATGAGCCACTGTGCCTAGCTCCAACCAAAATCTAAATACGGTCTGCGCACTGCATTTCGCTATGTCCCTTAAGTCTCATTTAAATCTAGAATAACTTTTTCCCCCTTTGCCATTGACTTGGTGAACTGCTAAAGTATTTTAAGTAAATTACAGACATCATGTCCCACCTTCTAGATTTCTCTGATTGCTTCCTCATGGTGTTGTTTATCCCGTATTTTCTGTAAACTGGAAATTAGATCTCCAGGCTTGATTAGCTTCAGGTTGACTATGCTGACAAAAACACTTTGTGGGTGAAGCTTCCTCCAACATATTGCGTTCCCTTGGGGTGTCCCTGATGCCTGAGTTTCACTGTTAGTGATATAATATTGATCAGTTGCTCCCCTTGGCAACAGCCAATCCTTCTATCAAGAAATTGCATTTTTTGGCTGGGCGAGGTGGCTCATGCCTGTAATCCCAGCACTTTGGGAGGCCAAGGCCAGTGGATCACTTGAGGTCAGGAGTTTGAGACCACCCTGGCCAACATGGTGAAACCCCATCTCTACCAAAAATCCAAAAATTAGCTGGGTGTGGTGGCATGCACCTGTAGTCCCAGCTACTCGGGAGGCTGAGGCAGGAGAATCTCTTAAACCTGGGAGGCAGAGGCTTGCAGTGAGCTGAGATCGTGCCACTGCACTCCAGCCTGGGCGACAGAGTGAGACTGTCTCTAAAAAAAATTAATGAACAGAAGAAAAGTCATATTTTACAGATGAGGAAAACAGAGGCTCTGCCTCATTCAGTCACTCGCCCCAGAAAGCAGCAAGAGATGGTTAAGACCTAAAGGAAGGCAGTGGCCACAGGAACGGACGGGTTTTCAAAGGAGAATCAGCAGCATCTGCAAACAACTGGCTGTGTTGGGGAGGGAACCAGAAGCCCTGGCAGAAGCAGAGACTTCCCTCACATCTCGGGTGGGACATGAGGAGACAGAGCAACTTGGGGGGAAGGTAATGAGCTCAGGCTCCAGGCTTCCCAGATGTCTCCAAGCCGCTCTCTAGGGAAATGGTGTTTATAACATGACAATGTCTATAATTTGGCTTCCGGCATGACTCGATAATTAGCTTAAGTTATCCCTCATTGGCATTTTATTCAAAGCAAGGACACTCTTCCATTCATTCTGATGAGGCCTGCCTTCTGTGAGTGTTCCAGGGTAAGTGTGAACTGAGAGCTGTGCCTCTGTCTCTTTTGACTGAAGTGGGCTGGAGACTGAAGTTGGTGGGGTGGTTGAAGTGTCTGCTCACTGGGCTCAAGTCTGTCTCTGGGGCTTGAAGGTGTGGGCTCCCCCTCGGACAGGGTGTGGGGGGTGCTGAGACCTGCACATTCAATGCCTAGCAGGAGTTTGGCCCAGAGATTGGTTTCCAAGAGGTGTGTGAAGGAGGCAGTGACCAGGAAGATGGGGGATAGATCCCCTGGGAGGCAGTGTGGAGGACTACAACCAAGATGCTTCAGGCTGAACAGGGCTGTGCTCAGGGGAAATGGGAATGCTTCTGGGTTAGGACGCATTGACCAGGTTGATTCTGTGGGACTGAGTGGCTGATTCAGAGAAGGAGTGAAGAAGACAGAGTTGAGAAGGCCCCCATGTCTTTGTCTCCAGAGAAAGTGGAGGCTAGTAGCTGAGGCAGGACCTGGAAGAGGAAGGGTGGGTCTGGGGTGGGGAGATGCGGAGCTTAGTTTAGATGCGGAGGGAGTGGCCAGAGGAGACCTGGAAAAGGAGGCCTGGGACTGGAGAGGTGAGGACCAGGTCACAGGCACACAGGTCAAGGTTAAAGCCACAGACATGGATAAGCTCTTCCAGGGGAAGCCAAGCGGATCCAGAAGTGGGCCCCTGTGGGAGGGGCAGGGCAAAAGGGCCCTCGCAAAGGTGGCTGGGAAGGAAGAGAGTGAGACTTGAGGGCAAGGGAAAGGGAGTTTTCAGAGGAGGGGGATGGTCATGGGGACCAAATGCCATGGACAGGGTAAGCAGGACAGTGTTTGAGGAGCTACTGACCTTAGTGATTCTGAAGCCTTAGGAGACTCCAGCTTCTCAGCAAAAACAGAGAAACGAGAGGACTCACTTGGTGTCAGAGCCCTGTGGGCCAAGAAGCAGAAAGTATAATACAATTGTCTCTCAGCCCGGAAAAAGCACAGGAAACAGCACCCGCTGGGTGCTACCAGTGTAGCCACTGAGTGACCCCTGCTAGCCTCTGGCTACTTGCTCCTCAGAATAGACCAGGAGGGCATCAGACTGGCACAGCTTGGGCCATATGTCCACATCTTGGCTGCCTAGGGCTTGAAGACAGAGGCTCAGAATTCCTTCCTTCAGTTCTTTCTGTAAATATTTACTGAGAACCTAGAATGCGCCAGGCACCGTTCTAGGCCCTGGAATACAGCAGCAAAATCCACAAACATCCCTGTCTTCATGGCACTCACACCCGAGGGGAAAGAATGACAACAACCCACAGACATAAATGTGGAAATAATGTAAAAGCTGAAGGACAAAAGGAAAGTATAAGGAAGACGGGGAGTATGGGGGCAGCAGGAGAACAGGGTGCAGTTTTTTTGTTTGTTTGTTTGTTTTGAGACAGAGTTTCACTCTTGCTGCCCAGGCTGGAGTGCAATGACATGATCTTGACTCACTGAAACCTCTGCCTCCCAAGTTCAAGAGATTCTCCTGCCCCAGCCTCCCAAGTAGTTGGGATTACAGGCGCCAGCTAATCTCCTCGTATTTTTAGTAGAGATGGGGTTTCACCATATTGGCCAGGCTGGTCTCAAACTCCTGACTTCAGGTGATCCACCCACCTCGGCCTCCCAAAGTGCTGGGATTACAGGGATGAGCCACCGTGCCTGGCCCAGGGTGCAGTTTTAAATAGGGTGGTCCTGCAGGACTTGGTGGCTCACACCTGTAATCCCAGCACTTTGGGAGGCTGAGGTGGGTGGATCGTTTGAGCCCAGGAGTTCAAGACCAACTGGGCAATATGGCGAAACCCTGTCTCCACAAAAAATGCAAAAATTAGCCTGGCATAGTGGCACATGCCTGTAGTCCCAACTACTCAAAGGGCTGAGCTGGGAGGATCACCTGAGCCCAGGGAGGTCAAGGCTGCAGTGAGCCGAGATTGTGCCACTGCACTCAAGTGTGGGTGACAGAGTAAGACCCTGTCTCAAAAAAATTAATTCACTAAAAATTAATAAATAAATAGGATGGTCCAGAAAAGCCTAATCGGGAAGGGAGGAGCATGCCAGGAAACAGCAAGGAAGCTGGTGACCAGAGGATGGGGGTTGGGGTGGAATGGAGAAGAAGCTGGAGGGATTGGGACAGTAGGTTGCGTAGGACCTTGTAGGCCCCTGGAAGGACTTGGGCTTCTCTTTGGTTTTTTTGTTTGTTTTTTTGACGGAGTCTCGCTCTGTCACCCAGGTTAGAGTGCAGTGGTGTGATCTTGGGTCACTGCAACCTCCGCCTCCAAGGTTCAAGGGATCCTCTTACCTCAGCCTCCCAAGTAGCTGGGATTACAGGTGTGTGCTACCATGCCCGGCTAATTTTTGTATTTTTAGTAGAGACAGGGTTTCATTGTGTTGCCCAGGCTGGTCTCAAACTCCTGACCTCAAGTGATCTGCCCGCCTTGGCCTCCCAAAGTGCTGGGATTACAGGCATGAGCCACCGTGCCCGGACCTCAGGCTTCCCTTTGAATGCCATGAGAACATCTGGGGGACTCTGAGCCCAGAGGTGACCTGATTATCTTACAGCTTAATAGGATCACTCTGGCCACTGTGCAGGGAATAAATGGCAGGGCCAAGGATGGAGGCAGGGAGACCAGTTAGGAGGTGACCACAGTAATCCAGGGGAGAAAATGATGGGGGAGATGGTGGCAAGTCATCATATTCTGCACATATTTTGAAGGTAGAGCCAACAGGATTTGCTGACAGAATGGATGTGGGAGAGGAGTCAGGAATGATTCTAAGGTTTTCAGCCTGAACAACAAGAAAGATGAAATTGCCATCAGTTGAGAAGGAAGAGGCTGTGGATGAAGCGGTGGGTGTGGGGTGGGAAGGGGGAAGCAAGGGTAGATCCAGGGTTCCAGGGCAGATCACCCAATGGAGCACTCCCCTGACCTAGGAAAGGGGACACTGGACAGCCACAACTTCCGGCAAATGCCCAGGACAGGTGGTTCCTGGTGACCTGCGGCAGAGCAATTCCAGCAGGGTGAGGAGGAACCACACAGCTAAGTGTGCTGCGCATGTGGAGGCCGCGCTTGGTCTCCTGACTTACGAAGCAGAGCAGAGGGATCTGGGAGACACAGAGGGTGGTGGCCTGAGCCCATGTGGAGGCTGCCGGGAAGAGCCAGGAGAGGGAGAGAGTGCAGATCAGGATAGAGTCTCCACATGAGGGAGGAGAGATGGATCCCAGCCAAGGCTTGGCTGCAAAAGCACAGGGTCAGGCTCAAGGCACTGAGGGCCTGGACCAGCGTCAGGGAGCAGGGGGAAAGGATCCAGAGACATTTGCGCAGCAGAGATGGCCAGGAAGCTGCTGGAGAGTGGGAGGAGTCAGGCGCAACTCCAAGATTTTGAATCCCAACTCCTGCCAGCGTCCTGAAGGCCTCTGTCCCCCTCTAAGTCCAGGTTTACCAAAGCCTGCTGCACCCTGGAGTTCTCAGTTCTCTGAGCACGGCCCCATACCTGATTCTAAATTCACACCACTGCTTCCTCTGCTTTTGTTGCAAGCCACAATCAGAGGACACTGTTCACTTGCTGATTCCAATGCCCTTTGGCCCCTCTATCCCACAGCCCGGTGATGTGGCTCCTTCTCCTGCCCTCCACCAGAGCCCCCATCTCAGCAAGGGCTTTGCTTTCTGTCTCAAAGAGAAACACGGTGCTGAGCGGGGGAAGCTGAGCACAAAAGAGTACACATAATACACTCTTAGGAGGTTCTAGAAGCAGTGACACCCACCTACTGTGACCTACAGTGATAGAAATCAGATCAGTGCTGTCTGGGGCCAAGGGACTGATTGCAATGGGATAGGAAGAAACTTTCCAAAGAGATGGAAATGTTCTATATCTCTAAGGGGTGGTGGTTACACAGCTGTCTACACTGGTCAAACGACATCACCTGTACATTGAAAACGTGTGCATTTTATTATATGTAAATTATACCATAATAAAGTTTATTTTATTTAATTTTAATTCTTTTTTGAGACAGAGTTTCACTCTTATTGCCCAGGCTGGAGTGCAATGGCATGATCTCAGCTCATTGAAACCTCTGCCTCCCGGGTTCGAATGATTCTCCTGCCTCAGCCTCCCGAGTAGCTGGGATTACAGGTGCACGCCACCACACCCAGCTAATTTTTGTATTTTTAGTAGACGTGGGGTTTCATCATATTGGTCAGGCTGGTCCTGAACTCCTGACCTCAGGTGATCCACCCACCTCAGCCTCCCAAAGTGCTGGGATTACAGGCATGAGCCACCGAGCCCAGCCTAATAAAGTTGATTTTTAAAATAGAGAACTAAATATTTTTTTGAGACAGGGTCTCACCCGGTCACCCAGGCTGGAGTGCAGCACTAGGATCATGACTCACTGCAGACTTGACCTCCCAGGTTCAAGAGATCCTTCCACCTCAGCCTCCCAAGTAGCTGGGACTACAAGTACCCACCACCATGCCCAGCTAATTTTTAAATTTTTTGTAGAGACAGGGTCTCATTATGTTGCCCAGGCTGATCTCAAACTCCTGGGCTCAAGTAATTCCTCCTGCCCTGTGCTCTCAAAGTACCTGGCCTAAAAAAAAGAAAAAACAAAAATTTTTTTTTTTAGATTGAGTCTTGTTCTGTTGCCTAGGCTGGAGTGCAGTGGCGCGATCTCAGCTCACTACAACTTCCGCCTCCCAAGTTCAAGCAATTCTCGTGCCTCTGCCTCCCGAGTAGCTGGGATTACAGAGGTGCACCACCATACCCAGCTAATTTTTGTATTTTTAGTACAGACAAGGTTTCACCATGTTGGCCAGGCTGGTCGCGAACTCTTGGCCTCAAGTGATCCACCTGCCTCGGCCTCCAAAAGAGCTGAGATTACAGGCATGAAGCACCATGCCGGGCCTTAAAAAATTTTTTTAGGGCCGGGCGTGGTGGATGGCTCATGCCTGTAATCTTAGCGCTTTGGGAGGCTGAGGCAGGCAGATCACAAGGTCAGAAGACCAGCCTGGCCAATATGGTGAAACCCCGTCTCGACTACAAATACAAAAATTAGCCAGGTATGGTGGCAGGCGCCTGTAGTCCCAGCTACTTAGGAGGCTGAGGCAGGAGAATCGCTTAAACCTGGGAGGCAGAGGTTGCAGTGAGCTGAGATCTCGTCACCGCACTCCAGCCTGGGCGACAGAGCAAAACTCCGTCTAAAAAAAAGAGGGTGGGTCTGAGAGGCCCCCTTGGAAGAAGTGAGACTAGAGCAGGGCTGGGAGGTCTGAGAGGCTCCCTTGGAAGAAGTGAGATAAGGGACAGCTGGGAGGCATTCCAGGTGGAAGAGGGGCTGGTTCACTCACAGGCCCAGAATCTACAGGGCCACCAAGGAACCAGCCTGACAGCAGAGGCAGGTGGGGCCACTAAGAAAGTTGGGGCTGTGTGGCCCCTCTGTGACCACAGTTCTTCCTTCCCACTCCCTTTCTGTTCTTTGATTCCCCTCCTCCACCAGGGCACACAGTTCCCACTGGGCAGCCTGTGTAATGCGCCCCACATTTGTGCTTTGAGGCTACAGAGCACTTCCCCTACACCAGGGACCTGAAACGTGTCCTGGCTAAGCATGTTTTTTTTTTTTTTTTTTTTTTTTTTTTTTGAGACAGAGTCTTGCTCTTGTCACCCAGGCTGGAATGCAATGGCACCATCTCAGCTCACTGCAAGCTCCACCTCCCGGGTTCAAGCGATTCTCCTGCCTCAGCCTCCCAAGTAGCTGGGACTACAGACATGTGCCACCACACCCGACTAATTTTTGTATTTTTAGTAGAGACGGGGTTTCACCATCTTGGCCAGGCTGGTCTCGAACTCCTGACCTCGTGATCCACCTGCCTTGGCCTCCCAAAGTGCTGGGATTACATGTGTGAGCCACCGCACCCCGCCTAAAAAATTGTTTTTAAAGATAAAATAACAGTCTATCAAGCAGAAAAATCCTACACACACACACACACACACACACACACACACACACACGCTCATCTCACACATACACACACTCCCATCTGTCCACATGCTTTGCTTCCTCCCTTCTCTCTGGCACGGCAGAGCGCCTCCTCTTGTCCATGCAAGCTATCACGCCTAGACTGTTCCCCCTAAAAAAAACTCATGCCACCCTTCCTCTGACCTTGCATCCATCTCCCCTGCTGTCCTTACAGCCCAGCCCCTAGGAAGGATGGGCTATATTCCCCTTCAGCATGCTGGATCAGTCACCCATCTCTGAGACACCTGCCCTGCAGAGACACTCCTTCTCTCCTTTCTGTCTTCTCTCAGGTTCCTAGGACCCCACTTGCTTGTATCCAGCGATGGAGGGAGAGTTTCAGGCTCTCCCTCCATGTCTGGATACTCCTTCTCATGCTCCCAGCCCAGCTCCTCTCCCTCTGACACCTCTTCAGTGCCGGCATTCCCTGGGCCCCTGGACCTGGTCTTCTGCTTTCCACTCTGCACCTGCACAGTCTCCCGTCATGATCTCACCTGCTCCAGGGCTTCAGTTACCATCTATTGCTGACAATGCTCAAAGATACCTCTGAATATTTTTTTCAGAGTATCAAGGATGTGGCAGAAGAGGTAGACACAGGATATATGACATATGCTTCAGAAGCTGTTTACAATTTTTAATATGATATGTATACTCAACCCCCTTCTGTCACAGTCCACTGGACCTCAGGCTCAGAAAGCCCCAAACTGAACTCATCAGCCCTTTGCCAGCCCTGCTCTTCCTCCCTTCCTCAGGATTCCAGCTTCAGGCAGAAACCTGGGAGTTACCCTCTTACTCCATGACCAGCAATTGTCAATTATCCCCTTCTCTTGATTTCACCCTCTAAAACTCCCCCTTCTCCACCCCTACAGACATTCCCAGAGAGGTTCAAGCATTCATTCATTCAATAAGTATTAGCTGAGCACCTACTCTGTGCCAGACACTGATCCCGATGCTCAAACACAACACATAAAAATCAGTGCCCTACAGAGCTTCCCTTCTAGCACTTGCAGTAATTTCAAAAGCGGCTCCATCTTTCATTCTAACCCCTCTAACTGCCCACTCTGCTGTGGCCACAGCAAAAGTCACCACATGTGCAGCTGCTCAGCATCTTCCATGGGACTTCATCCTCCTGGGATCAAGCCTGGGCCATGTGTGAGGTGTCCTGATCCCCTTCCTCCTGTCTTCTCTCATCTTCCCTTCCTCCCCCACCAAACACTTGTACCCTCTAAACATGGTAGACTCCCTCTGCAGGTGGTCCATCCCCAAATATAAGGCATATTGTACTGCCTGTCCAGCGGCCTTCCCTTCAACCCCAAGCACCTGCAGGACCAGAACTGCTTTTATCCTTCCTGCAGTATCAGTGCCTGGCCCATTATCCGGCACATAGTCGGGGGGTCAACAAATGGTAACTGATTACATAGATGACAGTGGATTAACAGTAGTGTCACACAGACAGGGAGAGTCTTGGGGAGCAGGGAAACATGAGTTCTGAATTAGCCCCAGAACACCTCCCTGATTGATAATTTAGACCAACCCCATGGACACCTAGTTAAAAGGGGGGGTGCTAGCGGGGCATGGCAGCTTACACCTGTAATCCTAGCACTTTGGGAGGCTGAGGCAGGAAGATTGCCTGACCTGAGTCAAGATCAGCCCAGGCCAGGCGCGATGGTTTATGCCTGTAATCCCAGCACTTTGGGAGGCCAAGGTGGGCAGATCACGAGGTTAGGAGTTCAAGACCAGCATGGCCAACATAGTGAAACCCCATCTCTACTAAAAAAAAAAAAAAAAATACAAAAAAATTAGCCAGGGCGGGCGCGGTGGCTCAAGCCTGTAATCCCAGCACTTTGGGAGGCCGAGGCGGGCGGATCACCTGAGGTCGGGAGTTTGAGACCAGTCTGACCAACATGGAGAAACCCCGTCTCTACTAAAAATTCAAAATTAGCCAGGCGTGGTGGCGCATGCCTGTAATCCCAGCTACTCAGGAGGTTGAGGCAGGAGAATCGCTTGAACCGGGAAGTGGAGGTTGCAGTGAGCTGAGATCACACCATTGCGCTCCAGCCTGGGCAACAAGAGTGAAACACTGTCTCAAAAAAAAAAAAAAAAAGTGAGGTGCAAATCCTACTTTTGCACCTACTGCTCTTTCCTCGCCCTAGAAATTTCCACAGGAGCACAGTCATCAACCTACAGAATGTTAACACCAAGGGGACTTTCAAGATCTGGTCACCTGACCAAATACCAGAGAGGGTAACCGCTTTGCCCAAGGTCACACTGCTGGCTGGGGCAGGGCTGGGACTAGAGTAGCTCTGGAAAATGGGAACAAGAATAGAACCTATCTCAATCTTGTTGCAGGGAGTATGTTACATGCTTAGCACATTGCTTGGCACATAATAAACTCTCATCGAATAGGAGCTGTTGCTGTTATCGTTGCTATTATCATCATCATCATCATCACAGGTGTCCATCCTTGCCTCCAAGTTCCTTGCCTCCTGATCCTCCCATCCCCCAGTGCTATTCTCCACTATTTCCTCCCTTTCCTCCCAATCCATGATTTCCTCCCTTCTCCCCTCCCAATTCATGTTTGGCCCACTGCAGTCAGCGTCCACCACCACCAGTGCCTGGAACCTTCCAGGCTGAGGTCACCAGGGACCTCCTCCTTGTAGAACCCTTCCTTCCCTCGACCTCTCAATGGCATGTGACCCTAGCACTGCTTCCTCCTTAAATGTCCTTGACTTCTATAACATAAACTCTCCTGCTGCTCAGGACATCCGGCTCTCCCTCTCACCCTCTCTGCTAATCCAGACACAAATAGTCAACTGCCTACTGCCATAGGCACCCAACGTCAGCACATCCAAAGCAGTTTGTTACCAGCTCCATCACCCTGCCCCGCTCCTGGGTTCTACTGTTCAGTGTACAGATAGCCCCGTCCACCAAATACCCTAGGCTGCACCAGGCAAGACAGGGGAGGACTCCCAGAGGTACAGCCTAGGGGATGGATTTGGTGGATGGGGTTCATCTGAACATCCTTCTTAACATCCCACCTTTTTTTTTTTTTGAGATGGAGTCTCGCTCTGTCACCCAGGCTAGAGTGCAGTGGTGTGATCTCAGCTCACTGCAACCTCCGCCTCCTGGGTTCAAGCAATTCTCCTGCCTCAGGAGATTCTCGAGTAGCTGGAATTACAGGCATGCGCCACCACGCCCTGCTAATTTTTGTATTTTTTTTTCTTGAGACGGAGTTTCACTCTTGTCATCCAGGGAGTGCAGTGGCGCGATCTTGGGTCACTATAATCTTTACCTCCCGGTTTCAAGCAATTCTCTGCCTCAGCCTCCCAAGTAGCTGGGATTACAGGCACCTGCCACCATGCCCAGCTAATTTTTGTATTTTTAGTAGAGACGGGGGTTTCACCATCTTGGCCAGGCTGGTCTTGAACTCCTGACCTCGTGATCCACCCGCCTCAGCCTCCCAAAGTGCTGGGATTACAGGCGTGAGCCACCATGCCCGGCCGCCTCTGCGCCTTTGAACATGCTGTTCCCCCTGCCTGGAATGCTCTTCTGCCCCTTAACTGCCTGCAAACTCTCCCTCACCCACTTGGTCCTAGTTCAGGCCCTCCCTGATCCCATAAACTCAGTTACTTCCTCCCTGCAGTATCAGCATCATTCATAGCACTGTCATAGCCCTTTTCATCCTGAAGTTAATAATTCCCTATGTCTGTCACCCCTACTAGCTATCTGTGTACCTACCATGTATCTCCATGTATCTGTTAATACTTTCCTATGTCTGTCATCCCCAGGTGCTATCTGTGTATCTCCTATGGCCAGCCCATGATGATTCAGTGAGTGTCTGCTGAAAGACCGAATAATTAAACTTTTTCAACTTCTGTCCTGATGGTAAGTATAAGAGGAGGGATGAAGATTAGGCTGTAAGGCCAGGCGCAGTGGCTCACACCTGTAATCCCAGCACTTTGGGAGCCTCAAGCAGGGGGATCACGAGGTCAGGAGATCAAGACCATCCTGGCTAACCGGTGAAACCCCGCCTCTACTAAAAATAAAAAAAATTAGCCGTGCGTGGTGGCACGCGCCTGTGGTCGCAGCTACTCGGGAGGCTGAGGCAGGAGAATGGCGTGAACCCAGAAGGCGGAGGTTGCAGTGGGCCGAGATCACATCACTGCACTCCAGCCTGGGTGACACAGCAAGACTCTGTCTCAAAAAAAAAAAAAAAAAAAAAAAAAAAAGATTAGGCTGTAAGAGGAACTGGTAAAGTGGAACACAGCAGGGCAAATGTGCTAGTCAACTGTCATTGCTTACCCTGGAAATTTCCCCAGGAGCGGAGTCATCAACTTACAGAATGTTACCACCAAGGGGACTTTCAAGATCTGGTCACCTGACCAAATACCAGAGACGGTAACTGCTTTGCCCAAGGTCACACTGCTGGTTAGGGGCAGGGCTGGGGCTAGAGTCCACGTAGCTCTGGAAAAAGTTTGGGCAGATGCTATCTCATCCCATGAACTTCTTCCCTTCCTACCCATTCTGTCTCCCCAAAGGAGGTCCCTGATGCCCTAACATGGTCAGGGAACTACCTGGGCTCACTCACAGCTCTTACAGCATTTGCTGGGACCTTGGCCAGGTGGAGTTACCAAAATCCTGTAGACTGGAGGCAGGGGGATCCAACTATCACCATATTAGAGATTGGCAAACTGAGGCAGCTAGCTAACCGCAGAGGGCAAGATTTGATATTGAGTACTGTGTTCCTCCTGTAGAAAGACCTGAGAAGCCCAAACTCCCACATATGCAGAGTCACTATTCACAATAATCATGACTGCTGACTTCCTAATGTCAGGGAAATCCCCTCACTCCCACCAGTTCCTCCTGAAACAGAGCCTCCCTCCATCTTGCACAGGGTGTCTGACTTAGGAAACAAACTGTACACCCACCCTCCTAAGCCACCCAGGCCTACTAGATAGATCACCTCCGAGTCATACCCTTTAATGGGGAAATCACCCTTCTTTGTGCCAGGCACTTGACATCGTCACTGCTCACATCAGCCCTAAGGTTAGTACTACAGTCTGCGATGGGGAAACGGAGGGTCCCAGATAAGTCACTACTAATCCATGGTCAAAGCAAGAAAGTGGCAGGGCTGGGACTCGAACTTAGGTTTGCCTGACTCCAGCGGGTCCCCGCCCAGGCGGGAGGCCCTCCCAGCTGAAGCCTTTCGCTGACTAGATTACCTGGGGGAAAATGACTTAACCTCTTCGAACCCCCAGAAGGTCAGAAGCTTTGCTTTTGGGGGAGAAAATGGTGTGCAAACGAGACGCGAAGGAAACGCAAACCCTCGGGCGTCGGCGCAGCCTCTTCCCCGAGCCTGGGTCTGTCTAATGGCCCAGAGGGAGAGGTCGCACCCCCGACCCCTGGCACCTGCGAAACCAAGCGCCCGGTCGGCTGGCAGAAACGAAACCTCAACACCCTCCAGCCTCCCCCGCTTGGTTCCCGGAACCGGCGAGCCAGGCTTCGCGGAAACTTGCCCGGCGGCAGCCGCCTAGGGCCCCGGGATCGCCCTGACCGCAGCCCGCAGCTCCGGGCCGGGAGGTGCGGGCCGGCGCGGTCGGGCCCGAGCAGCAGCGCGACGCGCGCTTCCGCCCCGCTCGGCTCCGGCGGCGGCCGCGGCGGCCCCACAATCCCCTTCTGGCTCCGGGGACGGGCGGGGCGGGGCGAGCGGGCGGAAATAATTTTCTGTTTGGTCGTCTCTGCCCCAGTCCCTTCGCCGCGGGACGCGCGAGACGGGAGAAGGTGCGGGAAGCGGGAAGCAGGAGCGGGAGCGCGCGGCCCTGGCACGCATAGGGCGGCGGAGAGGGCACGAGCAGGGATTGAGCACCTACTGTGTGCCTTCACGCTTTACAAAAGGATTTTCGTTCGATGTTCACTACAGCCCCTGCCCGGGGGTACTGATGCCCCATTTACAGAGGGACAAGCCGGATTTCGGAGAGGTGAAGTCACTCGCCGAAAGTCGCACCGCCAGGGTCTGCGTGACACCCTAAAGCAGTGTTCAGTTACCCCGGGGAGAGCGCGATGAACTTGAACCACTTGTTGGCTGGTTCCTGCTCTTGCTCGTTTTTTGCGGATCGACACATAGTGGGCGCTCAGGAAAATAAATGTTGGAAGCTTGAGATTGAACTTGACAGCTCGACCCTAGGTACCCGCCACGAATCCAGCCCAGCCCGCGGGGCACCGGGTTTCTCCAGACCTCGCAGGGAACATTTGCGGATGGGCTGGTAGAGGAGGCTCGGACATCCCAGTTCCGCACCCGCACTCGACCAACGCGTGGTAGCGGAACCCCTGTCGTAGCGAGGCACAGACTGGGTTCAAGTCCCGACTCTGCCGATTTCAGCCTGAGTGACTTTGAGCGAGTCACTTTTTCCCGTCGAAACCTCAGTTGCTCCATCCACAAAATGGGAAATATGAACAGCCACCCTAAAACGGTGTGGGGAGGATTAAACGAAACAACGTTCCCAAAACTCTAAACTTACAAATGTTGTCTCCCGTCCATCCCATAAACTTAGGCGACAAACCTGGCGCAGGGTGACCTGAGACAAAGGCTTCCCGGCCCCTGTCTCCAAGTCGTCCATCCCTGGGGCGTAGGCACGTTTTAGTGAGCCCTGTCCGGCGAAACCCGAAACTGCGGCCACCTTGGCAGCGGTGGGCCCCAAAAGGAAATATTCAAATATTCTGAAACTCGTGCATGATTTAGGACTGACATTTTTACGTTTAATTTTCTTGCAGTTTTATTCTTGCTAGTAAAGGTAATTCGTTAGAAACCCTTAAGTGCAGTTTCTCCTCTGTGTCTTGTTTAACTTTTCGTGTTAGCGAAATTCACAAATTTGACCAAGGAACCGGAGCGCGGCCGTCCTCGCCGGGATTCCGGTCATCGCAATAATCTGGCTCTCGGCCCCTACTCCCAGGCACGGAGGTCGAAGAGACGGGCTTCCCCTACACCGCCCTGTGTAGATGTAGCCTCTTCGTCCCGGCAGCCCTCCGAGATTCCCTGTGTCCACCGGAGCGAGGAGAGGTGTGGGGCTGCAGCCCAGAACTCAGCTTCCTGGACCTCCCCAAACTCCCGCCTCTCCGGGATTAAGGGAGTAAATCCCTGACGCCAAAGACCAGGTCAAGGACAAGTTCTCCCCCGCCCTACTCCCCCCTCCTGGGCGGGGATTCATCTCCCTTCCGGATGAAAGGTACTAAAGAGCCGACGGGGGGCCGCGGCGGGCCCCAGGCCCTTGATGTTCCGGTTGAACAGGTGCTGGTGAAAAGGAGGCGGACCCGGCGGAAGAGTCTGCCAGGGGGCAGTGCGCCGAAGGGGAGGCGGCCTCCTCCACCCCCAGTCCCCCGGCCCGTCTTCCCTTCTCCTCTCTGTTTGCCCCTCCCCCGCAGGAAGCGTTCCCGGCCGCGAGGTCTTTGAAGTGTCGTTGAAGCCCCCAGGGCTGCCTTCTCCCCTACGCCACCCGAACTCCCGCTGTGGGGGGCGGGTGACCTTTAGTCCCCACGAGTCGTCCCCCTTTAGGAAGTTTTTGGGGGTCAGATCTCACCCCCCCTTGCCCACACAGGTTGGGAAGAAGACTTTGGGCCGACGCCCCTCACTTCTCCCCCAGACCCAATTGCAGGGACTTTAGTCCTCTGGAGTGCTGCGTGTGAGTTACCTTGTGTGTCTGTGTGCGTGCCTAGAGGTCAAGTGTAACTGGTGTTCGTGAGCACCTCGTGGTTGCGGGTCTCTAACTCTCGTGGGTCTCTAAGCGCACCCGCGGGGCTGGAGCGGAGGTTCGTGTCTCTGGGAGGGTCAGTGGTGTGACTGAAGCTGGGAGTTAGCTCGTGTCTGTGGGTGCCTCGGTGTGTGTCTCTGGGGCTCTGAGTCCCTGTGCGTGCGTGTGTGTCTGTGAACCCGACAGGAAGCTCCCCGAGGGCAGGAATATGTTTTGCTCTCTACTCGATCCCAGCGACTGGCAACGAGCGTTTAATAAATATCTGTTGAATGAATAAATGTCTGCGTGTGAGAGCGTCTACCCTCCAGAGTGGCCTCGGAGGAAAGGGCCCGAGGGCGGCCATCCAAAAAGACCCCCAGACACGGGGTGGGGCGGGGGCGAACGGCCCGCGTCGCTCCCATTCCTCCTAGCGCCCCTTCCCCCGGTCTCCACTCCAAAGTTTCCCTGGGGCTGAAGAATCCACCCAGAGACGAAGACTTGGCGGAGGGGGCTGGAGACTCGGGGACCCGGGGCCCGAGACGGGAGTGCGGGCAGAGGGAGGGCTCGGGAGCGACGACCCAGAGCCGTGAAACGAAAAAGAAAGCAGGCAAAGCAGCACGGAGCGAAAGAGCGAAAAGCTCCCTACCAAGCCAGGCTTTGTTCCCTGAACCTAAGACTTTACCCGGCGGCTGGCGGCGGGCGGGCCGGGAGCGAGCGAGCGGAGGCGCGCGGCCATGGCTGCCGCGGCCGGGCAGGGGGGCCGGGGGGGCGGCGCGTGAGCGGGTGGCGCGGGGCGGCGCGGGGCGGGCGGGCGCCCGCGATGTGCCACTCGGCGCCTCCCCCGCCGGGCTCGGGCTACGCGGCGGCGGGGCGGCCCTAGGAGCCGGGCGAGCGGCGCGGAGGGGGCGAGCCCGGCGTGCGAGTCTCATTGTTGTGGGGGGGGCCCGTCGGGGCATGAGGGCGAGAGCACGGCGGGGGGGGCGGCCAGACAGAGCGAGCGAGGAGGAGGAGGAGGAGGACGCGGAGGAGGAGGAAGGAGGAGGCAAAGAAAAGAAGCGGCGGCGGCGGAGGGAGAGGAGGAGGGGGCGAGGAGGCGCGCGGCCCCCCGCTCCCTCCCTCCCCCCTGACCCCCGACCCCCGCCGGCCGGCCCCCCGCCCCAGCCCCGGAGGGAGCTCATGGGAGTATGAAGGAGATGGTAGGAGGCTGCTGCGTATGTTCGGACGAGAGGGGCTGGGCCGAGAACCCGCTGGTCTACTGCGATGGGCACGCGTGCAGCGTGGCCGTCCACCAAGGTACGGGGGTGGCCCGCGGGGGGCGGCGGGACCCCGGGGGCGGCGTGCGCGGGGCGCCCCCGGCCGCGCCCTCCGGAGACCTCCTGGGGCTCGCGCGCCCCTCCCCCACCCCACCTGAAGGGAAGGGAGGCGTAGGGGGAGCTCCCCCCGCCCGGTCCTGGAAGACCGGGTCAGGCATTGTTTTCTTGCCTATTGTTCCAGTTCCGCGCCCCCCACCCTAAGTTGAGGGAGTTTGGGGAGAGTCTAGGGAGCAATGAGTGAACTCCCCACGCCCCACACCGCGGGTGTCGGGGCTGCCTGGGGAATGTTTACCTGCGAGGTGTCCCCTCCCGCCCGGTTATTTTGGTCCCGGCTCCTGGAGGAAGAGGTCAAGGGGGGGGCGTCATCCCCCCTCGCTTCCGGATAATGGGAGGAGCGGACTTGGAAAGGGAAGAGAAGGGTCCCAGGGGAGAAGGGACTCCTAAAATCCGCCGGGGAAGAGCTAAGGATAGGAGAGAGGTTGTGCAGGGGGCCGGAATCGAGAAGAGGGAGGCTTGGAGTTTCCCCCAGCAGCACATGGTTCGGGAGTTAACTCCTTGAGGAATCTTGCCGAGGGCGCAGGCTGGCATCTCCCGCCTGCCTGGCACAGGCAGCCGGGCCCCCCCTTCCTGGGACATCCCTGAATGCTGTGGCCCGGGGCTCTTCCCGCCACGCTCCTCTCGGTTCCCAGCACCGCACCTGCCCTCAGCCTTGACTTTTAACCTGATTCTGGAATACTTAGAGGTAGAAGATGAGGTCCCTAGACCCCCTACTTCTCCGCCTCGTCCCTCACTGGCCCTTTAAGAAATCCCCCCGCCCACAACAACAAAACGTGTTTGACGGTCGTGACTGTTGTCCCCTCTGGTTTTCTCTATTTCTGATGCTGATGGCTGGTCCGAGGAAGAAGCTGGGAAACAAGTCCAGAAAGGGCGTGGGGGGAGGATCTTCTAGAAGTTTAAGGTCAAAGACTCAGACTTCCCGCCCTGTTTGAAGTGCTTAATTGTGTGGTTGAAGGCTGGTGTTGGGCGGTTGGGCAGTCCTGCTGTAGAGTGAGTGACCCGTAGACTGGGGAGCAGCCCCCACTGCTGGAACTGGCTCTAGTCCTTTGGAGTCACCGCCTTCCCCCAGTTACCCTGGGAAAAAGCCACTGGCTGACAGCTTTGCTCAGCGACTGTCCTCCCCACCCTCAGCTTGCTATGGCATCGTTCAGGTGCCAACGGGACCCTGGTTCTGCCGGAAATGTGAATCTCAGGAGCGAGCAGCCAGGGTGGTGAGTTCCAGACTGCCCCTCTCCACTCCCCTGCCCCTCCCACACACCTGAGCGTCTCAGGTTGAGCTAGGGGACTCTGAGGCCGAGGCTAGGGTGGGATTTAGCTCTGTCACACAGACTTCCTGTTTCCTGCACACCTACCTCCAACCTCATCTCTGCCTCACGCTCATCCCTCCCTCTGCCCCACCTCAGGCATGGGGCTTTGGTTTTTGTCTGTTTGAACTTTTTTATTATGGGAAGTTTCCTACTCATATGAAAGTAAAGGGAAAACTATAATGAATCTCATGTCCCCTTCCTCATTTTCAACAGTTACCAACTCATGGCCAATCCTGTTTCCACTGTAGCCCCATCCATCCACCCTAGAGCTTAGCATTTCAGCCTGGGACCCCTTGAACGTGTTCAGGGAGGGTCCAGCTCAGCAGATCCCCCAACCCCTGTGCACTCTTGCATTGGCAGAGGTGTGAGCTGTGCCCACACAAAGACGGGGCATTGAAGAGGACTGATAATGGAGGTGAGGCGGGCTCATCTGCTGAGGTCAGCAGGGCCCCCTGAGCAGGGTCTGGGAAGGCAGGAATGGACTGAGTTGGGGTGGAGGCCGGGTTTCCTTTCCCTGGCTGGCGCTGGAATCTGATGGGAAGGCTGTGGAGGAGGGAACAGTCTGCAGCGTGGGGTCATAAGGGGTGGAGTCTCCGGCTTGCCATCTGCAGCTGAGGCTACCCCCACACTGCCCCAGGCTGGGCACACGTGGTGTGTGCCCTCTACATCCCCGAGGTGCAATTTGCCAACGTGCTCACCATGGAGCCCATCGTGCTGCAGTACGTGCCTCATGATCGCTTCAACAAGGTCAGCGGCCCCCCGCCGTGTCCCCTACCAGTTCCCTCCCATCTATGGGTTCCTCCAACGCTCTCTTCATCCGGTGTAATTTGATTCTGTCCAACGAGCACTGAAAGGGAACTTGGGAGGTGGGTAGGTACCTACCAGTGAACCACCCTTCTGTTGACAGACACACTCATGCTCTGGCACTCAGGTGAAATAGTAGGCTCCCCTGCAGTAGTTCTGCCAGAGGGTAGACCTTCGCAGTTACTTCATTCATTCATTCGCTGGACACATTTTATTAAGTGCCTACTATGTGCCAGACCTGGTGCAAGGTAGCTGGCACACGCTGTTCGGTGCTGATCAAGACAGGTGTGCTGCCCGCTCAATGGAACGCAAGTTCTTGCATGCGAAGACTATAAATATCAGTAAAAAGGCAAAGTAAATGCAATTTGTGATAAATGCTGTGAAGAAAATAAGACACTAAAATAAAGACCTGGTGGGGGCTTACTTTAGACCAGATGGTAAAGGAAGGAGACATTTAGGCTGAGACCTGGGGCGTGAGAAGGAGCCAGCTTCCAGGAGGGTAAGGGCCCCCAGGTTCCAGGCAGAAGAAAGCCTGGGCAGAGGCACAGAGGTGGGCATAAGCTCCCTAGTGAGCAAGACAGACAAAGGCCTTGGCCTTTCAGAGCTAACCATCCAAGGACTGTGCTACCCAGCATAGTAGCCATCGGCCACACGTGGCTACATAAATTAATCAAAATTAAAAGCAGGCTGGGTGTGGTGGCTCACACCTGTAATCCCAGACTTTGGGAGGCTGAGGGGGGTGGATCACCTAAGGTCAGGAGTTTGAGACCGGCCTGGTCAACATGATGAGACCCCATCTCTAGAAAAATACAAAAATTAGCTGGGCATGGTGGTGGGCACCTGCAGTCCCAGCTACTCGGGAGGTTGAGGCAGGAGAATCCCTGGAACCCAGGAGGCGGAGGAGGTTGCAGTGAGCCGAGATCGTGCCACTGCACTCCAACCTGGGCGACAGAGGGAGACTCCGTCTCAAATAAATAAATAAAAATAAACAACAATTAAATACAGTTTAGAATCTAGTTCCTCAGTCACGCTAGCCATAGTTCAAGTGCTTATAGCCCATGTGACTGGTGGCATTTGTCTTGGACGGCGCAGACCATAGAGCGTTTTCATCACTGCAGACAGTTCTGTGGGATAGCACTGATCTAAGACTGTAGAGAGCAAATGGAATGGAGGGGGTGGCCTAAGGACCATCAGTAGAACAGGGGCTCCCTGGAGGAGGGGACGATTGCGCTGTGTCCTGCAGACCTGTTACATCTGCGAGGAGCAGGGCCGGGAGAGCAAGGCGGCCTCGGGAGCCTGCATGACCTGTAACCGCCATGGATGTCGACAAGCTTTCCACGTCACCTGGTGAGACCCCTGTCCCACCCCCCTGCCCCCCGGGTTTGTCCTGGATGGCCACTGATCAGGCTCATCCTAGCTGCTGTCCCTTTGATGGTGGTGGCAATGCTTTGGATGGTCTTGGCTTCGCCTCAGCAGGGGGCCAGGAGGGTGAGAGGAAGGTGGCTCATGTGATCTGTGGCCTCAGCCGTCTCAGGCTGCCTTCTCTGGTTAGTGCCCAAATGGCAGGCTTGCTGTGTGAGGAAGAAGTGCTGGAGGTGGACAACGTCAAGTACTGCGGCTACTGCAAATACCACTTCAGCAAGATGGTGAGTCCTGGCGACCAGCGCATGAGCGGGTCAGTCAGCTGTGGTAAGATGGTTAGAGGGCATGGGCTCTGGGCCAGGCCAGTGCCTGGTGCTAGGAGGACAGAGAGGGAAAAAACCCAGTCCCTGCCCAAGAGGAGCTCTTCATTCGATGAGGAATAAAGTACAGCTTCAGGTGTGTGGATCAGAGCTAGACCAAGCAGTCTGTCCCAAAAGACAAAGCTCAGACCCTGCCTGTCAGAGTCTAGGAGGCTTCAAGGAAGAGGTAGCATTTAAGCTGAGTGGAGGTGGAAATCAAAGTAAGAGCCAACATTTGTGTGGGAGGCAGCATTTACTACGCCTCCGCCTTAGGACAAAGTTCCTGCCATGTGTTATTTTGTGTGGTCCCCCCACCAACCCTAAGAACTAGGTGTGCTATATTTTCCCCATTTTACAGATGAGTAAACTAAGGCTCACTGAGGTCATATAACTTATCTTGCAGCTGGTAGATGGGATTTAGAACGGGCAGCCTAATTTGAAAACTCCTCAGGAGCCTGCCAAACAGAGAAACGAGTCCCAGGCAGAGGGACTAGCGTGGACAAAGTCCTGAGAGGAGGAAGGGCATGGGTGAGCAGCGGGAGAATGGGGTGTTTGGTGGGGAAGAGGCAGGAGATGAAGTGAGAAAGCAGAGCCCGAGCTGGGCTTGCCTCTGCCCCAGGCTTCAGGGGTCCAGGGGGAGGCTGGAAAGGGTGCTACTCTGTGTCTGTGTTTGTGGAGAGACGTGTGTCCCAGAAGCTGTGAGGTATTCTGGAGCAGTTGGCTGCAGCTTGGATCTACCCCCGAGCCACAGGCTTGTCAGGCCTGTAAGCGGGAGAGTAACATGATCAGATTTGTTTTTTAGGAAGATTACCCTGGCAGCCGCTGTGAGGCTAGATCAGAAGGGCTGAGGCTGGTGGCCGGGAGACAGCTGCAAGAAGGGGGATGGAGGGGTGAGGCTGGATGCTAGAACCATTTCTAGGGAGACTTGCCTAATCGTGGGAGTGGCTGAGAAGTAGGAGTTGGGGGTGACATTTAGGATCTAGGCTCTAGACACTGGGTAAATGGAGCTTGAATACCTGGGGGGTGCCATGAACAAGGGGTACAGCTGGCTTCTGTAGGGGGAACACATGTCCTGATTTGCCCCAGACAGTCCCAGTTTATACCTGTTGCCCTGGTGTAATTATTATTAGTTCCCCTGTTTCATTTTTGAAAGTGTCCAGGTTTGGATCATAAGTTACGTGGTCACCGTGGTTTCAGGGTTTGATGATAGCTTAGGACAAGGTAGCGAGCTTGGCTTGGTTTGCAGGAGACACCATGTGGAGACATTTAGATTTGGTGGATGTCAGACTCCTGGGCAGGGTGTAGTGGCAGCTCCAGGCTTATAAGGCTGGGGCCGTAATCCCAGGTTGTCCACAAGGATGGATCAGGCGGGCCACGAAAGAGGGGGCCTTGCAGGGTATGGGGCTCTGCAGGTAGGAGCTGTGTCCAACACTGGGGAGCTGCCCACTGGTCAGATAAGGCCTGAAATTAGCCCTTGGGTTTGGCAGTTGGGAGGTAGCTGGTGACCTTAGAGGGAGCAGCTATAACCCCGGGGAGGGTGGAGCCATCAGGCTGGGTCTGTAGTGAAGGGGATGGGGGAGGCAGGCCCTGGCTGGGAGGAGACGCAGCATGTGGGTTGTTTGGGTTGTGTTGATGTTTAACTTCCCCCCTTTCTTCAAGTTAAGGGCAGCATATCCTTTGGGACAGGAGCAACCACTGTGTTTGGTGGAGGGGAGGGGCCAGGATAAAGGAGAAGAGGGTGATAGCTGAGCCAAGTGTCTGGAGGGAGGATTGGATATGGAGTGCAGGGGAGCACTGGCTCCCCACGAGGGTCCCCTGCACGCCCTCTGCTCCAGGGAAGGAGGTAGAAACGGGCCGTGGCTCAGTCAGCCAAGAGGGCACCATGGAGAGAATGAAAGACCCGGGCCCCAGTCTCACCTCCACCTGGGCCTTGCTGGGGCCCAGACGCATCCTTGCCTCTTCTGGGCCTCAGTGGTTGACTCTGCACATTGGGCGAGCCAGCTGGAACACTCTAGGATTTTCAGGCTGGGGAACACCCTTCTGCTGAGCAGAGCATCATAGAGGACATGAGGTCCTCTTAGTGACAGACGGGGCACATGGGGCTGACCCCCAGGATCAGGATCCTCTAACCTTCTGGAAGCGTTCCCTAAGCCCGTGAGAAGAGGGTTTGCAATTTCTCTCAAATCTCTCCCGCAGAAGACATCCCGGCACAGCAGCGGGGGAGGCGGAGGAGGCGCTGGAGGAGGAGGTGGCAGCATGGGGGGAGGTGGCAGTGGTTTCATCTCTGGGAGGAGAAGCCGGTCAGCCTCACCATCCACGCAGCAGGAGAAGCACCCCACCCACCACGAGAGGGGCCAGAAGAAGGTAGAAGTCCTCCCCCACCTGCCATCACTCCCACACGGGGACTTGGAGACTCACAAACATGGCTCAAAAAGCCATCATGAGGTGCCCTTAAGGTCTTGGCCCTGCCTTCTTCCTTCCTCTGAGGCCACTGAGGGCAGGAGGGGGCTGAAATGAAACGGTGGGGGGGTGAGGCGGGAGCTTGGCTTCCCTGTGGCTGTGTTAGTGGTTCCTCTGGGTCCTCCCCATGACATCACAGTGTCCCCCAGGCCCCAGACACATGGCTCTGCACGTTGCACACGTCTCCGCAGTCCAGCCATGTGCCGCCTAGTAAGTGCTCATGCCTGCATTCCCTCGCGCCACATAGCACAGCGTGCCCAGCTCCTGTCCCTCTGTGCAGCTGTGTCCCAGGTGGACACCCTTGCAGGTGTTATGTTCACGCGCGTGGTGCTCTATAGCACTGGCGTGATAATGGGACAGGCTATTTTTAGCAGGCGGGGCCGGGGGAAGGGCTGTTGGCTCTCATAGGAACTTGCCTGAATCGCTCCTGCCCAGCCCATTATCCAGCCCTCCTCAGGGAGAGATGGTGCCCACAAAACCCCATCCCTAAGGGGGTGTCAGCTCCCCATACCCACATGTCATGTTTGTCCTCGCCCAGACAGCCCCCCAGCACAATATCTAGTCACCTCTCCCTCTCCAGAGTCGAAAGGACAAAGAACGCCTTAAGCAGAAGCACAAGAAGCGGCCTGAGTCGCCCCCCAGCATCCTCACCCCGCCCGTGGTCCCCACTGCTGACAAGGTACTGCTGCCCACCTTCAGGAGGGATGGTGTGTGGGTCTGGGGTGGCAGAGGGAGGGAGGCGGGGGCGAGAGGTTGGTGAGTCAGGGACCTGGGCACCCTCCCCACAGCTTCAAGTTAATGCCACTCCCCTCCTACCCCATACCCTCTACTCCTTCTTCCAGCCTAGAAGGGGCCACCAATCACCGACCAACCATGGGATTGGGAGTTTGGGGTGCTGTCTGCCAGATACTCCCATCTGCCTCTGTCCAGAGGGCCTCAGCCCTGGGCTCTTGTCTGCAGAGAGTGGGGGACGGCACTCAGGCCTGCTCTCCAAGTTCTAGGGCCCCTGTCCCCAGAGATCGGTAGAGGACATCCCCTACGCCCCATCAGGAGGACACCCAAAGCTTGTCACCCAACCCAAATCCCACTCTGTGCAGGTTGGAGGGGCTGAAAGTTCTGACCAAGGTGGCATGGGGGGCAGGCCCCTGGACAGTATCCCGAAACTCCCACTCATCCCACCATTCCCAGCAGGGCATGGTATGTCAGGCCTGTCTCCAGAAATGGGCAACATCTGGCTGAGCGATAGGCAGGCCCTACCCTAGGCCAGGGAATTGCTAATCCAAGCTGGAACAGCCCTCCCTGCTCCCTACAACCTGCCCTCCCCATGGGAGGAGAACCTGGTAGGGTGGGGGGAGATGGAGAAACTGCTCCCTCCTGTCACCATTATTGCCCATTCACCTCCACCCCATCTCAGACGGTTGGCAGAGTTCTGGGCACCTTAGCAGGAGGTTCAGGTATCAGGTTTCCAGGGTGATGTTGCTGTGGCAACTGCCCCAGTAAACCTCTCCCCTGCTTCCCAGGGCTCACCTGGAGACCTTGTCATTCATGCCCTCTGACCTTTCCAGGGGCCTGCAGGCAGGTGGCAAGAAATGGCCAGGGGTCTGGGAGTTTTTCCAGTAACTGGATGTCCCTTGGACATGCCAGAGAACTCTGCCCATCCTCCTCCACTCGCCCCAGCACTTCGGCTACCCTTCCCCCCAGCCCCTCTCTTCCCTTGCTCTCAGAACCACATCTGGCTCCCTTCAGAACTCCAGCTGTTGAAAAGAACAAAGAGGAAGACAGAGACCAGGACTCCGCCCGGGAGGGGCAGTGCAGGGTGGCTCTCGTTTCTGGTCCAGCCTGCATTCAGCATTTATCTGTTCAGCACGATTAACTGAATACCTGGTCGCTACTAGGAGGAAAAGGGCCTTCCCTGGCAGCAGCCTGAAGCACGAACGAACTCACGGCATGCCAGGCTGTGTTCTAGAACCAGGAGATGGAGGGGCATATGGAGATTAGTCCATTTAATACTCAAAATAATCCAATTAGGTTGGAAATTTATAAACCCCATTTAATATATGAAGATGATGGGGCACAGGGAGGTTAAGTAATTTGCCTAAAAGCACACAGCTAGTAAAGTGGTAGACCTGAGATTCCAATGCAGTCTGGCTTGAAGGCTTGTGCTCTTCACCTGCCCACAGCACTGTCTCTGCAGCTGCTGCCACTGGACGTCTCATCATTTATTGACCCTATACCATGTATCTGGCATCATGCTGCTTCCAACTCACCACATATGCATAGTGCTCCCTGTAAAGACACTGACACTTATCGACGTTGAGACTTTGCACAGTATAACATGGCAGTGAGGCCAGGCGTGGTGGCTCACGCCTGTAGTCCCAGCACTTTGGGAGTCCGAGGCAGGTGGATCACCTGAGGTCAGGGGTTCGAGATCAGCCTGGCCAACATGGTGAAACCCTGCCTCTATTAAAAATACACAAAATTAGCCGGGTGTGGTGGCTGGTGCCTGTAATCCCAGCTACTTGGGAGGCTGAGGCAGGAGAATCACTTGAACCTGGGAGGTGATTGAAGGTTGCAGTGAGCCGAGATCGCACCATTGCACTCCAGCCTGTGCAACAAGAGTGAAACTCCATCTCAAAAATAAATTAAGAAAAAACAAAAACATGGCGGTGAAGGGCAGAACCCATCAGGCTCATACCTTGCTCTGCCCGACTTAGAGCCCACGCTCCTTCAACCACCACCCTGCCGCTCTCTTTGGTTTCTGGTGCCTCAGATAGGACAGAACATTTCAGTGCAGAGTGGCAGCTGTTGACATGTGGTCATGTGTGCACAGTTCTCTGGAAATAAGGGGACAGAATGTCTTGTTCCACCTGAGGTATTTAGGGAGGCTTCAGGGAAGAGGGACTTCCAAGCTGGATTTTAAAGGATGAGAGATTTCCCAGGAAGAGTAAGGATAGGCTGTCCTGGCAAACGCTTAGTGTGTGCAATCAGGTTGTCTAGGAAGAGCATGGGGTGGTCAGAGAATGGGTGGAAAGCCAGGGGGCCGAAGTTTGGGGTAGTAGCTGGAGGGCTCCAGGATGGCACCAGAGAAGCCCATTCTCCTGTGGGTCCTCTTCTCTGCCTCGCCACTTCCAGCATAGGTCCCGCCTTCTTAGACGCCCTAAGTATTCAGTGAATGAATGGACCAATGAGTAAATCTCTTCAGACTCTGGGACTGTTTTCATCTCCCTCTTGGCTTCCATCTTCCCTGCCTAAGGTGAAAGACAGACACCTTCTTGGGTTCAGTGAATTCCCCTCTGCCTTACACCCAGGAGTGCCACAGCTGCCTCCCCATATCCCTGGTCTAGGAGCTCCTGGCCACTCCCTGCCCGGAAGTCCTTCATGAAACTAGCTGTGGGCTCTCCCAGTTGAGCTAGGTCCTGTGCCCTCCTGCTTCACTCCCACATCAGGATCAGCACAGGCCCAGGCACCTGGTGTTGAACCTTCCTCTCTCCTCTCCTTCAGGTCTCCTCCTCGGCTTCCTCTTCCTCCCACCACGAGGCCAGCACGCAGGAGACCTCTGAGAGCAGCAGGGAGTCAAAGGGGAAAAAGTCTTCCAGCCATAGCCTGAGTCATAAAGGGAAGAAACTGAGCAGTGGGAAAGGTGTGAGCAGTTTTACCTCCGCCTCCTCTTCTTCCTCCTCCTCTTCCTCCTCCTCTGGGGGGCCCTTCCAGCCTGCAGGTGAGTGTGGGCATCCGGGAGGAAGCTGGGAGCAGGGAAAGCCTTTTGTCCTGAGCTTTTCTGGCAAGGGACTTTGCATATTGGTTTTGCATCTCATTTACTTCTCCATTGGTTCAGGATAAAGATGGGGAATCCCCTCCTCTCCAAACCTGCCCCCAAACCCTTCCTTCTTGAACCAGAACTCTCCTCTCCCCTTCAGGGGCCACCCCACCAACCTCATAACAGTATTCCTTATCCCCTACATTTGTGCTGCAAGGTACAATTTTTCAAGAACCCCCATTAACATTTTCTCCTATAATCGCTACAGTCATCTGGTGAGGCCAGTAGGGTGCGAGTTACTCTCCCCCATTTTATTACAGGTGGGAAAGCTGGAGGGGTCGGGGGTACTCATCCCAGGACACAGACAGTGGCAGAGCTGAGACAGGAAACCAGGCATCCCCATTCGTGGACCAGAGCTCTCTCCCGCCAGTACACGCGGGAGTGGGAGGGAGTGCGGGGATCTGGGGTCCAGCTGTAACTGTTTCCCCTCTGTGCACAGTCTCGTCCCTGCAGAGCTCCCCTGACTTCTCTGCATTCCCCAAGCTGGAGCAGCCAGAGGAGGACAAGTACTCCAAGCCCACAGCCCCCGCCCCTTCAGCCCCTCCTTCTCCCTCAGCTCCCGAGCCCCCCAAGGCTGACCTTTTTGAGCAGAAGGTGGTCTTCTCTGGCTTTGGGCCCATCATGCGCTTCTCCACCACCACCTCCAGCTCAGGCCGGGCCCGGGCGCCCTCCCCTGGGGACTATAAGTCTCCCCACGTCACGGGGTCTGGGGCCTCGGCAGGCACCCACAAACGGATGCCCGCACTGAGTGCCACCCCTGTGCCTGCTGATGAGACCCCTGAGACAGGCCTGAAGGAGAAGAAGCACAAAGCCAGCAAGAGGAGCCGCCATGGGCCAGGCCGTCCCAAGGGCAGCCGGAACAAGGAGGGCACTGGGGGCCCAGCTGCCCCATCCTTGCCCAGTGCCCAGCTGGCTGGCTTTACCGCCACTGCTGCCTCACCCTTCTCTGGAGGTTCCCTGGTCAGCTCCGGCCTGGGAGGTCTGTCCTCCCGAACCTTTGGGCCTTCTGGGAGCTTGCCCAGCTTGAGCCTGGAGTCCCCCTTACTAGGGGCAGGTTAGTGACCCCTGGGGACAGAGGGCATTTCAGGGCCCAGCCAGTCTAGTGAGGAACAGAGCTTACACATGCACTTAGAAGGAAATGGGATGGATACCACTCCAAAAGATAGAGCACGGAGGAGACAGTCACCTTCAGGACATCCCCCTCTGCATGCGTGGAGTAGAAAGGATTGGGGACAGATTGTCAGAAGGTTTTACCAAGTTTTGGGAGGGAGATTAGAAAAGCTAGGAATTCTGTAGCCCTCGGCAGGGCAGTTTAACAAGCAGGCGCAGCAAGCAGATGTCACCCAGGCAGGAAGTGACATCTTTGCAGCAAGAGGGTTAGACTGGGGCATGTAGCCAGATCCCGGGGAGCACTCGAGCTGGGGAGGGGCTGTCAGCCACCTGGCTGAGCAGGAGTCTGGGGTGGAGAGTAACCACGTGCTTCCCTCTGTCCTTGTGCCTGCAGGCATCTACACCAGTAATAAGGACCCCATCTCCCACAGTGGCGGGATGCTGCGGGCTGTCTGCAGCACCCCTCTCTCCTCCAGCCTCCTGGGGCCCCCAGGGACCTCGGCCCTGCCCCGCCTCAGCCGCTCCCCGTTCACCAGCACCCTCCCCTCCTCTTCTGCTTCTATCTCCACCACTCAGGTGAGACCTGACTCCTGGGCTCCTCCTTCCCTGGGCAGGTTGGGGACAGACTGACAGAGGACCCCAGCCTTCCATGGGAATTGGAGCAACTGGGCTGAGTTGCCATCAGACCACCCTCCGGGCTCTGGACCCCTCTGCTCCCCAGCACACCCGGCCCCCTGCACCCCGGTACACACAGTTGTGCTCTAGATCCAAGAATAACCGCCAGGGGATTCTACCTCCCTCCCTTAGGTGTTTTCTCTGGCTGGCTCTACCTTTAGCCTCCCTTCTACCCACATCTTTGGAACCCCCATGGGTGCCGTTAATCCCCTCCTCTCCCAAGCTGAGAGCAGCCACACAGGTATGTGAATATCTGATCCCCTCTCCCCTTTCTTCCCAAAGGTCGGACACCCATCACCTGCATGTGACCCCAGAAAGAATGGGAGAGCTTTCTGGCTGCCCCCTCCCTCTGGCCATTGCCCTCCCTGCAAAAACAAACAGGCCGGGTGTGGTGGCTCACGCCTGTAATCCCAGCACTTTGGGAGGCCGAGGCGGGTGGATCACCTGAGATCAGGAGTTTGAGACCAGCCTGGCCAACATGGTGAAACCCCGTCTCTACTAAAAATACAAAAAGTAGCTGGGCGTGGTGGTGGGCGCCTGTAATCCCAGCTACTCAGGAGGCTGAGGCAGGAGAATTGCTTGAACGTGGGAGGCGGAGGTTGCAGTGAGCCGAGATCGCTCCATTGCACTCCAGCCTGGGCGATAAGAGCAAAACTCCGTCTCAAAACAAACAAAATCCCAGCGTAGTGGCTCCCGCCTGTAATCCCAGCTACTCAGGAGACTAGCCTGGGCAACACAGGGAGAACCTGTCTCTTAAAAAAAAAAAAAATCCACACACAGCAAACCAGGGTACACTTTCAAGTTAGAACCCAGCGAGAAGGCAGGGCAGGGAAGTTACTGCTCCATCTCACAGAAGAAAAAGGCAGAGATGGAAGACTTGCTCAAGGCAGGAAATGGCAGACCTAAAGCTCAGATTCTGTTCTCCTGACTCCAAGCCCAGTGCTTTCACCGGTGTAGCGTGCTTCCCCTTGGCTTCGTAGTGTGTCTTGGGATCAGCGCTTACGGAGGTCTCAACCTCTCCGGGTATTTACGAGTTAAGGGGGCGGGTCACAAGCGCCCCGCCCTCTCCCTGGAGAGTCAGCCCAGCCCCAGAAAGCTAATTGGTGCAGGGAGACCACCTGTCAGGCTGGGAGGCGGGGCCTACAGCCAGGCTGCCGACTCAGGTAAGCCTTAAAGGGGACAAATATGATTCCACGTTTAAGAACGACAGAGTAGGGTGATATATTTGTTAAAACTCAGATCAGGATTCTGTGGCCCAAGGAAGAGTTTTAGTTTTGCCTCCTGATAAGGGATCTGATGAATGTAAAAAGTCATACAGAGCTAATTATGATAATAGCTGCAGTCATTAAGGGCTTGCTACATGCTAGCTAAACCCTTCAGGTAAACACTTCACATTTATTACCTTCTTTTAATCTTAATAACAGTCACTTCGGAGAGGCTGGTTAGGAGCCCAAGGTCACAAAAGTTGATGTCAGGTTTAAGTTCAATCCAGGTCTGTCTTGACCTCAAATTTCTATAACTCTGAAGATCCCAGGAAAGGAATTGGGCGGTGGATCTGAAAGAAGCCAGACAGTGGAGCCTTCAGCCCAGAGGAGGAAGAGAGCAGATGCCCGGGGTTTGCCTCCCAGGGGCAGGGTTTCCAAGCCAGGGCCCTCAGCGCTGGCCTTGAACTGCCAGTGTGGGGTTGGGGATTCCTGGGGAAAGGGATCTGCGGTGAGGTCCCAATCCCATATCCATCTGGGGGCGGGGACCCTGAGGCAGCTACCACTCCTCCACGCTGATCCCAGCCTTCCCTTCTTCCAAGAGCCAGACCTGGAGGACTGCAGCTTCCGGTGTCGGGGGACCTCCCCTCAGGAGAGTCTGTCTTCCATGTGAGGGAAGGGGCAGCCTGGAGGAGGGGCTGGGGGCAGGAGGGACACCCGAGGGAGGAGGGACGGAGAGACCGGCGTGGGCTGGAACCCCTGGGGGATACGGGAGAAGGGCCAGAGGAGCCTGGAGTGGTCGGGTCGACTGAACCCAGGTTCCCTCTGGCCGCAGGTCCCCCATCAGCAGCCTCCCCGCACTCTTCGACCAGACAGCCTCTGCACCCTGTGGGGGCGGCCAGTTAGACCCGGCGGCCCCAGGGACGACTAACATGGAGCAGCTTCTGGAGAAGCAGGGCGACGGGGAGGCCGGCGTCAACAGTGAGGAGGGGTGGCGCCGGTCGGGACGCCTGCCCTAGGGCCCTAACAGTCACCTTTCTCCCCGAGGTCCCCAAGCTTCTTTAAGGTTCCGCCCTTAGGCCCCGCCCCAGCCTTGACTCTCGGCCACCCCGGGCCTCACCTCCCATCCCTGCCAGGCCACACGACCGGCCCTGGTCCCTCAGCGCCCCACCTTTGGCCTTCGTGGCCTCCGGGCCCCGACCTTACCAAACCGCAACTTCCGCCCTTCTCTCCTGACCCGTGTGGCCTCGACCCCAGCCTCAGGCTCCGCCCCAGGTCTTCACACCTGTGGCTCCCCAAGTCCCGCCTCTCTTCTCAGAGCTCACCTGTGTCCCTCCTTAGGATGGCGCCGCCTTTTCAAGGGCTGAGCACTGGCTCCCCTCCAGGCCCCGCCCCCGGTCCCCTGGCCCCGCCTCCGCCCCCTCGCCCCTCCCTCAGGTTCCTCGCTCTCTCCGCAGTCGTGGAGATGCTGAAGGCGCTGCACGCGCTGCAGAAGGAGAACCAGCGGCTGCAAGAGCAGATCCTGAGCCTGACGGCCAAAAAGGAGCGGCTGCAGATTCTCAACGTGCAGCTCTCTGTGCCCTTCCCTGCCCTGCCTGCTGCCCTGCCTGCCGCCAACGGCCCTGTCCCTGGGCCCTATGGCCTGCCTCCCCAAGGTGAGGGGATCCTGCCCAGCCCGGGAGAGAGGCCCGTGCCCTGAAGTCCGGACTGGCCCTGACTGCAGCCTGTGACATCCCTCCCACAGCCGGCAGCAGCGACTCCTTGAGCACCAGCAAGAGCCCTCCGGGAAAGAGCAGCCTCGGCCTGGACAACTCGCTGTCCACTTCTTCTGAGGTGGGCGCTACGAGGAGTGGGGCAGGAAGGAGGGGGAGACTCAAGGCTCTCCTGGTCCCATCTCTTCCCCGCAGCTATTGGAGGCTGGGCAATGAAGTGACTGACTGAGCAATTGATTGATCCATTCAGTCCTCCCTTAATCAAGTAATATTTATGAGGTGCCCACTTAGTGCCAGCCATTGGCTAAGCAATCAGTGAGCAAAACCGGCACAGCGCTGCTTCTTAAGATAGGCTACCCCAAGCAAAGAAGGAGTAATCACAAACTGGGAGATATGTTAGTGTGGAGAGAAATTGAGGGCTGTGAGAGAGAGAACGGGGGAGGGCTGCTTCTGTGGATAGAAAGTGGTTAGGGAAGGCCTCTTTGAGAAGTATTTGTGAAGGGTTTATTATAGCGCCTCACACAAAATAATTCCTGTGTAACTGGTGGCGGTTCGAATAGCAGTTGCTATTGTGTTGTGGTTATTACTGGAATCCAACAAACTGGGTTCTTGTTCTCTCTCTGCCATTTATTAACTGTGTGACTTGGGCAGTAATAATCATAATAATAACCAGCATTAATTGCACACTTGCCCTTTGTCATGCCCTATGCAAAAATTTTTTAAAGCATTCATTTAGTCTTCATAGTAAGCCTATGGAATAGGTACTACTGTTACCCCCCAGCTTACGAGTGAGTAAACTAAGACAGGTTGAACCCAAGGTCACCCAAGCCATTGGATTGTGGACATAGGATTTGAACCTGAGCCTTTCACTTTAGCTGTAGTGCTTTTGCCTGCAGAGTTACTTAACCTGTGCAAGAATCAATGGCTTCACCCATAAAATGAGAATAGCAAGATAGCACAGGTCAAGCCCTCAGCCCAGGATCTGGTTCACCAGATGGTCACCACCATCATCATTGTCCATTATTAAATGAGGATGATGAGGGGCGCTGGACTCCCAGGAAGGGGTCAGGAAACATGATTCGTGAAGACAATTTGGATTCTTAGCCCTCATCCCCGGACCTTGCTTCTTCCAGGGTGCCTGGGGGTGAAGTGGGGGTTGCTGTGCTCTGTGAGAATGCTGGTGGGTGCTGGGCCAGGGGCCAGAAAAGTCATGCTGGCCCTCTGACCCCTCCCTTCCCCCTCCCTCCCCAGGACCCACACTCAGGCTGCCCGAGCCGCAGCAGCTCGTCGCTGTCCTTCCACAGCACGCCCCCACCGCTGCCCCTCCTCCAGCAGAGCCCTGCCACTCTGCCCCTGGCCCTGCCTGGGGCCCCTGCCCCACTCCCGCCCCAGCCGCAGAACGGGTTGGGCCGGGCACCCGGGGCAGCGGGGCTGGGGGCCATGCCCATGGCTGAGGGGCTGTTGGGGGGGCTGGCAGGCAGTGGGGGCCTGCCCCTCAATGGGCTCCTTGGGGGGTTGAATGGGGCCGCTGCCCCCAACCCCGCAAGCTTGAGCCAGGCTGGCGGGGCCCCCACGCTGCAGCTGCCAGGCTGTCTCAACAGGTGAGGGAGAGCTCAGCCCTGGGAAGGGGAACAGGGTGGGGGGCTGGCTCTGGGAAGGGAGGGATTTTCCCCAAAACACCCACAATCCCTAAAAGGAAAAATGGCCTCTGGTCTCACAGGGTATATAATCCTAGTCACCTCTTGGCCTCTAAGGACTCCACAGACTGTTAGACATGTGTGTCCTCTGGACGGTAGCTCCCCAGGGACAAAAGAATTGTTGACTTCCTGTCCTGCACTCTAGGATTTCCTTCTGGGACAGTTCTTCTAAATCAGACCTGTATCCCTCTTGCTGCACCCTATGAGCACGGTGCTCTAAGATCGCACATCCCTGCCTTGCTTCCCCTGGGTCTGAGGGAGTCTAGGGGCTTGGGATTAGGAGCAGGAGTGTTTCCCTGGCCCTCCCCCATGGTCTGTGTGTTGTCCCCCCCCCACCCCCCACCCCCACCTCAGCCTTACAGAGCAGCAGAGACATCTCCTTCAGCAGCAAGAGCAGCAGCTCCAGCAACTCCAGCAGCTCCTGGCCTCCCCGCAGCTGACCCCGGTAATGCCCCTCCCTTCCCTGCCTCAGGTGCCCCTTGGTCTGCCTGGAAGGGCACATCTCAGAGGATCAGGGCCAGCCAGGAGAGGGCAGGAGCAGGCAGAGTGAGGGGAAGCTCTAGGCTGGGCCTGTGGGACTGGGGCTGGGCCCTGTGGAGCATCCATGGCAGGTAAGGGGGATAAGATCATGCCCAGGATCCCCTGGGCATTGAGAAAGGGCTGCTGTAATAGCCCCAGGTCGCATCCTGGTGAAAGACTCTGGAGGGCAGCAAGTCCTCAGTTATTCAGCATTTCAGTCCCAGCCCCAAAGGCATTCAGGGGAAACTCCAGGGTCTGAGTGGCTGTGCAGGTGACACCACCCTCAACCACAGCAGCTTCTTTGGGTCTGTCTCCTGTTGGGTCGGCTGAAACTACCTTTGGAGAAAAGGAGTTTTACTTTTTAAAAATGAGGGAAGCAGCCGGGTGTGGTGGCTCATGTCTGTAATCCAAGCACGGAAGACTGAGGCAGGCAGATCGCTTGAGCTCAGGAGTTTGAGATCAGCCTGGGCAACTTGGTGAAACTGAGTCTCTACAAAAAATTAGCTGGGCGTGGTGGTGCACGCCTGTAGTCCCAGCTACTTGGGAGCCTGAGGCAGGAGAATCGCTTGAACTGGGGAGGTGGAGGCTGCAGTGAGCTGAGATGGCGCCAATACACTCCAGCCTGGGTGACAGAATGAGACCCTGTCTCAAAAACAAAACAGGGAGTTGAAAAAATAAGAAAAATCAACATTTTCATATAAAGAAATATTAGACAGGAAACCAATTCAGCTGGCTGCCTGTAGGGACCAGATGGGAGCAAGAGGAGTAAGTTCTTAAGGTAAACTTTGATATATTATTTTGGTTTCTGGGACATTAAGAATGCTTTGCCTATTCAAAGCAAAATAAATGAATCTTAAATGATAGAAGCAAACAAAACAAAAGAGAAAGGGAATTGAAAACTTTTTTTTTTTTTTTTTGAGACAGAGTTTCACTCTTGTTGCCCAGGCTGGAGTGCAATGGCATGATATCGGCTCACTGCAACCTCCGCCTCCCGGGTTCAAGGGATTCTCTTGCCTCAGCCTCCCAAGTAGCTGGGATTACAGGTGCATGCCACCATGCCCAGCTAATTTTTGTATCTTTAGTAGAGATGGGGTTTCACCATGTTGGCCAGGCTGGTCTCAAACTCCTGACCTCAAGTGATCCACCGGCCTCAGCCTCCCAAAGTGCTGGGATTATAGGCGTGAGCCACCGTGTCCGGCGAATTGAAAACTATTGACCTAGTCAGTAGTTTTGGCGAAACCCCGTCTCTACTAAAAATACAAAAATTAGCCGGATGTGGTGGCAGGCCCCTGTAATCCAGCTACCTGGGAGGCTGAGGCAGGAGAATCGCTTGAACCCAGGAGGTGGAGGTTGCAGTCAGCCAATATCGCACCACTGTACTCCAGCCTGGGTGACAGAGCAAGACTCCGTCTCACAAAAAGAAAAGAAAAGAAAAGAAAACTATTGACCTAGTTTAGTGTTTTTCAACTTGGGGGCGTCTGTGGTTGTCTTAGGAGCTGAGGGGTGATTCTGTGGGCAGGGCCAGAGATATTAAATACCCTGCTGTTGGCCGGCAGTGCTGCAGCTGGCAAATACCAATGGCGTGCAACCATTTTCTTGTCTAGATGGGGAGACCCAGGCTAAGTGGGAAATGCGAGACAGTACCTTGACTGTCTCACAGGCCTCTTGCCTCCTGATTCCAGTGTGATGGGGTGGGGCCTGGCCAGGCAGGGCAGGCAGGCAGCAGGGAAGAGACCCCCGGGACTGTTGGCCAACAAGCGGTCTGGCCCCCTTGCAGGAACACCAGACTGTTGTCTACCAGATGATCCAGCAGATCCAGCAGAAACGGGAGCTGCAGCGCCTGCAGATGGCTGGGGGCTCCCAGCTGCCCATGGCCAGCCTGCTGGCAGGAAGCTCCACCCCGCTGCTGTCTGCGGGTACCCCTGGCCTGCTGCCCACAGCGTCTGCTCCACCCCTGCTGCCCGCTGGAGCCCTAGTGGCTCCCTCGCTTGGCAACAACACAAGTCTCATGGCCGCAGCAGCTGCAGCTGCAGCAGTAGCAGCAGCAGGCGGACCTCCAGTCCTCACTGCCCAGACCAACCCCTTCCTCAGCCTGTCGGGAGCAGAGGGCAGTGGCGGTGGCCCCAAAGGAGGGGTGAGTAAGGGGCCCGGGGCCTTCCTGCCTCCCCTCTGAGGGATGGGTAGAGATGGATTGTCAGAAGGCTTATCATCAGGTACCTCAGCAGGGGGAAGGAAGCAACCCCTAGGTCAGCAAAGTACCCTGCCTCAGACCCCAGGGCCTCTGCTTGCACATGGGTGCCCTCCTGCACGGCCAAGAAAGATCCGATCTGAGCATGGGCTCAGAGGAAAAGGACCAATTAGAAAACAGCCTTCCTCCGGGAGGACCAATTAGAAAAAGCCATTTTGTTTCTCATCCGACCAATTAGAAAAAGATGACCCTCTGGGTAGGCCAATGTCAGAAAGGCCCTCTCCCTCTCCTGAGGGCACACGGCCTTAGCTTGCACATGCCCACGCAGCCCGGTGCTCTTCTGCAGGGTGGTTTCACACCCCTGCGCATCGGCCCTGGTGCACACCCCTCAGAGCCCAGGCCAGAGGCTTCCATTGGCCCCGTTTCAGTACCCCACAGCAGCTTTCTTGGCCTAGGAAGCTGTTCTTATCTGGGGGTTAGGACCTGACACTTTCCACACCCCCGGCCTCCCTCCCTCTCTTTCCAGACCGCTGACAAAGGAGCCTCAGCCAACCAGGAAAAAGGCTAAATCCACCCTTACCCCTCCTGACCCCCCCAAGTGGAGGGAACAGATCCTGGCCTGAGGGGTCCTAGCCTGGAGCAGGCGCCTGCGCCCAGACCCTGGAGAGCCTTGACCCAGAGCCTGTGCTGAGGTCCAGGGAGTGTGGAGAGCTCCTGGTGTCGAGGACTGAGACTGAGAGGGGAGCCCCCTCCATCTGGCCCCCTTCCCTTTCCGCACTGTCCGCTTTGTGAGGCTCAGAGGAAGGACAGTCTGCAAGCCCGCCTAGGAGGTCCATCCCCAGCAAATGTTTTGGAGGTCCCCCCAGAGAGCAGAGTGGGCCATGGCAGAAGTAGGGGGTTGGTTGGACCTGTCACATGAAATGGATCAGCACTTGAATGGGGAGAAGTGGAGGGAGAGGCCCTGGGCCTGTCCCTGCGGGGAAATCTTTTATGGAAGAAGGGCTGGACCCACTTTACCTGCAGTTTCTTCCCAGCTCGGGCAGATGGCAGAAGGGACCCCTTGGACTTTTTCTCGCCATCCCTCCCCCCAGCGCAGGGGCACAAGCTGAGCTTGTAAAAGCCCACAGATGTTGGGGGCTGGAGAAGGGGCAGGAGAGCATCACACTCAGCCCCAGCCTCCTCAACCTCTTGGGGCCCCGTGATGGGGAGGAGAGGGCAGGTGCGGGGAGGCTCTGGCCTTCCTTGGTGCCCCGCCCTTTGTTTGCACTATTGGACTTAGGAGTGCCGAGGGTGGGGAGATGGAGCTGCCCGTCTCAGTGTGTGAGTGTGTGTGTGCGTGCATGTGTGTGTGTGTGTGTGTGTGTGTGTGTGTCTGTCTGCCTGTCTCTCTCCTCCTGGACCCAGGGCAGCCAAGGGCAGGGATAGGCGCAGTGGTCAGATGAAGCAGCGCCAGAGAGGGGACCTCCCAGCTCTTATTTGCACCCTCCCCACCTCACCAACTTTGGTCCCTCTCTGGGGGCATGAATGGTTAACAAACACCAGAGCAGTACTCCAATATTGGAGAGTCGCTGGGGGCACAGGGCTTTGAATCAGGGTAGTATCCTGCCTTCCCTCCCCTGACCCCACATGGTCTCAGGGCCCCCTTAGGGCCCCCTACCCCACTGATAGCTTCCTCCTTCTCTGGCACAAGGGGAGCCCCAGGGCTTGGGGGAGGGCGTAAGGTGGGGGGAAATGCCACTGCTTTTAGCAAAAGCCTCCCTCCCAGAATTAGCCAGCTTGCCTCCTGCACCCCACCCCCACCAACCAGGGGAGCCACTAAGCTGACTAACAACTGTCCCCTCACCCACCAGCTATTTCCCCAGGGTAGAGTGGGCAATTCTCACCTTCAAAGAGTCCCCGCCTGCCCAGGCCTTTGGCACAGAGGCTGAGTGGACAGTCAGGAGAGAGGCGAGAGGCAAGGCGAAGCCTGTGTCCCTGTTTCAGTTGCACTGGGGTTGGAGCCCAGGGTAGGGGTTTCCAGCTTCCCCAGGCTCCGGCCTTGTCAGTCTCTTTGCATGTGTGGATTTTTCTGTGTGTGTTTCTGTTTGGGTTTTTGTTGTTGGGTTTTTTTTTTTTTTTTAATAAAGAAAAGAAGATGTGTATATTTTTGGCAACGACAGAAACGTAGTGCAGATATATTTTTGCCTGTGCTGCTCAACTGTTTTTTTTTTCTGATACTGAAAATAATATTAATATTCCTGTTGATAAGACTTTGTAAGATGTTAGGGAGCTGATAATGGAGGGGGGTGGGAATCCTTCAAAGGCAATTTCTTAGGCACTTGCAAGGGCTTGGGGGAGGGGGAGGCAGTTGTGATGACCTCAGAAATACTCACTTTTTATTAATGCTAAATATGTTAGAAAGAAATGATAGCATTCAGCATTTTATTCTTCTTAATCTATTAAGCTGTGTAACTCCCTGCCCCAAACCACTGAAAAGAAAAGTAACCTTCAGGCCAGGCGCGGTGGCTCACGCCTGTAATCCCAACACTTTGGGAGGCTGAGGCGGGCGGATCACTTAAGGTCAGGAGTTCAAGACCAGCCTGGCCAACATGGTGAAACCCCGTCTCTATCAAAAATTAGCCGGGCATGGTGGCACGTGCCTGTAATCCCAGCTACTTGGGAGGCTGAGGCACGAGAATTGCTTGAACCCAGGAGGCTGAGGCTGCAGTGAGCCAAGATTGTGCCACTGCACTCCAGCCTGTGTGAGAGAGTGAGACTCTGTCTCAAAAGAGAAAAAAAAAGAAAAGTAACCTTCAGAGATTCTTAGAAGAGTTGCTCATTCACACCCACGCCCTTGCCCAAGGCTGGCCCACTTAGAGCGAAACTTAACTTTTGTCTGGATGGGAAGAGAAGTAAGTCTACCCCGAGGTTGCCATGTTGAAGAGTGAGAGGTCCAAGTGATTCTGTGCATTGAAACCAAGACACCCCACCCAGAACACTTCTTCCCTCCCTCAGCCCAAACCAAAGGCTGGGGTTCTCATCTCCAAGTGGCTGTTCTCCAACTTTCCCAAGCCGCTTGCATTCCCCAGACTGGACTACTGTGGCGGTTAGGTTAGATTTGAAGACGGGGCCCAGGCTGGGTATGAACGGGTGCAGCCCTCTTCTCCTCTTCCCCCCCACATCTCTCATGAGAGAGGTAGTGGCATTTCCTTCTCAGGGAGCTTCAATGGGAAAGGTCTCGAAAGCTTCAGGAGGAGCAGAATACCAACGCAGGGGGATGGCTGTAACGATCTCACCGTCTCCTAACCTCAGTCCCTTTTTTGAGAGTGAATGGTGGAGGGTGGGAAGGGACCCAGATTTGTAGATCTCTTTGTCTGGGGGAGGGGAAGGATGTGGTTTGCAGAGCGGAAGCAGAGTTTGGAAACGCATGAGAGCAGAGCTTCGTGTGTTCCCACCCTCAGTGAGGAGGTGTGAGTGGGTGAGCATGTGGAGTTGGGTGTTCCCACCCTCAGTGAGGAGGTGTGAGTGGGGGTGCATATAGAGGCAGTGCCTGCTGTGGGGTCACAACTGGTGCATGCCAGCGCCAAAGGGACCTGTCTTTAGGGGTCATTTCAGCCAGCTCCTCCCATCACAGATGACAGCTCCAAGCCTAGAAGGGGCTCAGTGACAGGGCCAGGACAAGCCCTCAGGACTGTGGCCTCCTGGCCCTTGGTTCCCCTGCCCCACAACATGGTCTCCACATGGCTGGCTGGCTGGCTGTCCCTGTGTGTGTGTGACACACGGTGTGAGTGCAGGGCTGTGCCCGGGGTGGGAGGGTGTCTATGTGGCACTGACTGTCTTAGCTCAGAGCTGGTGGATCCTCTCCATGGACAATGACACTTTAAGGATTGTCTTGGTTTGTTTTTCCTATTTGTGGGGTATTTTCCCCCTCAGGCTCCTGGGTCTGCTGCTGCCTCAAGGTGTCCTGACCTTGAGGCTGATGAGGGGACCCCTGCCTGTTTCCCCCATACTGAGTTCTAGGGAGGTGCTCACCCCAGACTCTTAGGAAGGGTCTAGAGAAATGAGAGGAGCCCAAGCCAGGGGCCAGCTCCGAGAAAGGGTAACCTCCACGCTTCTCTCTCCCAAATTGGAAATGAAGACAGGTTTTCAAAGGCACAGGCTCCCCCTGCCAGCTTCTAGGATCTTCCTTGGTGTGCAATGGGCCAGTTAGGGGTAGGCAGCTTGCACCCAGTTCTCCTTTATCTCAACTTATTTTCCTGGGGAGAGGTGCCTAGAGGGATTGAGGTAACTTCAACTGGGAATTCCAAGGAAGGTGGGCAAGTAGCCTTGGCTCTCTCCCACCATGTCCATCAGGATTGAGAGTGTGTCTAGCTCCCGACCACTTTGTCTTGACCTACTGAAAAGTTGGGAACTGAGGGGTGCCTTCATTCCCCTTTGTTCACTTTCTCCAGCTCAACTTGGGACTTGGGTGGTGGGACTGGAGACCTCACCCCTGCTCCCGTCCCGCCCCCTTTCTATCCCAACCTGTTTCCATGTAGCAGACCCTTCCTAGGGAGCAGGGAGGGGAAGCCACAGATTGCAAACCCAGGGGCTCCTTTTTCATTCTTTCTAAAACCTTGATATCCTCAGCCCAAAGGCGATGCCCCCCTGCCACCTCCAAGCCTGGAATTGTGCATAACCCGGATCTTGTATCTTTGTATAACGGATGTTATTTGTACGAAGGGCAGTTCGTAAACAGCACTTGTTCTTTTAATAAAAGAATGTTTTGCAAAAAAAAAAAAAAAAATCCGAAGAGCCCCTGCGTAGTCTCGCTTTATGGAAGGGGACAGGAGGTGGGTGCCAACTGCGGGGGTGTAGGAGGGCGTGGGCTGCGGCCCTTCTGTCCGCACTCAGCGGCAGAGAGCGCACAGACGCTCAGCACACCCGGGCCCACCACGCAGGGTGCATCAGTCCGTGGGCCCCGGCCGTCGGGACCCTGACCCGTCCCGAGGTGACGCGACGCCCGCGCGCTTGCTCCCAGAAGCGCGGCCTAGGCTCGGCCAGCAACAGCGACTCCTGGGAGGGTCCTGCGCCCTCGGGGGTGCCCCAGGCGCCGAGGCTGCGCGCGGGGCGTTCCACCGCCAGGCCCGCCCGGCAGGGGGCGCCGGGACCGACCGCTCACGCCCGGCGTGCTGAGGAGGCCGCTGGGCGGGCGCCGTGGTCGGGCTTCCGTACCCCGCCCGCCCCTGGCCTCCGCCCTCGCAGAACGCCGCGGCGTCTTCCGGGGCCTGGCGGGCCGGGGACCGAGGGGGCGGGGAGGTGACCCGGCGGGGGCGGAGCCAGCGGGCGGGCGCGGCGCGGGAGGCGACCATGCGCGGCGCGGGGGCGATCCTGCGGCCGGCGGCGCGTGGTGCCCGGGTGAGCACCCCCGCCCTGCACCAGCCCCCGTCCCGAACCCCAGCCGGGCCCCTGCCAGCCCCCACTCCAGCCCCGGCCCGGCCGAGCATCCCGGAGCTCCCGGCCCGTCCCGCCGGTGTCTGGCTTGCCTCAGCTCACAGGCTTTTCCCGAGCGCCAGTCCCTGCCAGGACCTCCGCAGCCAGCACCTTCTCTTGCGACCTTTTTCTTACCCTCTCATTCCTCCCTCGCCCCTTCAGCCCTGTCACCTCCTCCTTCCTAGATGGCCTCCCGTGTCCTTCCCTTTCCACTGATTTTATTTTTCCGTTTCCAAACCACCGTCTTGTGATGCCTGCCATGCTTGCGTACCTTGCAGGACCTGAACCCGCGGCGGGACATCTCCTCCTGGCTGGTGAGTCCCCCCATCCTCCCCTCCTCCTCGCACAAGACCCCCAGGCACGGAGATCTCAAAGGCAGAAACAGGAAATGGAGCTAGGAAGAGTACAGGCCTATTCCCTGGAGTTAGCCCGTGGCTCTCAGGGAGGTGGGGCGGACCAGAGGGCACTGGGCAGGGCGCCAGTCTTCTGTACTGAGGACAGCAGCACCTAATGAACCAAGCCCCAGTGTGGGTGGCCCTGCCGTAGGCTGGAAGGATCCCAGCCCGCCTTCCCTAGCACGCAGGTGGGAGCCAGCGTTTGAGGGAAGGCAGCTGGACCCTGAAACCTGAGTGCCTGCATGGCTTTGAAATCTCCCTGTCCAAAGCTCACGGTCCTATGGTGTCCTGGGGAACGGTCTTGTTGGGTGGCATCAGATCAGCCTCTTGTAGAGGAAACCTGCCACACACACAGGCCAGTGGGAAACTAGGAAGGGTCGCAGGCCGGACGGTGCTTCCAGGGCTTGAGCTAACCCTGAGCCCCTCATCTTCCCTGGCCACAGGCCCAGTGGTTCCCTAGAACCCCAGCCAGGTCCGTGGTGGCCCTGAAGACCCCCATCAAGGTGGAGCTGGTGGCAGGGAAAACCTACAGGTGGTGTGTGTGTGGCCGCAGCAAGAAGCAGGTGAGACCCCTGTCTGCCTTCCTACTGATACCTCTGGCTAGGAACAGCCTGGTGTCTCCAGTGAGTTCCCACCCAGGATGATCTTATTCTTCCCACACATACCTGAGGGACACCAAGGGGGCTTGGGAACAAAAGGCCAGTGCCACCAGCAACCTTAAGCTCACTGCATCTACCCCTTGCAATGAAGCCAGAGAGACAGAAACTCAGTCACGCAGCCAGCCTGGTGTGGCCAGGCTTCCAGTGGGCTCTTCTGGAGCTGTTTGTTTCTCAGAGGTGCACTGCATGGCGAAGCTCACCTGGCCCTTCCCTGTCTCCTTCCAGGAAGCGCCTGGGCCACAGATTCCCAGGCCTTGAACCCCAAAAGCCTACAGCACCTGGTATTTCCTGGCGGTCTTCCATCCAAGTACTAACCAGGCCTGACCCTGCTTAGCTTCCGAGATCAGATGAGATTGGGCGCATTCAGGGTGGTATGGCCATAGACACATTGGGAAGAGATTCTGCTCAGGCTCTCCTGCCTCCAAAGCCTCCCAGCCTTCCCCTGTGCCCCTCTCTACTCTTCTTCCAGAAAACTCTTCCTTCTCAGTTTATGGGACTTCCTGGCCGCTTGCCACAGTTTGCTGTCTTCTCAGCTTCACTGCCTGCCCCACTTGCTTCCCCTTCTGCCCAGGAGCCTTTCGTCCCAGCAGGAACCTGCCCATATTGTTTGCCTCCCTGGCCCCTTTCCTTCCTGAGCAGAGCTCTGACTGGTATTCCTTCAAGCTATGTGGCATGGTGTCAGCAGCCCAGGGTCCTTGAGTCCCACTTAGGTCCATGCACCTCAAGCCCTCTAAGACAAGTTGCTGGTTTCTATTTGCACGCTTCTCTCATCTCCTTTCCATCCCACCCTAACTCCAATGTCAAGAGGCCTTGGTTCAGCCAGGCGAGGTGGCTCACCTGTAATCCCAGCACTTTGCGAGGCCAAGGCAGGAGGCTCTTTTGAGTCCAGGAGTTCAAGAACAGTCTGGGCAACAAAGTTGAGACCCCGCTTCTACAAATGCCTCTACCCCCACCAAAGACTAGCATGGAGGCAGGCCTGTGTTCCCAGCCATACTGGAGGCTGAGGAAGGAGGACCGCTTGACCCCAGGAGGTTGAGGCTACAGTGAGCCGTGTTTGCATCACTGCACTCCAGCCTGGGCAACAGAGTGAGACCCTGTCAAAAAAAAAGGCCTTGGCACCAGCTCTGCCTTCAGCTAGCAAGGCATGTCACCTTTCTGGGCCTGTTTCCATTACCCAGTCTCTGCTTGAGCGGCTTCTGGGATGGGGAGTACACTTCTGTGCCAGCCAGCCAGTTTGCTATGGGGCATCCCCTCCTCCTTGTAACCTTCACTCCCTGTCACGTGCCCAGTTATTCCCTGGAGCCAAACAAAATTGCTACCACAGTGTACTCTCCAGCCCAAAGAAGTTTTAACCCAGGAACATGGGAAGTAAATGAATTTCATGATCCAGTGGAGACTCAGAGACACACACACACACACACACACACACACACTCACACTCTATTAGTGTCCTGGCCCTCTGGGTGTCCCAGAGACTAATGCTATAAAGACTCTGTAAATACTTACCAGACACTTACTATAGGCAAAGTGCATCACGATCATATTTTATTTCCTCATACAACTCTACTCTTATCACCCCCACATTACAGATAAGAGAGGTCACTCAGTGAGCCTTGGCAGTCTTGCTCTGGAGCCTGTACCCTAACCACTGTGCTCCACTCCCCCTGAGCTCCTGCAGCCTGCCCTGCCCTGCCCCAGCAGGTGGGGTCAGGTCTTTGACTCCTGTCTTTCCCCCACCAGCCCTTCTGTGACGGCTCCCACTTCTTCCAACGCACTGGCCTATCTCCACTCAAGTTCAAGGCCCAAGAGACCCGCATGGTGGCACTCTGTACCTGCAAGGCCACTCAGAGGCCCCCGTACTGCGATGGCACCCACAGGAGTGAGCGCGTGCAGAAGGCAGAAGTGGGCTCCCCACTCTGAGGGGGCTGCTGCTGTCCAGCCACAGGTGGCCTTGGCTCCAGGCCTCTGACAGGCACCCCCTTCTGTGGGAAAGGAAACAGGTGCTGAGCCCAAGAGACTCTGGTACCCACTGCTGGCTCATGAAGGAAGAATTATTCCTTATAACCTAAAAGTCTCCAGTCTGGGGCAGGCGGGAGTGGGCCCTGGTTCAATGTTTGCTGATGGGGAAGATGGCAAAAACAAGCCTGCCCAACCAGACTGGTAGTCCTGCAGTCACTGCTATGAGGCCCACGTGCTGCCTCCTGCTCCAGATTTTAACCTCTCTGTGGGCTGGGGGCACCTGACCAGCCACAGGAGAGGGCAGTTCAGATTCATTCTGTATGGGGTCCCCAAGCCAGGCTAAACCCAGAGATGAGAGGCACCCTTCCCTTCTTCCCTCCACCCCAAAGAACTACAGGCTCCAGAAAGTATGCAGCATTTATTACAAAGCCAAGAGATACAGATGTCCCAGGGCAAAGGAGGGTACAGTCACAGGACCTCAGACACAGGACAAGGTGCAAACACAGACAAGCCCATCAGGGGGCTCCCAACCCCACACACCTACGCTATGATGGAATCTCGAGTCTCGACTCCCGACTCCTCTCAGATCTATGCACACTTGAGGAAATCTCGGTGGGCAGCGACCTGCCAGGGTCTGTCCCTAAGGAGGTGGTCCGCTGACCTCTCAAGGGGTGGGGGTGGGGTCAGAGCTTACAGGTTTCTGTCTTCTTGTGCTTTTAGATGCAGTTGCTCTGTCCTGACCAGGTGACCGGGCCTCAGCTGGGGGTGGAGGGGCAATTGGAAGGCTGTTTGCCTCTGGCAAAGTCTGGGATCTGTGCTTGTGTGAGGTTAACCCACCCCCACTTCCACTCTAGGCCCCAGGTGAGACTCCACCACCAGTCCTGCTAGTGAGGGTTCCCCGGTGAGGGTAAGGTTGGTGGGGGTGCAGCGCTTCACAATGCTAAAGCCTTAGCCCTCCTCCAAGAGCTGAGACCTCTCAGGGCCTGAATCTTCTTTTCCACAAGATAAATGATGCAAAGGCCACACACACAGGAAAAAAAAAAAAAGAGGCAGAACTATCTATTCTTTGCACAAAGTTTCCACTGCAAGAGGAGGAGGTGATGCAGGTGCCACCTCCACCCTGCACTTGCTCCTCAGAACCAGGGATAAACTGCATTTGTAAAAGGCACTGTTCTTAGCAATTTCTGGACATTCAACAACGTGGGGGGCGGCCACTGGTCAGAGGCAGGACAGCAGCCAAGATGGGGAGAGAAACGGGGAGAGAAAGAAACGATTCTAACTGACTCCTATATGCAGCCAGTTGGAATCATGCCTAAAGCTTTGGGTCTGAAGGGGCCCCCAACACACCACCTGCCTTGGGAAACAGCGAGGATGGTGCAGAGCTTTATTGAGACTCCAGTGGCCCATCCAGTTCATCTCCAGGCACCCCCAAAAACAGCAAATTACACAAGACCCCCCCCAAAAAAAATGAACACCATTTTCCACACATACACACACACATAAAGTTTGTTTCCTGTGGCATTTAAATTAATCTGGTTGGTCCATAGAAAATAAGTATGTATATTTGGTTTTTCCTATGTACATATATATATATATTTATTTATAAAACCCGCCCCCCACCCCCAAGGTGGGAAGAGCTGGGGAAAGTAGAAGAGGTGGAAAAAAGGGCCCAGAAAAAGTGGAAGGAGTGGAGAGGCTTGGCTGGAAGAAGGGAGAGGGTCCCTGGCCTCAAGTTAAGGGGGGCACGGGAGCGCCGTTGACAGTCATCTTGCGCCCCCTGCTGGTGGAGGATGGTGTCTGCAGGCAGTTCAAGCTACCCCCGTTGGCAGCTGTGGTGGCCCCACTGGCTGTCGAAGGGGGAGTGGGGGAGGTAGGGTGGGTGGCTGGAGGCCCATGGGAACTGGGAGAGCCATGGGATGGGGTGGCTGGGCTGGGCAGGGAGGAGGAGGTGGCTGGCAGGGTGGCAGGGCTGGGAGCCTTGTCGCTGACTGACTCACACTCGGACGCCCCGCTGGTGTTGGTGCCCTCGGAGGGGGTGGGCACCGTGGCTAGGGTGAGCCGCTTGCAGGCTGGCTGGACACGGTACTTGAGGGGGAGAGGCCCGTTCTGCGGGGAGAGTGGGGAGGAGAGACACAGGGAAGGGGAAGGTATCAGGAGACAGAGTCCAACTAAAGGGCCACCATCTCCACCCCACAGTGTCCAAACTCGAAAAAAGGGATGGGATGGGGCCTTGGAGAGGAGAGAGACAAGGATACAGGGTGCATGAAGACCCAGAGAGGGAAAAGGTCTAAGAGCAGAGACTCCGTCAGAGAGGAGACGGGAGAGAGGGAGGCAAACACACGGCAGCTGCCAGCACCTATTTCTGCCCCCAAATCTGGGGACACCGTCTGCCCAGGGAGCCTTGTCTCCTGAGCGGAAAGTCATCCGCAAGAGATGGCCCAGAGGCTGACCTGCTGTAGCAAGCCACCCTGGACATGCAGCTCATGGGATAAGGGACAGACTGTCTCTGATTACAGAAGGGTGGCCCATGTGGCCACAGACCTATGCCAGACCCTGTGGGAGTCTGCTCCCTGCCCGCCCCACTCGCTGGCTCACCCGCCGCCAGGGGTAGATGTAGGCGATGTCCATGAGGGTGTAGTATTCCTTCAGTGGCTCGTCCTCGTACAGAACCTCCACCTGGGGGAGGGAAGCGGAGGACACCATGACCCTGGCCAGCTCGGGGCTCCAGGCTGGGAATGTGGGGGACTGGGAGGCGGGGCAATGGGAAGGGTGGATTTACAGATGGTCCCTTATTTCTCTGGGATTTCACTGTGGATTTGACTTCCCTGTCAGAGTTGTTCCAACATAACTCCTGACCACCAGGCAGGAAGGGTTCCAGAGAAGTTTCCCCTATTGTTAGCAGCCTCTGGTCCCACCATGCACACAGCTGTCTGGGTCTCCTATCTCTGGCAGGTCGCCCAGAGGAGCTGAAAAGGCTCAGGGGGATCTCCTGGAACTCTGGCTCTCACCCCCAGCTGCAAAATGGAATCACCCAGGGAGCTTTAAAAAACACCAATGTGGCCGGGTGCGGTGGCTCATGCCTGTAATCCCAGCACTTTGGGAGGCCAAGGCGGGCGGATCACAAGGTCAGGAGATCGAGACCATCCTGGCTAACGTGGTGAAACCCCGTCTCTACTAAAAATACAAAAAATTAGCTGGGCGTGGTGGCGGGTGTCTGTAGTCCCAGCTACTCGGGAGGCTGAGGCAGGAGAATGGCGTGAACCCGGGAGGCGGAGCTTGCAGTGAGCGGAGATAGTGCCCCTGAACTCCAGCCTGGGCGACAGAGCGAGACTCCGTCTCAAAAAAAACAAAACAAAACAAAAAACAAACACCAATGCCTAGGCCAAGTGCGGTGGCTCAAGCCTATAATCCCAGAGCTTTGGGAGGCCGAGAATTCAAGACCAGCCAAACCAACATGGAGAAACCCCGTCTCTACTAAAAAAACAGAATTAGCCGGGTGTGGTGCCACATGCCTGTATCCCAGCTACTCGGGAGGCTAAGGTGGGAGAATCGCTTGAGCCCGGGGGGTCAGCAGAGGTTGCGGTGAGCCAAGATCCTGCCATTGCACTCCAGCCTGGGCAACAAGAGCAAGACTCTGTCTCAAAAAACAAACAAACAAACAAAAAACCAAAAACCCACCAATGCCTGGCTAGGTGCGGTGGCTCACACCTGTAATCCCAGAGCTTTGGGAGGCTGAAGCGGGTGGGTCACTTGAGGCCAGGAGTTGGAGACCAGCCTGGCCAACATGGTGAAACCCTGTCTATACTGAAAGTACAAAAATTAGCCACGTGTGGTGGCATGTACCTGTAGTCCCAGCTACTTGGGAGGCTGAGGCACAAGAATCACTTTAAACCAGGAGGTGGAGATTGCAGTGAGCCAAGATGATGCCACTGCACTCCAGCCTGCGTGACAAAGGGGAAACAAAAAAAGCAAAAACAAAAAATCAATGCCTGCATCTTACCCCCAGAAATTCTGACTTAACTGGTAAGATGTGAGTTAACTCATGAGATTTAACAGGCAACAGTTTAGGATCCACTGTCCTAGAGTGTGATCCATGGACCTTCAGTACCTAGGAGCTTGTTAGAAATATGGAATCTGGCCGGGTGCCGTGGCTCATGCCTGTAATCCCAGCACTTTGGGAGGCCAAGGTGGGGTGGATCACGAGGTCAGGAGTTTAAGACCAGCCTGGCCAACATGGTGAAACCCTGTCTCTACTAAAACTACAAAAATTAGCCAGGTGTGGTGGCAGGCGCCTGTAATCCCAGCTACTCGGGAGGCTGAGGCAGGAGAATCGCTTGAATCCGGTAGGCGGAGGTTGCAGTGAGCCGAGATCGCTCCACTGCACTCTAGCCTGGTGACAGAGCAAGACTCCATCTCAAAAAAAAAAAAAAAAAAGGAAATATGGAATCTACTAAATAAATCAGAATCTGCATTTTAACAAGATCTCCAGGGGACACATATACATTCAAGCTTGAAAAGCTATGTCCTGGAGCTCCGTTGGAATTTCAGACTAGCCTTCCCACAGCCAACCAGCCTGAGGAGGCCCTGCGTTTTTTGCACTCACCTCTGCCACAGTTCCGAGTGTGCAACATGCACACATACACACCGTCTTGGTCCCATGCACCACTGCACACTGACTTCAACACCCCTAGACTGCCCCCAATCTTGGTTTCAACCACCCTTCTGTTAACGCATGGGCTCAGTTAACCGCGCAAGCCCTGGGTGACACCTAGCCAGCTCTGACCAATGGCTGGGCTGCACAGACTGTCTGACACACCCATACACAGACACTCATTTTTTGAAAGGCCCAGGGACCCACCTTGTACTTGCTGGGCACATCCATCTTGTTGCGGAGAAACTTGGCAAGATGCATGACGGTCATGGCTGCTGGGCATCGCAGGAAGCGCACCCCTGTCTGCTGGGGCACAGGCACCCATGGTAGGGGATCCACCCCAGGCCACTCCCTCCCAGCCCACATTCCAGTCCTGGGCAGGCCCCAGCACTCACTTTCTCTTTGTCCCCATCCCCATTCTCCAGGGGGCCCTTCTTCTCGTCCCGGTCCCTGGGGACGGAGAAAGAATGAAGCTAGGAAGACCCAGGAAGAACCAGGAGACCCAGGAGGATGATCCCTCAATGGACACATCCAGAGAGGGTCCTGGGTGGGAGAAGGGGTTACCCAGACTAGGAACCCAGAAGGGGCCAGCCTGGGCCAGACTTGCCTGGCACCTTCGTAGAATTCGATGGAGAGGCTGACAATCTCATCATCACTCAGAGCCCCCTTCTCCTGCTCCAAGACCTCGCCGCGGTCCTCATTGGAGCCGTTGGGGACTGCAGAAGGAAAGAGCTCTCGGGTTGGCGGAGGATGTAGGAAGGGAGCCCGCCAAGGACCCAGAGATCATGAACTCAGCCAGGTGAGCCCAGCCACCTTCTGGAGAGGTGTGCGCGGAGGAGGTCAGAGGGTGAGGGGTAGCGCTACACACCTACATGGTCCCAGGCAAGACTGTGCACACACAAACAGACGCGAGCACACTCACCCTCCGTCAGGGGGTACGCTGCATAGAAATCCCGCCGCCGTTTCATCTCATCTGGAAGAAGGCAGCAGGATGAGGACAGGGCCATGGGTTGGGAAATGGGGTCAGTGGAGGAGGAATGGAGTGCAGATACCTTTAAAAAGCCCAGGGACCAATTTGTAGACAATGTCTTGAAGTGTTTTGTCAGACCTGGGGAAAAATGGACAGGGCTTATCAGCAATGCCTTCTCCAGAGCGCTCCGACCTCGCCCTGCTCTCCCAGCCAGGGTACCCCTCTTCCCACCCCCTTCCTGAGACCGGTGCCCAGGCATTAGGATCCCTGTGGGTCTGGTCTTTGCCCCTCTAGTATGCCTCACCCTGTGATGAGCCAAATGTAACCCCAAGGTCGGGGAGTAGCCCAGGTCCACACCCCATGCTTCTCCTACACCTGCCGCCTTGGCTGAAGGAAGCACGGAGCGTGGGAGGGATGGGGGAGGCTGACCCAGAGGATCGCGGGGACAGGAGGTGCCGTGCCAAGCCCACCTGATGCTCAGCAGCGGCCGGGTTTTATGGACCTGCACGTCACACATGGGGCAGTATTTGTTGGTCTCCAGGTAGCGCACGATGCAGGTTTTGCAGACTTGGGGGTGTGGAGAGAGAGAGGAGAGTCAGAGCCAACTTCCAACTCCAGGACCAGCCTCCCCGCCCTCTGCTCAGACTCAGATATCCCTCCTCCTCCACCCTGTCCCTGCTCCGAGGCCCAATGTGGCGATGTGTGTTCTGCACGTGTGGTACCTGTCCTTGTGCACTGTTGAGGGAAGCTGGATCTTGTGTGAGACAGGCCAGTGTCATGTACAATGCAGAAGGTCAGCCCTGAGTCCCAAGCTCCCCGATGGAGTGGGGGACAAAAGCCAGCGTGTTCAAGATGCCTCTGAGTCCCACCCCCCTGCTGCCAAGCCCACAGTGCAAACAAGGGGTGTCCGCGTCTTCAGGGCATAAAATTTCAGCCATTTCAAGAAAGAACTGAGATTTCAGATGTGAGTCCTTGAAATGAACTTCTGGGCTGATGCCCCGCGCCCAGTCGCCCCTGCGAGGTAGGCCCTCTGTGACCTAAGGATTCCCAGCAGACACGTGGGCGCGTTGGCTCTTTAGGGCAAGGGTTTGCGTGCTACCTTCCTCAGGCCGTGCCCGCCCCAATCTGGGCACAGAGGCTGCCCACCCTGAGCAGCTCCCCTCCCCCCAACTCACAGGAATGCAGGCACTCCACGATAGTGGTGGCGTCGATGAAGTACCCCCCGCAGAGGGCACACATGAGGTGGGGGTTCAGCTCTGTGATTTTGATCCGTGTAGTCCGATGCATGATTCCGGGGTCGGGGGTGGGGGGACTGGGGAGCGTTGCCCTGGGAAACGGAAGTGGAATCAGAAACCCAGAGTTGGCCGGGCGCGGTGGTTCACGCCTGTAATCCCAGCACTTTGGGAGGCCAAGGCGGGCGGATCACGAGGTCAGGAGATTGAGACCATCTTGACTAACATGGTGAAACCCCATCTCTACTAAAAATACGGAAAATCAGCCAGGCATGGTGGTGGGCACCTGTAGTCCCAGCTGCTTGGGAGGCTGAGGCAGGAGAATGTCGTGAACCCGGGAGGCGGAGCTTGCAGTGAGCCGAGATCATGCCACTGCACTCCAGCCTGGGCGACAGAGTGAGAGTCTGTCTCAAAAAAGAAAAGAAAAAAGAAACCCAGAGCCTCGGCAGCCCCTCTTACGCTTCACTCCACACCTCCCCCCACCAGCACATCTCTCCCTGAGCCCAAGACCCTTCTCTGCCTTCAGGGTGGGCTGGGGGTGTACATGTGGCTGGTTCTTTCTGGCCACCTCTGAGAGTTCATTGGGTGCCCAGGCTCTGGAGAGTCACACAGCCTTGAGCAACAAGGTTAGGCTTCCTCTGAGAAGCAGGAGGAAAGACTGAAGTTAGGCCACAGGATGTACTGCCCAACTCCCCAGAGAATGTGAGGAGGCAGGAAAATGGAAAAGAAGAGGGTTTTTAAAACTCTTTCCAATCCCAAGTCGGGCACAGTGGCTCATGTCTGTAATCCCAGCATTTTGGGAGGCTGTGGCAGGAGGATCCTCCTGCCTCACGTGATCCCTTGAGTCTGGGTGGTCGAGGCTACAGTGAGCCGTGATTATGCCACTGCACTCAAGCCTGGGCGACAGAGCGAGACTCTGTCTAAAAAAGAAAAACAAAAACAAAACTCTCCAATCCCAATCCGTATTCACTCACATGGTCCACATTTAAAGCATCCTAGGAACTAGGAGGAAACTTAGATAAAGCAGCCACTGGCCTGAAACTTCAAGGAATAGAAGAAGGGAAAAATAAGTTATCCTTACTCCCTCAACCCCTCCACCCAGGTGCAGGGCCTCAGACTTGATCCTTCCACTACGTCCCAGCCTCCTATCTACTCCATCCATTCACTCCTCCTCCAGGAAGTCTTCCCTGGAAACACCATGGACACAGGCTACCCTAAGTTAGAAGGCCGCAGCCATCACTTGTGCTTCTGGCTCTGCATCCAGCCTAAGCTTTGGAGCACCTCCCTCCTCTAAAGTCTGCCAAATATAGGCTGCTCCCAGAAAATCCACCATACGCTAATCATTTGGCTTCCAGGCCTGAGACTCAGGCAGGGAACAGAGAGGGTCCTTACATGCCTGAAGTTGGGAACGTGCAGCTCCAGCCCTAGCCCTGGACTCAAAGAGTTTAGGCAAAAAGGCTATACCCCTGCCACAGGAATCCCTGCCAGTGTCCCTGATGGACAGCCGCCTGCATGAGTGCTCCCTGTCCACAAGCACACAGGGTCCAGGAACCCCCCTTTCATACACAATGCAGGAATCCCCCCCACATGGTCACTGTTACTCTCCCACTGTCTCCTGCCCTGGTGACGCCTCTGCCACCTGTTCACAGGCTGTCCAGTGACAAACCACAGGCTCTCACAGATGCCTGCCAAAGCTGGGCAGAAAGTGCTCTGTCCCCAGACCGCCTGCTCGACACCAGCCAGGCCCGGGCAGGGTCCAGAGAGGTGAAAAGTCCGGCTCTGGATTGGCCACCGTGCTTCCTTCTTGGTAAAGAAATCAAACCAAACCTGCACCTGGAAGGGACAGCAGCCCTCCCTCCTCTTTCCCAGAGTAAAAGCCCAGGGGTGGGGCTTGGGAGGGTGGCCAAGCCCCAACAGCTCCTTTACAACATACTCACACCCTTCTCTCCTTTCCAGAAAGATTTCTAAAGCCACCACACTGAGTTTTCTAGGACAAGAAATTCACAGCCGGGATCAGCAGTTTCTATAGAGACCCCAGGATGAGTCTGGCCAGGACCCAGACAGCCAACAGAGGCTCAGGGAACCTGGCCAGAGACCGAAAGAGATGCAGAGACACAAAGGCCACATGTGGGAGAGACACCAGGTTACAGGGCAGACAGAGGGGCACAAGCCAGTCCTACAGCAAGCCCAGAGACATGGCGGAGAGGTGGCGGCCCCGGGGATCTGAGAAGGGAGAGGGGTTCCCACCCCACGCAGGGTGGCCTCGGCCAGCCCTCCCTGCATGGGTCCCCCCTTTGCAATTACGCAGAAAGCTGCTGGATACTCCACTGTTTGGTCGTTTCCATAGTAACCCTGTCCCTGGCAAGATGCCCAAATATTATTACAACCATCCAGAGGAGAGAACAATCCAAGTGGCTGTCTCTCTGAGCGTGTGTAATATCCATCCTGTGTACGTGCCATCTGGGCCTCCAAAGGTACTTCCTGTGACTGCCTGTCAGTCATATGTGTGTCCAGATGCATCTATGTGTGTGTGCAGAGCCACCAACAAACATGCTGATGCTGAGCTCTGATAATGCCTGGGGTCTCTGTTGCTGGGGTAAATCGCATGCCCTCATCTATCTCCCGTTCACCCTCATATACACATGCACGCGTACACACACATACACATGTAGGCTCCGCACACTTCACATCGTGCCCGAGCCACCTCATTCACACACTCGCTGTGTTTTCAAAGCAGACACTTGCTCTTTTTTTTTTTTTTTTGAGATAGTCTTGCTCTGTTGCCCAGGCTGAAGTACAGTGGTGCGATCTCGGCTCACTGCAGCCTCCGCCTACCGGGTTCAAGTGATTCTTGTGCCTCAGCCTTCTGAGTAGCTGGAATCACAGGTGCATGCCACCACACTGGCTAATTTTTTTTTTTTTTTTTTAAACAGAGATGGGGTTTCACCATGTCAGCCAGCCTTGAACTCCTGGCCTCAAGTGATCTGCCCGCCTCCACCTCCCAAAGTGTTGGGATTACAGGTGTGAGCCACCACACCCGGCTGACACTTGCTTTTAAGAAGAACCCCACAGCCGAGAGCCCCACACTGCGAATGGCTGTACCCCTCACCCAGTCACTTCCCCGAGCATTTCTGAGAATTCAGCCCCAGCCTGTTCCTCTGGACCCTTTCTAGACACGAGGCCCAAGGTGGTGCTGACTGAATGAAACGCTGCTCCTTCTCCAGTTTAAGAAAATAAGCCCCTTGCCACACTCCCTGCTCCCCTCATTCCATCCCCACAGGTTCTGACTGTTACCTCTGGGGCTGGGGGTGGGGAGAAGCACTGATTGGCTCCTCACCTGATTGCCATGGTTACCTGCAGGGCCCTGCCAGCAGGTGCCAAGAGCAATGTAAACAGGAGCTCTGACTCCCTAGAGCACCCTCTCCCCATCTCCCCACCCCAGGAGGCCCCAGGCCGCGAATTCCTGATACCCAGTTCCTCCCCCGCTGCACTGGCTGGTGTGCTGTGAGAAGGTGAGGGAAAAAGGGGTGATGGGTGACTGGAAATCCAGCTGTCATTACTTTGAGGAAGAGGCTGGGAGATGGGAAGAACTCGAGGGAGAAAGAGTGGGAGACACAGATCCCAAGAAACAGAAAGGGGAGGCCAAGCACCATTGGAAGTGGCCTCTGCAGAGCTCAGGTGCTTTAACAGGTCAGTCCCAACTGTGTGTCCACCCCTCCCTGGACTTGAGCACTGCCTCCACCTCTAACACCACTTTTCCCCAAGCAGAAGCCAAGCCCTTCAGTGTCTTCTGCCATTGTCTTTGCAAGGGTGTGTGTGACCCTTAGGCAGCCCACATTCTGGGCCCTGAGGCCCTGGGTCTGGCTATTGCTAATGTGGCAGGAAGGGAGCTTGCTCAGCACCCAGCATCCAACCCCGACCCCTCTTTGCCATTCAAGCCTGGCACTTGTCTTTCCCAATCCTTAAAGACCCCTGCTAAGAAAACACCACCATCTCTTTCTCTCTCTCTCTTTTTTTTTTCTTTTTGAGACGGAGTCTCACTCTGTCTCCTAGGCTGGAGTGCAGTGGCAAGATATCGGCTCACTGCAACCTCCGCCTCCTGGATTGAAGCGATTCTCCTGCCTCAACCTCCCAAGTAGCTGGGAATACAGGCGTGTGCCACCACACCTGGCTAATTTTTGTATTTTTAGTAGAGACAGGGTTTCACCATGTTGGCCAGGCTGGTTTCCAACTCCTGGCCTCAAGTGATCTGCCCGCCTCGGCCTCCCAAACTGCTGGGATTACAGGCATGAGCCACCACACCCAGACCCATCTCTCCATTTTAACCAGTGTCTTTCTGGAAGCCACCCTGCAATTTAGGCCTCTCTCACTTCTTCATGGTCCCCTGTGGAAACAGTGGGTCTCCCAGCCCCAAGGCCCCTGTGCTTCTCTGATGCCATAGCTCTCTCTGCTCTCCCTGCCTCCAAATGAAATCAGCCCCACTCCCTCACTAGAATGTCTCCAGGTCTTGGGAAAAGTCACTCAAGGTCACATCCAGATGTCTAGAACTGCAGAGGTGAAAGGGCTTTTAGAAAGCACCTTGTTCAGCTGGGCGTGGTGGCTCACACCTGTAATCCCAACACTTTGGGAGGCCAAGGCGGATGGATCATGAGGTCAGGAGTTCAAAACCAGGCTGGCAAAGATGGTGAAACCCCATCTCTACTAAAAATACATGGTGGCTCACGTCCGTAATCCCAGCACTTCGGGAGGCCAAGACGGGCGGATCATGAGGTCAGGAGATCGAGACCATCCTGGCTAACATGGTGAAACCCCGTCTCTACTAAAAATACAAAACATTAGTTGGGTGTGGTGGCACGCGCCTCTAGTCCCAGCTACTCGGGAGGCTGAGGCAGGAGAATCGCTTGAATCCAGGAGGCAGAGGTTGCAGTGAGCCGAGATTGCGCCACTGCACTCCAGCCTGGGCAACAGAGCGAGACTCTGTCTCAAACAAACAAACAAAAATACAAAAATTAGCGGAGCATGGTGGCAGGCGCCTGTAATCCCAGCTACTCAGGAGGCTGAGCCAGAGAATTGCTTGAACCTGGGAGGCAGAGGTTGCAGTGAGTGGAGATCGTGCCACTGCACTCCAAGCTGGGCCACAGAGTGAAAGAAACTCCATCTCAAAAAAAGAGAAAAAGAAAAAGAAGCACCTGTTCAATCCTTTCATTTTACAGATGAGCACACTCAGATGTGACTTGTCTAAGGTCACAAAGCAAAGCAGTGGCAGTCCTGTGACAAGAAAGTGCCTGACTCCCACCCCAGTGCTTTTAACATCCTGGCACCTGGCCAGGCTCCTCACTCATCTAAAGCAGTAATGCCCGGCTTCATCCCAGCAGGTGGGAGGGGAAAAGAGCAGCTCCCTGGAGTGGCGGGAAAACCACTCAGTGGGCCGCCGTCTGGGAGGGAGTCAGTCTGGCCCAAACATGACCATCAGCATGGACTCCTGCCTTGAGGCAGGAAGAGGAGGCACATGTTAATTGCCTTACCCCACTTCCTACACATAGGGAAACAGAGGCTGCAGGGAAGCACAGCCAGCCAGAGTACAGCATCAAGACTCAGACCAGGGGTTTTATGACTCTGTTCCTCTCCCAGCTTCGTGGGTCCAACTGCGCAAGCCCCTTGTATTTGTGTTTGGGGCCGTGAGGGTCTGCCTAGGGACACTGTGAACCTCCCAACTTTCCCCAATCCTTGACAATGGCACAAAGATCTGCTCCCCTGTCCCCACCATGCATTGAAAAGGGCCTCCTGAAGCTGGGCTTACTCAACCCTCCCTTCCTCCCTCTCCCACCTCTCAACTCCCTAAGATCAAACAAAGGCAAAACCCCAAAATATACACATTGCCAGATACACACACATACAGCAAGACACACCCCCCTCCACCTCTCACACTCACTACACACAAGGCCAGATAGACACGCCACAACCCTCCCCCACCCTGCGCCACACACACACACAATCACAGCCAGACCAGAGCCAGGCCCACCCTCGCTACATGCAGAAGCCATCCACATCCACCCCCCACCTAGAAGCACACAGCCTGACATCCCTGCCTGGAAACAGACCCTGCAAACACACACTAACCTTTTGTACGACCCTGGTCCACCCAGGGTAAATTATAACATAAGTCTTCCAGCAACAAAAGCAGTTCAGCTTCCAAAGTCCGCTCTGGGGACCAGAGGCTGGAGGGCTGCAGTGGGCATGTGACCTGCACAAAGCTGTACCCTCTTCCTGTTCGGGCTCTCTCCATTCCCATGACAACAGCTCCATCAACCAAGATCTCTCAGGCAAGGCCAGGGGCAGCAGAGTCCCCCTTCCTGCCCAACCCCCAAGACTTCAACTTGAACCCTACCTAGCTACACATGGTCTGGATCCTGGGGTTGGTTTCCTGCTTCATTCCAAAGTCAGTTCTAAAGCCTCAATCCCCCAACCCCCAACCAGGGGAGCCCGTGGGAAAACCTTCCCACCAAAAAGCTGCAACAGAGCTGGCTTTATGCTCCCAGTAATAACACCTTGGACCAGAGTGAAGGGGGGAGGGAGGAGAGAAATTAAAGAGTTTCAGGAACAGAAACTGCCAGAGGTCCCAGAGGAGGAGGCATCAGAACAGAGCGGGGAGGGGACAACCAGGAGACAGCCCTCCCCTCGAGACAGACCTCTGGGGAGACTGAGGCAGCATGGGGGACACTGAGGGACAAAGATCTCGGGAAGCGCTGGGTAACACTTCCACAATATTCACTGGCAAATCCACCCGCCTCCATGCCGCCTCCTCCCACCTCAAGCCAACCGGAGCGATTATGGGCAGACAGGGGCAGTGGGGGAGGGCGAGGGGCAGCCCGGGCCCACCGTGGAGACAGGCAGGGGGTGTCTGCTTGCCCGGGGGTCCCACGCCCTCAGAGCTAGCAGTAGGAGGGCGTGCGCAGGGTGGGGTGGCTGGGCGTCCCAGGGGAAGGGGGGCCAGTTTAGCAGATCCCCCTGCTTCCGCTGGCGATGGGAAATATTGCGATAAATTTCCCTCCATCCCCATTCTACCCCCAGCGCCCGGGCTTCCCCAGGAGCCCATGTCCAAGGATCAGGGACCCCAGTTACCGGGTGGCCGCTCCCACCTTCCCTAGAGCCAAACTTTCTGCGGGGCCCCGGGAGGGGTGTTCCGGAGGGAGGCTCTGCTGAGGTGGTTCGGGGAGGGGGCGGGGCGCCGGCGCCGGGACGGGGAGCGGGGACCGGCGGGGGGAGGTGCCCGAGAGGACCCGGACCCCGGCGGGGAAGGGCGCCCTCCCCCGGCCTCGCGGCCGCCCCAAAGCACATCCCCTTCTGCCGGCCCCAAGTCCCCGCGCGTCCACGGCGCCCCTGTGCCCACGGGAGAGCGACCCCCGCCCAGATGGAAAAGGGGGTAGACCGGGCAGAGCGAGAGGCGGCTTTGGCTCGTGGGGAGCGGCGACCCAACCCAGCGCGCATCCCGCAAGCCCTCCCGGCTGCCCCGGACCTTCCCCCTCGCTACCTCGGAACAGGGTCTGCCCGGGGGCTGCTGCACAAAGAGGTGGTGGTCGAGGGAGACGCCAAATCGTTAAGACGGGGAGCCCGTTTCGGCCATCTTGGAAGAGAGGAAAGGGAAAAAGGGACAGAAAAAAGGGAGAAAGAAAGGCGGACGGGGCAAGCTGGGCTAGGGACTGACGGGGCGCGGGGGGTGCGAAGGCAGGATCGGCTCAGAGCCTCCCCCTCCCATCGGGGCTTGCGAAGAACGGCCGGCCCCCATCCCAATCCCCAGAGGGTTACAGGCCAGGAGAGGGAAAGGCAGGGGGAGTCCGCTCCGCTTACCTGGGTTCGGGGTCCGGTGGGTCTCGGGGAGGGGGGGATGGGAGGGAGGGAGGGAAGGGAGGGGAGGGGGGCCGCAGCCGTGTCGCTCGCCCGGGCGGCGGGAGGGGAGAAACCTACGGTAAGAAAGGAGTTTGTGAAAGCGGCTTGGGGTGGGAGGGAGAGGGGAGGGGAGGGGACCGAGGGGGGAGGGGAGGGACCGGAGTGTGGGGGGGAGACAAAATGGCTTTTTTCCTCCAGACAAGAGTAGGTCCCGCCCACCACTCACCCACGTGACCTCATTCCTTCAGGATGCTGGCAGAGACGGGAAGAGGAGGGGGAGGCTGGCGCGGCCGCTCCCCGCCACCGGCTGCCGGGTCCCTAGCCAGGACGAGACCCCTCCCTTCCCATGCGGCCGCCCCGACCCCGGAGGATGGATTCTCTTATGTTACCTTCCGCAGTTAGCCCCCCTCCCTTCAAAATATGGGTTCCCCCCACTGACACTGTGATGCCCATCCCTAACTGGGGCGCCTGGAAAATGGTGAAATGGGGACTGGGCTGAAAGGTGGCTCGTGGTCCTCCACGCCCCGGCCTAGACCAAAGGGCGCGGGGCTCCGGCGGGGGACGCGACGCCTTCAGCCAGGCGTCCGAGCGATTTTCATTCACTCCAAGTGACACTCCCTTAAAATTAATAACTGCATCTGGGAGGGCGAGCGTGTCCTCCCCACTCCCCTTGCCCCCTCGGCGGCAGGGGCGCTGGCCCCGAAAAGCGGCGCACCAGGATCCAGCCTGGGCGCCTGGCAGGGAGCAATCGCGAGAGGGGAGTGGAGGTGCGGGGTGAGGCCGGGTGGGGGGCCTCGCCGCGGGGGGATCGGGTAGCTCTGGCGGAGGCTGCGCCCCCGGCGTGCTCGGGCAGAGAAGAACGGAGGCCCGCTGAGGATGGGAACTCAGGCTCCGGGTCTGGGACACAATAATCCGGCCGAAGGCGAGCGGCCACACTGGACTAGGAAACGAGGCGCCGGGCTGTAAGGTGGGCCCGCGCCTTTTCTCCTGCCTGGCGCTGATTCCCGCATTTTTCGCTCGCGCCCTGCGCTGCGCGCTGCCTGTGCGCCTCCCTGGGCGCGCGGGCGGGAGAGTCGGGCGAGCGCCAAGACGGCTGGGCCCGACTCCCACTGGCGCCCCGGCTCCACCTGGCGCTGGGGCTCCGGTCCGCAGTGGCTCCGGCAGGAGGGAGAGAACGAGGAGGGAGGCTTGGAAACGCCGGGAGTAGCGGTGAGGCCGACGCCGGGGAAGCGAATCGATACTGCGTTACTGGACGCCCGTGGGCCTCATGAGGATGGTCGATTCCCTCATTCGTTATTCACGATTTATTAGGGATGGCGGCCGCGTCTGTCCCTCCAGAGAGCTCGATTATCCATCCGGCCAGCAGCGCCATTAAGCGCACTGACGGTGGGAGGCTCGAGTTAGAAATTAGGATAGGAATCTTCGCCCAGTTTTGGAGCGCCTGCCTCCTCTTCCCTCGTTGCTCGCAGCCAAGGCAGCCGCGAAGCTGGGGGCCTCGGGTGAATGCTTTCGCCCTCTGGCCGGCGACCAGGAGACCTGCGCACACTGGCCGCCGAGTGACCCCAGCTCGAGCCTGCAGCCACACCAGCGGGACGGGGGCGGGGAGGAAGAGGAAGGGCGGAGAGACTTCCTTCCAGAGGGAGTGGTCCGAGAACCGGCGGGAGAAGGGCCAAGGGAAGATCCGGTCACCTGCTCCGGAGCCTGCAGGCGGAGAGGCGAGTAGTTCACCGGCCCCGGAGGAAAGGGGACCCTCCCACTGTTCCCAGGCAAATGTGTCGCCGGCATCCTGCACTCTGCCGGGGAAGACGCGCATCCACTCGCTCTGCAGGGAGGGGAACGCGGGAAGGACTCCCAGTCAGCCGCCCCTCTCTGGCTACAAGACCCCGAACAAGAGAAACCTGTAACAGGGGCTCTGCGGAGATCTGGATCCCACCCACCAACCACATGGGCACCTGGGGGGCTGCCCCTCGGGGCATTATCAGCCAGTGGGAAGGGGGTTGACGTTCCTCTGCGGCCCATGAATCCTGGAGGGCTGCCCGAGGGGCCACCGGGGTCCATCCACTTATTCTTCGGTTGTTAAGCGCCAGACAGGAGAGAACCGCTAGAGAGGAGTGTGCTAAGACCCTATTACCCACTAAAACTCCATTTTCATCTTTTGCGTCCTGGATGACTAGTCTCCACATTCCTGGCCTTTCTGGTTTCTCAGGAGAACCTTCTGACCCAACTCTTCCCACATCGAAAGAGTTTCCTAGTCTTTTGTTCTACTACTAGCCGACATAGAAAGCACCTGTCATGTGCCAGTGTCAAATACTGCGCTAGGAACTGGGAACTCAAGGCACAGGAGCCTGGCTTTTGCGCAGGGCGCTCACAGGCCGGTGGGTGCAAACCCTGAAGGACACACAGCCTGTCCCTTTAGCGCCCATCGCTTCTGGTGTGAGCTCCCGCTAAGGGTGGGTGAGTACTGGGGTGGGCTTCCAGAAGAGGCCTCCTTTGAGCCGAATCTGCAGAGACCAAGTGTCTATGAGAACTGCTCAAGAGTGCTTTGCACATTCTCCTCCACAAAGGTCGAGGCTCCCACTGCGCCCAGGAATGCGCCTCGTCAGACATTAGGCGCCCCTTGATTTTGTGTTTGCATCTCACGCGGTCCTCTAGCTGACAAGTGCATCAGAAGAGTCACAGTGGCTGTCACAAGCCAGAGACTCGCAGAGGACAGGAACGCGGGAAATCTAGGCAATTACCTCCAGCATATACCAAGAGCTATTGCGAGGATCAGATCCCTTTAAAAATGGTGACGAGACAGGAGAGGGCGGCTCCTCTAGAGCTTTCCGGAACGTCTTTACCTCTGTGTCCTTTATACCTTTTATCTCCCCCAAACAAGGTCCTTAGTCAGTTTCTCCTTCTATTTCCCCATCTTCCTCCCCCACCTCCCTGTGTAGTTCTAGGGGGAAAAAATGTGTTGTTTTCCTTTTTTTCTGATGCTTCTAATATTAAATGCGTCTATTTTCCCACTCTCCATTGTCTTGAGGTCTTCCCCTACCCACCCTGCCTAGTTCTGTCACGTCCCTTCTTTCCCTGTATCACAACAATGTTCTCCCTTTCTCACCTTTGTTTCTCTTCATACTTGTTTCTCTCTCTGTGTCTCTCTCATTCTCTTCCCTTCCAAATGTAGTATTTGGAGACTGTAATATCGATTGAGGCAGACAATAGAAAACTGTCGAACCTCCACTGTAAATTCATTCTTAATCCTATGAAAAAATGCATCCTGAAACGTGTTGCATGCACAGTGAGACAAAAACCTGTGTCTTTAGGTTTCCTGCGATCTAGCTTGGAGGCGGGTTGGGGGGGTGTGGAGGGAAGTGCTGGAGAAATTATCCCATTATTGACTGAGCAGCAAAGAATTTTCAAGAACAGTGATTCTCCTAGAAAAAGTATTGCTGCTGCCATTTCAATGCAAAATTTGGCTTTTGAGTAAAAGGCTTAGGTTTTTATCTTCCGGGGAGAAAAAAAAAACCCAAAAGACAAAAAAAAAAAAAAAAAAGGTCATAGCGTCCCTGGGTGGGCTCGAACCACCAACCTTTCGGTTAACAGCCGAACGCGCTAACCGATTGCGCCACAGAGACCGAGTCGACTACCGGCGTAGTAGTGAGCCGAGTCAATGGGAGCGAGCCTGGACGGCGCAGACGCCGTAAGAGATGCCGCCATCGGGCGAAATAAGTGGAACCCGGGGGAGAAAGGGAAGGATCCTGATGGGGGAGGGAGGCGAAAGAGCTTGGGAGGAGAGGACGCGGGACGTGCACGCCCTTCCTCCATTGGAACGGCGAGAGGTCGACTCTGGCTATCCTCAGGTTCTACCTCAAACGTGGAGAGGCGCGGAACGTCCCTTTTTAGGGTGACCTGAGATTGAGGATACGTGAAGTCGGGCCGCAGGAAGTCCCCCAAATCAGAACAAGCTTCGGCTTCCAAACTCCCTTTCACAGCTGAACCCCTGCAGCCGCAAAATACCCGCGACGCCTACACGCGACGCCTTCCCCTTCCCACCTGCATCATTAAATTTCCATTTAATGGGCGCCTCCTATATACTAGGCACTGTTGTGGGCCAGTGAATATTCCGAGCCTAGGCAAGTGCCTGGTACACAGTAAACGCAGGATTTCTGGAGTGAATAAATAAGCTAGCACGACTAATACGACGAACTCATACATCACGTTGATAAGCGTCACGGTGCCCCTTCAGCTGGGGCCGCAGCTTCCTAAACCCAGTTTCACCAGCCCACGTGCGCGCAGGCTCCGCCCCCAGTCCCTGAGGTCCCGAGTCCAGGTCCGCCGAGATCCCACTATGCACCGTGTCGCAAGTCTCTTCCGCAGCCACAGTGACTTTTCACTTCCGCTTTTCCCGCCTCCGTTTTGACTTTGCAACCAAACTACCTGTACTGGTGACCGACAGGGACGTGTGACCAATAGAAAGCCCAGATGTCCAGGAAGAGTCCGCCTATCAGCCAATGAAGAGACAGCAGTGAGAGCGGTTGCGCAGTGAAGGCTAGACCCGGTTTACTGGAATTGCTCTGGCGATCGAGGGATCCTAGTACACCGCAATCATGGTGAGATGGGGAGTTAAAGCAAAGGGGCATGGGGAAGGATTGAGAAGCGGAGGGGGTCAGGAGAGGCTTGGGGACGAAAAGGGCCTAGGGTCGATGGAAGGAAGCGGTTTCAGTTCGAGGGGAGCGGGCCCCGGTGAGGACCAAGAGGGTGAGTGCGGCTCATTGCCGCCACACAGTGCTCATCCCAGCTGGAGAACCAGGGGTTCAGACGCCTCCGGAATGGAGAACGGGCGTACAGGAGCCTCCGCATCAGGAGCTGGGCCGGGGGCTGTGGCAGCGTTTGACCCCCCGCGCTGACCCCTCCGCTCTGTCTGTCCTAGTCTATTATGTCCTATAACGGAGGGGCCGTCATGGCCATGAAGGGGAAGAACTGTGTGGCCATCGCTGCAGACAGGCGCTTCGGGATCCAGGCCCAGATGGTGACCACGGACTTCCAGAAGATCTTTCCCATGGGTGACCGGCTGTACATCGGTCTGGCCGGGCTCGCCACTGACGTCCAGACAGTGTAAGTTTCAAGGGTCCCCGCCCACACCCAGGCCTCTTCTTGGACCATCCAACCCCGGCGTCTTGACCGGCCAAGGTGTCAGTCATCTACCACACACCACCAGTGAGTTTGAGACTTTGCCGCCTCCAAAAAACATGTCCTTCCCTTTCTTTTTTTTTTTTTTAGACAGGGACTTGCTCTGTCACCCAGGCTGGAGCTCAGTGGCATGATCTCAGCTCACTGCAACCTCCACCTCCCAGGCTCAAGCGATTCTCGTGCCTCAGCCTCCTAAGTAGCTGGGACTACAGGCGCGCACCACCATGCCTGGCTAATTTTTGTATTTTTAGTAGAGACAGGGTTTCACCATGTTGGCCAGGCTAGTTTCGAACTCCTGACCTCAAGTGATCCACCTGCCTCAGCCTCCCAAAGTGCTGGGATTACAGGCATGAGCCACCACACCTGGCCTGACTTTGATTTTGACAACAATTTTGAGCAGACAAGACAAGCCCAATAGAAACATCTTGCAAGCAGTTGGGGTTTTGTTATTACATCTCAGGGTTGGGGAAGCATTGGCAATGTGCCAAATCTATGGGAGCAGATTCTGGAGAGACAAAGTCTGTAGGGAGGGAAATAATGAGCGGCAGTTTGAGAGCTGAACGTTACATTTAGCAGTGAGGGGCGAAGAGAAGCCAGAGAAGAATAAGAGAGGAAAAGAACGGTGATAGGTTTTCAGGAGGGAATACGTGGTCACAGGGGGCAGGTCCTGCAGGGTACTGGTGCCTGAGGAGCAGCAGGTCCTGGATTTGTTTCCTAGAAGGTGGAGAGACTAGCTCACAAGCGTGGGTGGATGCCTGTCAGAAAATGTTCTCATTTCGGCTGGGCGCGGTGGCTCACACCTGTAATCCCAACACTTTGGGAGGCTGAGGTGGGCGGATATCTTGAGATCAGGAGTTCCAGACCAGCCTGGCCAACATGGTGAAACGCTGTCTCTACTAAAAATACAAAAATTAGCCAGGCTGGGTGGTGGGCACCTGTAATCCCAGCTACTCGGGAGGCTGAGGCTGGAGAATTGCTTGAACCTGACAGACGGACGTTGCAGTGAGCTGAAATTGTGCCACTGCACTCTAGCCTGGGCAACAGAGCGAGACTCTGTCTCAAACAAAATAAAAAAAGAAAGAATAAAAGAAAATGTTCTCATTTCTCTTAAAACTCCCTGAGTCTCAAGAACATAACACTTACTGAGATCTCACCCAGCCTGCCCTTTTTTCCTGTCTGGTAGAGTCAGAGAATGACATCCTGGGGTTCCTGTCAGTGAAGTCTCCCGTGAGCCTTCCCTTCTGCAGTCACTGCTGTTCTCACACCATTTCCTTTTCTTCAGAGGGCTTTTCTCACTGCGTTTGCTTCCTTCTGGGCAATGACTGCTCATTTCACTAGGCCTCAGTTTCCTTACCTGGAAGATGAAGCTCAAGTCATTTCTAAGTCTCTTTGCTCTGGTGTCCTGAGACTCATTGCTTTTCCTCCAGCAGGTGTGGCATTGGTCTGCTCTATGCAGGGGCCTATCCTGGGGCTCTGAGATGGAACTGGCAAGCTGTGACCTTTTTTCCTTTTTTCACCAGAGCTGCCAAATGGCCTTTTTCTAAGGCATCTTTCAAGTCTGTTAGCACATAGCACAGCAGTTGGTGCTGCCCCCTTTTTTTTTTTTTTGTCACCCAGGCTGGTGACATAAACTTAACTCACTGCAACCTCCGCCTCCAAGGCTCAAGTGATCCTCCCACCTCACCCTCCCAAGTAGCTGGGACTACAGGTGTGTGCCACCATGCCCAGCTAATTTTTGTAGTTATTGTAAGAGGCAAGGTTTCGCTATGTTGCCCACAGCTGAACTCCTGAGCTCAAGCAATCCTTCCGCCTCAGTCTCCCAAAGTGCTGGGATTACAGGTGTGACCCACTGCGCCCAGCCTAAACATTTTTAATATGGAACGCTTCACAAATTTGCATGTCATCCTTCTGCTAATCTTCCCTGTATTATTCCAGTTTTAATATATGTGCTGCTGGCCAGGCGTAGTGGCTCACGCCTGTAATCCCAGCACTTTGGGAGGCCAAGGTGGGCAGATCACGAAGTCAGGAGATCGAGACCATCCTGGCTAACACCGTGAAACCCCATCTCTACTAAAAATACAAAAAGTTAGCCGGGAGTGGTGGCGGGCGCCTGTAGTCCCAGCTACTTGAGAGGCTGAGGCAGGAGAATAGCGTGAACCCGGGTGGCGGAGCTTGCAGTGAGCCGAGACTGACTGCGCCACTGCACTCCAGCCTGGGCGACGAGTGAGACTCCGTCTAAAAAAAAAAAAAATATATATATATATATATATATATGTGTGTGTGTGTGTGTGTGTGTGTGTGTGTGTGCTGCCAAAGCAAGCACCAGTTGCTACTTCCTAACACATGTAAGACTACAGTTTTCCCTGGGCAGGGACTGAGATGAGATGTCTCCTTATGTTTCCCTGACCTCAACAGGGTAGACACTCAGGAATATTCAATAATGACTTACTAACTCACTTTTCTCCTACCTCAGTGCCCAGCGCCTCAAGTTCCGGCTGAACCTGTATGAGTTGAAGGAAGGTCGGCAGATCAAACCTTATACCCTCATGAGCATGGTGGCCAACCTCTTGTATGAGAAACGGTGAGTGCAAGTGTAGCTAGCACTGAGGGAATGCAGACATCTTTGAATGTAGTATGGAGTAGGTACTGAGGAAGAGGACTCTCCTTGTTTTTCCATCTCTTATTTGCAGGATAATATCCTTATTTTATGGGTGTGTTTTCTTTGGGCCTGTCTGGCAACCAGATAGGAAAGAAAATACTTATGTTGGAAGAAGGCAAGGAATGCACATAGCAGATAAATTTGCATCTAGGCAAAAGAGTTAGTCCCACCAGAGTGTTCTGGGGTCTCCCAGCAGGAGCCACTCTTGCCCTAGAGCTATTCTGTCAGCACTGGCTTCTTGGGAATAGCAGGGAGCCTAGGAATGGGGTGTTCATTTTCGTCAGTTCTCCTTGAGGGCTTTATGGTGAGAAACAAGGGGCCTAACTGTAGAATTTAGTGCAGAAATCTAGGATGGAATTGAAAGGAAACCCTGTGGGTGCTTTCTACCTCTGGGCAAACCTGGGTGGCCAGAATATAAGTTGAGCTCTCTTTTTCTTTTTTTTTTGAGACGGAGTCTTGCTCTGTCACCCAGGCTGGAGTGCAGTGGCGTGATCTCGGCTCACTGCAACCTCCACCTCCCAGGTTCAATCGATTCTTCTGCCTCAGCCTGCCATGTAGCTGGGACCACAGGTCCATATCACCACACCCGGCTAATTTTTGTATTTTCAGTAGAGACAGAGTTTCAACATGTGGGTCAGGCTGGTCTCGAACTCCTGACCTCAGGTGATCCACCTACCTTGGCCTCCCAAAGTCCTATTATAGGCATGAGCCACCATGCCTGGCCTGATCTCTTTTTTTTTCTTTTCTTTTAACTTTTTATTTTGAAGTAATTTTTGTAATTTGTAAAAATACCCTTTAGCTTTCAAAAACTTTTTCTTTTTTTTTTTTTGAGATGGTGTCTTGCTCTGTCGCCCTGGTGTGCAATCACGGCTCACTGCAATCTCCACCTCCCGGGTCCAAGTGATTTTCCTGCCTCAGCCTCCTGAGTAGCTGGGATTACAGGTGTGTGCCATCACACCTGGCTAATTTTTTTTTTTTTTTTTTTTTTTTTTTAGTAGAGACAAGGTTTCACCACGCTGGTCGGGCTGGTCTTGAACTCCTGACCTCAACTGATCTACTGCCTCCGCTTCTCAAAGTGCTGGGATTACAGGCATGAGCCACTGCGCCCTGCAAAAAGTCTTATAAAGTTGTAACAATTAACTCATATTTGGATGTATATTAAATGGCTTGCTGGGCGTGGTGGCTCATGCCTGTAATCCCAGTACTTTGGGAGGCCAAGGAAGGTGGATCACTTGAGGTCAGGAGTTCGAGACCAGCCTGGTCAACATGGTGAAACCTCATCTCTACTAAAAATACAAAAATTAGCTGGGTGTGGTGGTGCACGCCTGTAATCCCAGCCACTCGGGAAGCTGAAGCATGAGAATTGTTGAACTTGGGAGGCAGAGGTTGTAGTGAGCCAAGATCATGCCACTGTACTCCAGCCTTGGTGACAGAGTGAGACTTAGTCTCAAAAGAAATAAAAAATAGGTCGGGCGTGGTGGCTCATGCCTGTAATCCCAGCACTTTGGGAGGCCAAGGTGGGCGGATCACGAGGTCAGGAGATCAAGACCATCCTGGTCAACATGGTGAAACCCCATCTCTAATAAAAATGCAAAAATTAGCTGGGCGTGGTGGCACACACCGGTAATCCCAGCTACTTGGGAAGCTGAGGCAGGAGAATCGCTTGAACCTGGGTGGTGGAGGTTGCTGTGAGCAACTTGCCTCAGCCTCCTGAGTAGCTGGGATTATAGGCGCCTGCCACTGCACCTGGCTAATTTTTTAATTTTTAGTAGAGACAAGGTTTCATCATGTTGGCCAGGCTGGTCTCAAACTCATGACCTCATGATCCGCCCACCTCAGCCTCCCAAAGTGCTGGGATTACAAGCATGAACCACTGCGCCCAGCCAACGAAAAAAAAAGTTAATAATATCTGGGATTATCTGGATAAGAACCTTAAAACCAAATACTATAACACAGCTCAGGGCCTGTGTTTGAACTTCCTATTATGCTGATGCCGAGTTACCATCTGAAGTAACTTTTACTGCAGTGTTTCAGACAGAGGTGCGTAGATGGTATCTCTGGGGTCCAGATTTTAAAAAGGGTCTGGACATTGCTCAGGTTTGCAGTTCAATGCCTCAGCCTGTCCTGCCAGAAAAATCACTGATTTCAGATGGGCTCATAGAGGAAGCTCCCGTCAATAGTAGCTAAGAATCCAGAATTTTTCAGGTCACCTAATGTATTTTTTTTCTTTTCAATAAGAGTAAGACATTTATTTTATTATTTTTATTTTTTATTTTATTATTATTATTTTTTTGAGAGTTTCACTCTTTCGCCCAGGCTGGAGTGCAGTGGTGCGATCATGGCTCACTGCAACCTTTGCCTCCTGGGTGCAAGCAATCCTCCTGCCTCAGCCTCCCAAGTAGCTGGGACCATAGGTGCATGCCACCATGCCTGGCTAATTTTTAAATTTTTTTGTAGAGACAGGGGTCTCACTTTGTTGCCCAGGTTGGTCTTGAATGCCTAGGCTCAAGCAGTCCTCCAGCCTTGGCCTCCTCCCTAAGTGCTGAGATTACAAACGTCAGCCATCATGCCTGGCCTAAAAAAGTTATTTTCATGGTGGCTCATGCCTGTAATCTTGAACTGTGCGTGTGTATGTGTGTGTGTTTCTATTTAGAGCTATAACTGAAGATCATGCCCTTAGAAATGACTGTGATCCAGGCCTGGAGCATTGGCTCACGCCTGTAATCCCAGCACTTTGGGAGGCCGAGGTGGGTGGATCACAAGGTCAGGAGATTGAGACCATCCTGGCTAACACGGTGAAACCCCGTCTGTACTAAAAATACAAAACATTAGCTGGGCATGGTGGCGGGCACCTGTAGTCCCAGCTACTCAGGAGGCTGAGGCAGGAGAATGGCTCGAACCCAGGAGGCAGAGCTTGCAGTGAGCCAAGATCGCACCACTGCACTCCAGCCTGGGCGACAGAGCAAGACTGTCTCAAAAAAAGAAAGAAAGAAAGAAATGACTGTGATCCAATAAGACATATGGATAACGTCTCTTTTACTGACTCTTTCTACTGAGGATATTGGCCATTTGTTATTTGGTATTTTATAGATATTCCTTACCTTATAAACTGTTATAAGTTTAAAATATTGTAAGTTGAAATGGGTATTTTGTAGACATAGGATGCAAATACACAAAACACTATATCCAAAAATTGCTCACAGCAGAACAGTGTAAAGTATCTGTTGTTTCCTCTGGTGATTGTGTGGCTGACTGGGAGCTGCGGCTCATTGTCACTGCCCAGCATCAGGAGTGGGTTTGGTACCACAAATTGCTAGCCTGGGAAAAGATCAAATTTCAAAGCATAGTTTCCACTGAATGCCTGTTGCTTTTGCACCATCATAAAGTTGAAAAATTTTAAGTTGAACCATCATAAGTCAGGGACCATCATCTGTACATAAAGATCCCTAAGACTGATTTTTCTTTTTTTTTTTTCTTTTCTTTTCTTTTTTTCTGAGATGGAGTCTCGCTCTGTCGCTCAGGCTGGAGTGCAGTGGCGCGATCTCGGCTCACTGCAAGCTCCGCCTCCCGGGTTCATGCCATTCTCCTGCCTCAGCCTCCTGAGTAGCTGGGACTATAGTCACCCGCCACCATGCCCAGCTAATTTTTTTTTGTATATTTAGTAGAGAGGGGGTTTCACCGTGTTAGCCAGGAAGGTCTCGATCTCCTGACCTGGTGATCCACCCACCTCGGCCTCCCAAAGTGCTGAGATTACAGGTGTGAGCCACCGCGCCTGGCCCAAGACTGATTTTTCTTAAAGATCAGTGTCTAGAACAAGTTTCTGATGAGCTGCCATTTCCTTTTGACAATGAGAGTAACCCAGCCACTGAGTATCCCTCTTTGCCTTGCCTGCTAGGGGGCTCAAAACAAAACTTTGTGTTCAGTCTGAGTTATCTTGTATTATGTTTTAATGGTTTAGTTTTATTTTTCAGTGTTTTTCATATAAACTGCCTCCAATCTTTTCTCTAAAGGAGTAGAGGTATAAACATACACATAGAGGACTGAGTGATGGTAGGACCTTGGGTGAGGAGAGGGAGGATTAGAAGAAAACAATTCTGAAAGAAAGAAGGAGCACAAGAGGGTCAGAGGTGAGAAGGATAGAAAGGTAAGTGTTGAAGAAAAGAAAGTGGAAAAGTCTTAGAATATTTCTAGCTGGCAGGAGAAGGGAGAGGGAGCTGGCCTCAGGGAAAGGTGATCTTCCTAAACAGGTCCTCCATTTCCCTTTGGGTCTGGGTCTAGGCCGGGGCCTTGTCTGAATAGGCTTAAACATGAAAGCGAGCGTTCTTGAGTTCTGGTTTCTCTCTCTGATGCTGGCCCCCACAGGTTTGGCCCTTACTACACTGAGCCAGTCATTGCCGGGTTGGACCCGAAGACCTTTAAGCCCTTCATTTGCTCTCTAGACCTCATCGGCTGCCCCATGGTGACTGATGACTTTGTGGTCAGTGGCACCTGCGCCGAACAAATGTACGGAATGTGTGAGTCCCTCTGGGAGCCCAACATGGTACGTTGGTGGCATGGAGAGGGGCTGGGCTCTGAGTTACCCACCCTTGGTCATTAGGAAAAAAGTGTGTTTATGTGGCAGGTAATGGGGAGAATGGTGCAGGTGGGAGAGAAAGCCACAGCTGCTGCTCCTTGGAAGGGTATCCAGAAATTCCATCTGCCAGGCTGGCTGGCTGGCTCCAGAGGAGAGCATCTTCTGTTAGGAGACCACAGTTAGATATTTGCCACAGCAGTAAGAATTCCTTACATTGGGTTTACAGGGTTCTCGCATCCATTCACTGAGCAAACATTTAACTCAGTGTAGGGTTAGAGGCAGCTCAACAGGTTGTCTGGGTTGGCAACCTGGATCCACCCACCACCTTAGTTATTGTTCTTGGAGAAGCCAGTTTCCCTCTCTGCCTCCACTACCTTGACTGTAAAATGAGGATAAAAAAGTCTGCCTTAGAAGTGGTGCTGAGGAAGCCGGGCGCGGTGGCTCACGCCTGTAATCCCAGCACTTTGGGAGGCTGAGGCAAGCAGATCACCTGAGGTTTGGAGCTCAGGACCAGCCTGACCAACATGGAGAAACCCCGTCTCTACTAAAAAAAAAGTTAAATTAGCCGGGCATGGTGGTGCATGCCTGTAATCCCAGCTACTCGGGAGGCTGAGGAGAATCGCTTGAGCCTGGGAGGCGGAGGTTGCGGTGAACAAAGATCGTGCCATTGCACTCCAGCCTGGGCAACAAGAGCTAAACTCCGTCTCAAAAAAAAAAAAAAAAAAGTGGTGCTGAGGAAAACAAATGAGTATATGTGCTGCCGAAGCGAGCACAAAAACAAGTGAGAAGAGATGAGATAGTGCTTGACGGCGAGGGTCGGCTGTCGTTATTAAGTGCCAGCTCTTCCGGCCACTGGGGAAAGCAGGTACAGTCTGCTTTCAAGGGCCCACTGCAGTCCAGTGAAGCAAGACACATCCAAATACCTGTTGAACTGCAGTTTGTTGGGAAGAGGAGGAAAGAAAGGGTCTGGGGGCAAAGGTACAGGAAGGGGCAGGTATGCTCAGTGACTGGAGAGCTGAGCCTGGCTGGAGTGTGGGTTAAACATGGGGAGAAATGATGCTGGAGACTGAGATGAGACCTCAAAGGGCCTTGAATGCCATGCCAAGGAGTTTGAACTCTGTCCTCTGCCATAGGAACCTAGGGAATCAGGTGCCTTTAGGTGGACGTGACAGGCTGTTACCGCCTGCAGGAGGCGCTGAGGTCCTGAGCAAAGACAGTGGCAGTGGGGAGGCAGGAAGGCAGCTGTCAAGGGGACTTAGTCACTTAAAACAGAAGCGAAGGATGTAGAGACAGAGGATGGCTGGGTTCTCCAGCTAGGCTAGCCAAGACAGAATGTAGAAGGAACAGGTTTGGGGGAAGTGGGTTTGTGGTTGGACAGGTTGGGTTTTGAGGTACCTGTTAAGATATCCAGGATCAGAGCCCATCAGACAGCTGCTAAAGCACACTGGAGCTAAATAGGGATTCTTCTCCCTATTTTACAGAGAAACTGAGGCTCAGTGAAGAGAGACATACTATTTGCCCAATGTCACACTGCTGATTAGTAAAAGAAATTCAGGGCTTGAAGTCTCTTTCACTTTCCTTTACATAATTCTGCTTCCTTCCAAGGAAGGAGCTGAGAGGGGCTTCCCACATCCTGGGAATCATCCCTTACTTCAGGCATGTCTTGGGGCCAGAGCTGGGAATCTTGAGCCTAGAAAAAAGAGAGTTAAGGGACCAGACCAAATCAGAGCCAGAGGCTGTGGTTTGAAGGGGTTCCACTCTGTTGGCAGGATCCGGATCACCTGTTTGAAACCATCTCCCAAGCCATGCTGAATGCTGTGGACCGGGATGCAGTGTCAGGCATGGGAGTCATTGTCCACATCATGTGAGTATGGGCTGGGAGAAGTCTAGAAGCTCTGCAGACACCCTGCCTCTCTCCCTTCTCCACGAGCATACACCCCATTTTCCCAGCCCCCTGGTCAGGTGTGAGATAAGAAAGGTGCTTTTGGCAGTCCTGGGTGAGCAAAAGTCCATGCCTCCCTATGGCTGGTAACTGGCAGCCTACCCAGCTTCCTCTGGCCTCTTGTCAGGTGAGGTTCTGTGACCCCGTGCTCACAAGAGACATTTCTTCCTTAACAATGTCTCCGAAGTCTCAGGGATCCGTGTTGGGGTGAGCCACAACAAAGCTACTGCAGATGGATTGAAATTCTAGGTGGCTCGCATCCTCTCTCCAGCCCAGATCTGTGTGATGTTCTGAGCTCTAGAGACCAATTTCCAAGCCTCAGCCAACTCCCTAAGTGCCATCCTCCTTGTCCTTTTACTTGTTTGGGGCCATCACCAGGAACCTGATTGGATAGAGTAGGAGGTATCCTTCCAACCACTTTCCTACATTGCAGGATAAGCATTTGGACCCTTTTGGGGGATAGCCTGCTTAATTACCGTGAAATAGTATTTGGCCAGGCGCGTTGGCTCACGCCTGTAATCCCAGCACTTTGGGAGGCTGAGGTGGGCAGATCACTTGAGGTCAGGAGTCTGAGACCAGCCTAACATGGCGAAACCCCGTTTCTACTAAAGATACATAAAATTAGCCAGACGTGGTGTCACGTGCCTGTAATCCCAGCTACTAGGGAGGCTGAGGAAGGAGAATTGCTTGAACCTGGGAGGCAGAGGTTGCAGTTAGTCAAGATCACGCCATTGCACTCCAGCCTGGGCAACACAGTGAGACTCTGTCTCAAAAAAAACAAAAACAAAAACAAAAAACCCAAAAAACAGAATTTACCACCGACGGTTTTTTTTTATGTTCTTTGGGGTGAAACACACCACACCTTCTCCTTCCTAAGTGGCTTGTTCTCTAGGCTTGGAGGAGCTTCTTCCCCCTTTTTTTTTTTTTTTTTTTTTTGAGATGGAGTCTCATTCTGTCGCCCAGGCTGGAGTGCAATGGCACTATCTCAGCTCACTGCAAACCTCTGCCTCCTGGGTTCAAGTGATTCTCCTGCCTCAGCCTCCTGAGTAGCTGGGATTACAGGCACGTGCCACCATGCCCAGCTAATTTTTGTATTTTTAGTAGAGACGGGGTTTCACCATGTTGGTCAGGCTGGTCTTGAACTCCTGACCTCGTGATCCGCCTGCCTCAGGCCTCCCAAAGTGCTGGGATTGCAAGCATGAGCCACCGCGCCCGGCCAAGCTCCTTCCCTTCTTTTGAGAGCTGTGAAGTCTGGCCCTGAATCATTTTCTGGGAAAGCCTCCCTGAGGTGGTTCCACCTGTGGAAAGTCGGCCCAGGTCTCTGTTCCTATCCCTCCTTCCTCACCACAGGCGGAGGAGATGAGCTAGCAGGAATGAACTAGAGCAGGATAGTTACACCTAGAGGCAGCGGGCAGCTATTTGTTCTGCTCCCTTGCCGCAGGGCTTGAGGGCTTGGTGCTGAGGGCCAGGAGAGCTAGTCACAGTCACGGTCCAGATGGGTAGAGATGTTTTCTTGTGATTTTCTCCCTCTGCAGCGAGAAGGACAAAATCACCACCAGGACACTGAAGGCCCGAATGGACTAACCCTGTTCCCAGAGCCCACTTTTTTTTCTTTTTTTGAAATAAAATAGCCTGTCTTTCACTCCTGCTTTTGTCTTTGATGCTTTCCTGCAGATCTCTGCCCTAGCTGGGCAGCTACAGCCAGCCACTCAAGTGTGTGTGGCCTGGCCCTCGGCTTGCTTTCTGGCTCGTGCTCTACTCCATCAGTGCGTGCCAGTGGGGACAATCCACATGTCACTTGCTGCATGCTCCCTGTGTGCTAGGCCCCACACAAGTGCTTTACACGATCTAGAATTTATTCATCATAATGACTCAAGGTAGTTGAGATTATCCTTGTTTGGAGAAGAAGGACAGTTAAATAACTTACCCAAGTCTACTTTAATAAGTGATAAAGCCAGGACATAAACTCATGTTCCATTGATGCCAGAGCTTAGAATCCTTTTCACTCAAACTCTACGGGAAAACCCTTACATCTTTTATTGCTTCAGGTAGAAATTTGGTCAAGTACCCATAAGTAGTCTAGATTAGTGTTTCTTAACCTGGCCAGCTCATTAGTCACCTGTGGAATTCCTAAAACACATACCTTGATCCCACCCCTTGAGATTCCAATTGGCCTTTTAGGGGCCTGGGTACCTGTCTTTTCCAGAATTCCCCAAGTGATTCCAGCTTGCAATCTGCAGTACATAGATGGCCTAATAAGCAAGTAGAAAGTTTGCATAGCAGAGTGGTTCCCAAACGTTAGCCCCCATCACAATCACCTGGAGGGCTCATTAAAAGTTTGATTCAGTAGATCTGGGTTGGAACCTGAGAATTTACATTTCTGACTCCCAGGTGCTAATGACACTGCTGGTCCAAGACCACACTTTGAGAACTACTGGGTTTTAAGCTAAATGCCCAGATGCAGTAGATGAGGTGCACAGAGGTGACATGTTCAAAGTTATGTCAGGTGAGTGGCTCCTAGCCAGAGTTCGTTCTACACAGCTGGAGGCGGGGGGGCGGGGGGGGGGTTGTCCATTCTTCCATGTGCATGGTAGTAACAGCTAACAGGCAGATTGGCTCTGGTGCTGTGGTGTTTTGTTTGTTTTTTCCTTAAGAGTCTCATTGTTGCTAGGGCTGGAGTGCTGTGGTGCAATCATGGCTAACTGCAGCCTCAACCTCCCAAGCTCAAGTGATCCTCCTGCCTCAGCCTCCTGAGTAGCTGGGACTACAGACATGTGCCATCACATCCAGCTAATTCTTGTTTTGTAGAGACGGGGTCTCACTATGTTACCCAGACCGGTACTGAACTTCTGGGCTCAAGTGATCCTCCTGCCTTGGCCTCCCCAAGTACTGGGCGTGAGCCACCAAACCCAGCCAGTGGTGCTGTGCTTTTAACCACTGTTTATTAATTGCATCTGAAAGCGGGATGTCATTGACCATATTCTTTCTCCAAACTCAAGCCATACATTGATTTAGCCGAAGCTGCCTCTAAAGCTAGGACCAAAACTTTTTAATTCTGGGAAGAAAAAAAAAAGGTTCATTTCCCAAGGACTCACACATAACAGATGTACACAAAGCTTTTTGAGTTTTATTTTTTTCCTCAGGTTGGAGATTCATCGTAACATGCATGCATTTTCAAACAGTAACAGGGTCTCAAACTTTTTAAAGCAGACGTTAGACAAGCACAGGGGATTGAAAATTCCCATTTAAAAAATGGAAACTGCAGTGGGATATGGAGAAGTCACACACTTGGTGGGGTGGTGGTTTGTCCTGCTTCCCCAAAAGGTGGATATGAACTTAATTCACATTTTTTAATTTCAATGATCTGACCTGATGCTGGGATGTGCCGAGCAGTACTGCCCCCTCCCCCAAGGGTGTTGGCTCCCACCGCCTCTCACAGTGGCTCTGCGCAAGGGCAAGAGGCTCCTGTGGAAACTTCTGCCCTGGGATACTGGCACAAGCTGCCAAGGGACAGCTGAGTCTCCTTTTCCCCATGGGGCACTCTTCATAAGTGGCACATTCTAGAGGAGGGAGAGGGCCACGGTCACTGACCCCTGCAGATGGCTGGTAGATTGGGGAACAGTTGTCTGAATGGGTTTTCCCTTTCAGGACCTCCTGCCCGCATGACTGCCAGGAAGAGATGAGGCTCCTAGACTTGGGGGGCCACAGGTTTAAGGCCAGAGCTCTGAGTGTTGTTTAAACGCACTGTCCCTTCTAGCCCCCAACACCTGAGTAACTCACATGCTGGGGTGCTGCAGTTTTCTCTCCCACCCTGAATTGGTAAAAAGACAACTGGGGGGTAGGACTGGCTACTGCAAAAAGTCCTGGGTCTTTGGTCCACCTCCCCAAGGTATGCCCTGGCAGACCATGAAGACAGGAAAGGCAGGGCAGGAGTGTAGCCTCACGCCCTGAGCGCTACCAGCAGGCCTGTTTGAGGCCAAAAGCACAGGCAAGAGAAAGAGTCAAGTAGGGAGAGGGGATAAAGAGCTGCCTGTGGTGGGAACTTAAGAGACTGCCACTGAGAACAGCCACAGGGGCCACTCGTGGCGCCTGCCACAGACCAGCAACCCCTGAGCTAAAGAAGGAGAGGTGGAGCACTGCTTCAGTCTGCGCCCCTCAGCTGTGGCTTCCCGGCATGCCCTGTGACCCCAAGCCGCAGGGTACAGGAAAGAAGTTTGTGCTGGGGGACTCAAAGACCCAGAGGTTAATTAACAGGAACCAGGGCCAGGGGCCTTCATCTAGAGGTCAGTGGAGTCTCCAGGGCACTCATCACTGTGGCTGGGAGACTACAGTGTCTCGGCTGCGGACTTGTGGAAGAAGAGGGGGAAGGATGGGAGAAGGGGTGACTGGATGCCAGCCAGGAATCCTGGCCTTAGCCCTATCCTGGCCTCGCCTAATCAGCCATGTCGTTATTCTTACACCTTTCTTCTTGGGAGACCCAACATTATTCTGAGATGCCATGAGACTGTTTAGCTTTTCTTCATGGCCCCAGGGAGTGAGGCTGAGGGCAGTCACTTCCCCTCCAATGCCCTCGACTGCCCAGTAAAAGAATGGCGGGACCCAAGGAGGAAAGAGTGGGGGCAGACAACGCTTGGGGGATCAGTCCACTTTCTCTACATTCAAACTGCAGACCAAATAGAATACCATGACAAAAAGAAGAGAAAGGAAACTTGTATAAACCAAGATAAATAGCTTTTAAACATTTGAATGCCAAAAATTGGGGGCCAAACTCAAGGTTTTGAAGATAGCACAGCGAATGACCTTTAAAAAAAAAAATTGAAAATCCACCAAACCACAGCTCAAAATGTTATGACCCAGTCAACAATACTGTCAGAAAAACAAAAAGCATTTGAAACAGAATGCTACCTCTCAAAATGTAAACAATATACAAAACACACAAACATACACACACACACACAAACTCAATGTTAAACAAGTTAGATACCTGGTAGTCGTCTTTAACCAGTAAGAATGTGTTACACTTTCCATACACATTATGGCAACATGATCAGCAGACCAAATGCAGAGAAGCCGGTAGGAACCCGAGGCCACGGAGGCTGCTGGAAGACAGCTTTCCAAGCTTCAGAGATGCTGCGCCTGACGAGGAGCAGATCCAAACTTCCATTCTTCATTATGACGTGGGGAAATCAAGTCCAAACATTATTCCTACATAATCCCTTTCCCAAGTCAAATTTGTTTTCTCCATGAGCCAGTTGGTTTCAAGTTCCCTAAGTCATGTAGTGGTCTTGCGGCAGTTGTTCAGACCTACCTATGGCCCCTTCCTGGGGCCAAGGCAGTGGTTTGACCCCCATCTGCCTCTTCCAGAAGGTTTCCCATCCAATCCAGCAGCCCCAGTGAAGTCCAAGAATGCCGTCTCCATTCTTTCCTGACCTATATGCTGTGAGTCAGGCACAGAGACAGTGCTGGTTCCTGCTTCGGAAGCTGGGCTTGGCCAGGTTTGGAGGGAGCCACAGGAAACCAATCTATTCATTCAAAATGGTTTCACAAGCGATCTTCACATCTTTGGGGTTATCTACAAGTCTGACCATATCTCATCCCAAATCCCCAGTTCCTGGTTGAGGGGGTGAGAAGATGCAGGAATGTACCTCCCCCAATGCAGAACAACAGAGCTGTTTCTCTCCTGGCCAGAGCAGCCTGTGGCTCAGTTCTGAGGGCCTGGGTGGCAGGCTCCGAAGGCAGGTGGAACACCTGCAGGAAGCCACTCCTTCCAAAAAAGCCTGTGGGCTGCAGATCTGCTAAAAGTCTAGAGCGGGGCAACAAGGAAAAACAGCCCCAAGGCTGAGGCCAGGTCAAAACCCACATCAAGCCTCCAAACTGGATTTCCTGGATCACATCCTCATGTAACTAGGAAGCCACCTCACGTTTGGACACCACACTCTAAGATGGGGGCACCTTGCTGGCTGTAACTCTCCAGGCACAGGGAGACAGATCTCCTACAAGGTCATCCCGGAGCTTAACGAGGTGTCTCTGCTAAAAAGCACTCCAGGCGCTTGGAGATCTGCCCAGAGCTAAGAGTTCGGCTAGAAGTAAGAGTGCCTGGGAGGAGGTCAGAAGGAAGAAGGAAATAGATCGAGGGCACAGGGCCTCATTTGATACATCAGTTTCTGAAGTTTTCCCAAAGGGAAATAACCATTTAAACATGAGGGTCCTGATAAATCCAAAGGTACTCTAGTTCCTCTTGACCTAGTGGGAGGCAGGCTTTACAGAGAGGACTTCTGAACTCCAGGGGCTAAGACAGCCTGGGGCTTGGGTGATCATCACAGGGTTCTCTGAGAACCAGGTGTCCAAGAGCCCAGCCGCTTTCCTGCCCCTCACCATCCCATGAGGATGAACTTATTCCCCTCTGAGATCTCTGATTCTGATCTGAGATCTCTGGTGTTGACCTGGTGTATTCCAGACAGGATGGAGGAATAATGCAACAGTTTTCACTTGAATCCAAGGGAAAGGTGGAGGAAGTTGTGCACAATACTCCATAAATTACAAAGTTAATCCAGACAAGAGCAAATGCAGCAGGGCGAGGTGTCTGACCTCTCCAATCTGGCATCCATAGCACTTGGTTCTGGAAGGACCCTTGTGCTGGGTCTACCGGGTATCTCTTTAATTGAAGGGAACTGAGAGCTCAGCAAAGATGGGGAGGGTGGGTAGGCTGATGAAATATGATTATAAATAGCAAACCTGGAGCAATGAAATTTCAGAAACAAAACCCAAATAAACCCACGAAGTCATCTCTAGCCCCAAGGTATCTTAAAAGGTTACAAGGTACCAAAAAGGGAACCCCTTTTTAACCTGGGTGTCAAATGGGGAGAAAAAATCAAGGGTAAGCAGAAGGTGGGGTTACATCCTGTGAGCAGGTGCACACACAGCACATCCCCCTCCTCTTCAGCTAAAGTCTCTTTCGGTGTCACAGGCTGCAGTCTCATTGCTAAAGCCCTCCCAAACCCGACTCTGCTCCCACCCTCCCATCTAGCCCAAATACACCCTTCTCCCTAACTCCCGATCCCCGACCCCATATCCAGCTCTCTGGCTCTGGCTGAAGGTAGAAGAGAACTACGTCAGGATGTTGGACATAAACTCGTTGAAGCGTTTGGAGTACTGCTCAGGGTTCACAGTCGAGATCTCGGCCCCTGCCTGTAATACACAAGAGGCTGATTCAGGTTGAGTTCCTGTGCCCCAATCAGGAGGCTGCACATGGGGGGAGCCAGGGTATTCAGAAGCCTCTTACTCAGTATCAGAGCTGAATACCACCCCCAACCCCACCAAGACTGAGCAGACCACCTCAGGAAGTGGCATACAAGTCCTGAACTGTCCTGGCCCCACTCCTGTGATTTATAACCCCAGGCCTGCACCGAAGTAGAAGAAAGGCAGTGGGGAGGTGGCAACGCGGCTCTGGATCTCTGTGGGGGCCACTACATGGAGAACAGGGCTTCAGGCCCACAGGGAAACAGGCCTGTGGGGAGCAGTATGGGCATGGAAACAAAGCTATTACTCGCCCTTCAACAAGATGCACAACAGGCCCAGCAGGCCCTGGGGAAAGACACTGGCAGGCTTGGCCCCGAGGGCTGGAGAACTGGGGGATAAACAAATTGGGCCCAGCCTGGCAGGGAGCAGGTGGGTGAAGGCAGGGAACATGGCAAGGCAGGCAGGCTGCTCTTCCAGTCTGCTCTCCTGGGAAGAAGGAGACAGGAGTGTGTTCCTTGGAGCAGGAGGCCTGAGACTGCCCTCCCTGGGGTCTGAGGGTAAGCACAGATGCACCGACCCAGCTGGGCCCTGGATGAAGATGGAGAGGACTCACCCCGTGTTTCACCGTTTTGGCAGCATGTGCAGCTTTCTTCTTTGTATCGTATGGCGTGAGGATATCAATGATGGCCATGAAATACACCTCCTTCTTGGGGGAACCTGGAGGGACAAGGAGAGCAGGGAAGAAGGAAGAGGGGGCAGGAGAAGGGCAGACAGCAGCTGGGCACTGCTACAACCCCCAGACACAAGGCTCAGCTCCATCCTTATCATGTTGGGGCTGAGAAAAGGACCAGTGGAGTCCTTTCCAGCTGTCATAGCTCTTATCTTATTGGATCTTCACAGTCACTCTGTGGGGCTGACAGGACAGTATGAATAAAGTTTGGTTCATCTCATGAACCAGAGCAGAACCACTCTTCAGTCAGCCAGGACAAGCAGGGAAGTATAGGAAAGCCTGGCAGAGGAGGAGCCCCAGGTTCAGGTGGTGACCCTGGATGGGAATCTGGAGGCAGAAAGAGGTCAAAGGCAGCAATGAATGAGGTGGAGGTCCAGATGCCCCTAGAAGGATCTAAACAATGAGCTGAGGGGGTAGGATGAGGGCAGGGCTGTGCAGAGCAGGCGCAGGCTCTGACTTACTTTCATGGCTTTTCATGGCATAGACGTCAACAGAGGGGTCGAATTCCCCAGGACCAAAGAACCGAGGAAAGCTGAGGAGGTTGCCAGGGCTGTCCGGAGGTGTGCCATAGGAGCAGAGTAGGTTGCCACCCACCCCATCATTCTCACACTCCTCGTCCTCTGCCCGCTCCTCCACCTCCATCTCCTCCTGCTCTGCCCGGTCCACGTCGTGGATGCCCACCAGCAGGCTGTAGTCCATGATCTTCAGCTGTGCCAAGAACTAGGAAGGGCAAGGATGGAAAGATGGAAGGAAGAAGAGGTTACACAGGACATCCCAGTGACATCCAGAAAGGGGGGAAAGGCATTCCTTTCAACTCAATTCTACAAACAGTTTTGAAATTCAACAGAGAGTAAGGCATCAGAGCACCCGCCCTCGCGAGCTCTCTCTAATGGGGAAGACAGTCATTCAGCAGGGGAAAGGCAGGAGGTCGAGGCTGCAGTGAGCTGTGATCACACCACTGCACTCTAGCTGGGTAACAGAGGGAGATGGTCTCAAAAAAAAAAAAAAAAAAAAAAAAAGCAAGGAGCTGTGGGAGTTTACAGTGAGGGGTGAGCAAGACCCTCCCTGAAGAAAGGAGTTGAGGCCAAGGATGAAGAGGAGTCAGTGAGGCAAGTACTGCAGGTTAAAGATAGAACGAGCACTGCAGGAAGAGGGAACAGCCCATGACGGTTTGGGATCAAGAGAGGCCATGGTGGCTGGGCACGGTGGCTCATGCCTGTAATCCCAGAACTTTGGGAGGCCAATTAAGGAGGATCACTTGAGGCCAGGAGTTTGAGACCAGCCTCAGCAACGTGATGAGACCCCATCTCTACAAAAAAATTTAAAAATTGGCTGGGCGTGGCAGTGCACACCTGTAGTCCTACCTACTTGGGAGGCTCAAGTGGGAGGATCGCGTGAGCCCAGGAATTTGAGGCTGCAGTAAGCTATGACGGCACTATTGCACTCAAGCCTGGGGAACAGAGTGAGACCCTGTCTCTTGTTTTAAAAAAAGAGGCCATGGCCAAGTTTGAGGAAAGAAATAATGAAATGATATACTATGGAAGAGGATGGAGCGATGGATATGACACAACAATATATTTCAGATCAAAATTTCAACCCATTATGAGTCCTAAACCCAATGTAGTGGGCTGGAACTAGGATTTCTTTAAATTAAATGCAGTAGTCCACCCTTATCCACAATGGTTTCAGTTACCTGTGGTCAACTACAGTCCAAAAATATTAAATGGAAAATTCCAGAAATAATTCATAAGTTTTTAAATAGTGTACCATTCCGAGTAGCATGATAAAATCTTGCTATGTCCCATTCAGTGCTGCCCAGGATGCAGATTATCCCTTTGTGCAGTATATCCACACTGTATGCACTAACGTCCCATTAGTCTTTCAGTAGCTGTCCGTAGCTGTCTTGGTTATCAGTTCACTATAGTTGTATCACAGTGCTTGTATTCAAGTAACCCATATTTGACTTCATTATGACTCCACAGAGCAAGAGTAGTGATGTTGGCAATTCAGATATGCCAAAGAGAAGCCATAAAGTGCTTTCTTTTTTTGAGACAGAGTCTTGCTCTGTCACCAGGCTAGAGTGCACTGGTGCAATCTCGGCTCACTGCAACCTCCACCTCCCAGGTTCAAGTGATTCTCCTGTCTCAGCCTCCCAAGTAGCTGGGACTTCAGGCATGCACCACCACACTCAGCTAATTTTTGTATTTTTAGTAGAGACAGTTTCATCATGTTGGCCAGGCTGGTCTCGAGCTCCTGACCTCAAGTGATCCACCTGCCTCAGCCTCCCAAAAGTGCTGGGATTACAGGTGTGAGCCACTGCACCTGGCCAGCTTTAAGTGAAAAGGTGAAAGCTCTTGACTTACAAAGAAAATAAATTGCATGCTGAGGTTGCTAAGATCTCCTGTAAGAACAAATCTTCTATCCGTGAAATTGTGAAGAAGGAAAAAAAATTCACGCATAGTATATACAGGGTTCAGTACTATCTGTGGCTTCAGGCGTCCACTGGGGATCTTGGAACATGTCCCCTGCTGATAAGGGGGGACTACTGTATAATAAAATAGAATAGAAAATATCAGAATACATGACAGAAAATAAGGGTAGACAGTGTTTCAGTTGTGTGTATCCATTGGGTTGCAAGGTAAAATATACTTCTAACTGGCCTCAGAGACAAAGTCTGAAAAAACTATGTCATCGACTTTTCAGCCCAGGTAAAAATAGAAAAAAAAGGAAAAGGGAACACAAAACCATACAAGAATGGCAGCCAGAACCAACCAATATTCTCAACCCATTCCCTGAAGGTCAAAAGAGGCTGTGTGGTGCTGGGGGAAAGTCCTCCCCTAGCATCATGTGACTCCCCTTGCCAAGCCTTAGTTTTCTCATCTGTATAATGGGTGCTGTGAGCAGGGTGGTGGTTCAAGTCTTTTATCTAGGATTTCAAGACAAAGTATGGAATGATACAGGATGGAAATGGCCAGCTAGCATTCCAGTTTAGCTAATAATGAGGCAAGAGTGCAGTCACCATCATACAGTGGTCACTAGGAGACTGTTAGACTGACCACCATGTTAGGTCCTAACAGAGAACTAGGAGGAGAATCATCATGGAAGCAGAGCAGCTCTATGCACGAGCCCAGAACACAACTAAGGACAAGGAGCCCTAAAGATGGGAGCCCAGCAGGATCTCCTTGGAAGAGGAAGGGAGGGAGGGATGCCACTCTGAGCACTTCCAGACAAAGCCTTCTCAAGGCCCAGGGAGAAGGGGCTAGGGTCCCAGGAAAAAGAAGGTCCATGCACCATGCCCTCCACCCACCTGAGAACATTTATAAAGCAACATGCATTGAAAACAAATGCACTGAGTAAACTGCATTAAATTCTTCTCAGAACCACAGTAGGGGGAGAGGGTAGAAAAGGGAGAAGGACAAAGACTCAGGACAAATAATGTCAGATGATGAAAGGCAGAATAAGGAAAGAACATAGTTGGGGGTGACTAAGGAAACGCTTCCTAGCAAAACGAAGTTTATGACACCCATGTTCACAGTAGCATTATTCCCAACAGCTACAAGGTGGAAGCAACCTAAGTGTGATGGCTAATTGTATATGCCAGCTGGACTGGGCCTGAGTGCCCAGACACTTGGTCAAGCATTATTCTGGGTGTGTCTGTGAGGGTTTCTGGGTGAAATGAGCATTGAACTGGTGGACTGAGTAAAGCAGATGGCCCTCCCCAGTGTGGATGGGCATCATCCAATCAGCAGAAGGCCTGAAGAGAAGAAAAAGGGTGACCCTCCGGTGAGGAAGAGGGAACTCCTTCTGCCTGGTGGCCTGATGGCCTGTAGAATAAAACCACACCACCAGCTCTCCTGGGCCTCCGGCTTGCTGACTGCAGATCTCGTTGGTATCCATAATCCCATGAAACAATTCCTTAAAATAAATCTCTTAGGGCCGGGCGTGGTGGCTCACACCTGTAATCCCAGCACTTTGGGAGGCCGAGGCAGGCAGATCATGAGGTCAGGAGATCAAGACCATCCTGGCTAACATGGTGAAACCCCATCTCTACTAAAAATACAAAAAAAACTAGCTGGGCATGGTGGTGGGCGCCTGTAGTCCCAGCTACTCGGGAGGCTGAGGCAGGAGAATGGCGTGAACCCGGGAGGCGGAGCTTGCAGTGAGCCAAGATCGCGCCACTGTACTCCAGCCTGGGTGACAGAGCAAGACTCTGTCTCAAAAAAAATAAATAAATAAAATAAAAAATAAATATCTTGGTATAAAGAGATTTACAAAACATCCTATAGGTTTTGTTTCTCTGGAGAACCCCAACTGATATAACAAGTGTCCATTAACTGATGAATAAACAAAATGTAATACATCCATACAATGGAATATTAATCAGTTTTTGTGTGTGTGTGTGTGTGTGTGTTTTTGAGATGAGGTCTCGTTCTGTCGCCCAGGCTGGAGTGCAGTGGCACGATCTCGGCTCCCTGCAAGCTCCGTCTCCCGGGTTCATGCCATTCTCCTGCCTCAGCCTCCCGAGTAGCTGGGACTACAGGCGCCCACCACCACACCTGGCTAATTTTGTTTTTGCATTTTTAGTAGAGACGGGGTTTCACCGTGTTAGCCAGGATGGTCTCGATCTCCTGACCTCGTGATCCGCCTGCCTTGGCCTCCCAAAGTGCTGGGATTACAAGCGTGAGCCACCGCGCCTAGCTTTTGTTTTGTTTTTTAAAGAGATGGGGTCTTACCCTCTAGTTCAGGCTGATGCACAGTGGCATGATCATAGCTCACCACAACCGTGAACTCCTAGGCACAAGGGATCCTCCCACCCAGCCTCCTGAATAGCTAGGACTACAGGCACATGTCACCACACCCAGCTAGTTTTTAATTTTTTGTAGAGACAGGATCTCAGTAAATTGCCCAGGTCTCCAACTTCTGGCCTCAAGCAGTCCTTCTGCCTCAGCCTCCTGAGCTGCTGGGATTACAGGTGTTAGCCACCATGCTCAGCCTTATTCAGCTTTAAAAAGAAAGAAATTCTGGCCAGGTGTGGTGGCTCACGCCTGTAATCCCAGCACTCTGGGAGGCCGAGGCAGGCAGATCACGAGGTCAGGAGATCGAAACCATCCTGGTCAACATGGTGAAACCCCGTCTCCACTAAAAAAATACAAAAATTAGCTGGGCGTGGCAGCACGCGCCTGTAGTCCCAGCTACTTGGGAGGCTGAAGCAGGAGAATCGCTTGAACCCGGGAGGCGGAGGTTGCAGTGAGCCGAGATCGCACCACTGCACTCCAGCCTGGCAACAGAGCGAGACTCTGTCTCAAAACAAATAAATAAATAATAAAAAGAAAAAAATTCTGACACATGATACAGTATGGATGAACCCTGAAGACATTATGCTAAGCAAAATAACAGAGTCACAAAAGGACAACTGCTGTTTGCTTCCTTTTTTTTTTTTTATTTTTTGAGATGGAGTTTCATTCATAACATGTTGCCCAAGCTGGAGGGTCACCGCAACCTCCGCCTCCTGGGTTCAAGCGATTCTCTTGCCTCAGCCTCCCAAGTAGCTGGGATTACAGGCGTGCACCACCATGCCCGGCTAATTTTGTATTTTCAGTAGAGACTGGGTTTCTCCATGTTGGTCAGGCTGGTCTCAAACTCCTGACCTCAGAAGATCCGCCCACCTCAGCCTCCCAAAGTGCTGGGATTACAGGCATGAGCCACCTCGCTTGGCTGTTTGCTTCCTCTTATGTGAAGTTCCTAGAGTAGTCAACTTCATAGGGGCAGAAAATTGAACACTGATTGCCAGGGGTTAGGGAGGGGGAATTGGGAATTAGTATTTAATGGGTATAGAGTTTCAGCTGGGAAAGATAAAAGTTCAGAGATGAATGGTAGTGCTGGTTGCATAACAATGTGAATATACTTAATGCCACTCAACTATATATCAAAATGGTTAAGGTGCGTGCCTATAGTCCCAGCTACTTGGGAGGCTGAGGTAGGAGAATCACTTGAACCCAGGAGGCGGAGGTTGCAGTGAGCCGAGATCGTGCCACTGCACTGCACTCCAGCCTGGGGACAGAACGAGAATCTCCTAAAAAAAAACAAAACAAACAAACAAACAAAAAAAACACCTATTATTATATGTATTTTACCACAATTAAAAAAAATTTTTTTTCCCAAGTTTGTTTGTAGGATTTGGTTTTAACGAGCAGCCTCTCAATTTATTAAAAGAGAAGGAGACGCTGAGTTATCAAGTGGTCCAGATAACATTTTCACTATTTAGCACCTGTCCTCCCCAGATTACAAACAGAAGTTTGCTAGGTAAGTGGAGAATCAGAGCCAGAGCCAGAGAAGAACCTGATTAGTGGATTTTTGTTTTTTGAGACAGGGTCTTGCTCTGTCACCCAGGCTGGAGCACAGTGGCATGATCACAGCTCATGTTGCCTTGATCTGCCAGGCTCCAGTGATCCTCCTGCCTCACCCTTCCAAGGTGCTGGGATTACAAGAGTAAGCCACCATGCTTAGCCAACTTTTTCGGTTTTTGTTTTGAGACAATGTCTTGCTCTGTTGCCCAGGCTGGAGTGTAGTGGTGAGACCACAGCTCACTGCAGCCTCATCTCCCGGGCTCAAACAATCCTTTCGCCTCAGCCTCCCAAGTAGCTGGGACTACAGGTGTGTGCCCCTACGCCTGGCTAAATTTTTTAATTTTTAGTAGAGATGAGGTCTTGCTATGTTGCCTAGGCTGGTATTGAACTGCTGAGCTCAAGCGATCCTCCCACCTCAGCCTCCCAAAATGTTGGGGTTACAGGACCTTAATAGCTGGGTTCCTACAGCTCTGATGGCCAGATGCCCTCTCCATTGTAGGGACAACAGCAGAAGGGAGTTTGAAAAAGGTGTTGGAATGAATTAGTGAAAAGGGAAAAGCATTCTAAACTAAATTACAAAGGTCCTACTGGCGCCAACTATGCTCCGTCAGGTGGAATGATCATTTGCACTTGCTTTAGGTGCCCATAAGTGCCCACGCTGCTCAAATCACCACCCTTTTGTCCATACTCCTGGAAAGTACTGAATTCCATTCTTCTTAAGGTTTAAGAGGCGCCTACTCTAGGTACAGAAGGAGCCTTGCAGGTGAAAATGAAGGTTAGTAAGTACCTCAACGTCCCGCTTCAGTTTCTCCAGGAAGTTCTTTTTACTCTCCTCTCCCACATGCAGCTTCTGCCCTTCATTGAGGAAGTCATTGTCTTTGAATGTTGGCAAGTCCTTGGCCTAGGAGAGCAACAGCAGTTAGGCTGGGTAAGCCTGATTAATTCACCCCAGGGACACCCAACTGTTCTGCCGGGAGCAACTATACAGAAAGGGGAAGGAGGGGTTGTCAGTGTACCGACCCTCAACCTGCTAAATCAGCAGTGCAGGAGCCTCTAGTCCCAGGCTTTGGGTGGGCAGGGAGGGCAAACACATGAAAGATGAGGAATGACTAAAGGATTCTTTCCTGTTGAGCCTGGACCAGCTCAGGGCTCAGGCAGCCACTGACTGACTCAGGCTGGACTATGAGATAGAAATGTCTGCCATCCCAGCAGGACTATGAAGAACGTAGTGAGGGCAGAGGTAAAAGACCAGAGACCAAGGTCTAGGCCTAGCACAAGGACAGACAGGTGATTCATGACACACGGCATTTCATGTTGACAGACGGCATGTCTGGGAGCTGGGCTAGGGGCTGGGGTGGGCGAGGGACAGGATGGCCGACAGGAGTTGTTTCTGACTCCAAGCGACCCTTCCATTCCTGCTCAGCACCAGCATACCTTCTCCTTGTCGCTCGCTTCTCTGGCAACCGTAGAACCCTGAAAGGATAAGAGCCATCAGGGGAAGTCAAGCTGAGGCAAAGTCGACTGCATGAGCAAACATGGGAGAGCCAGCAGGTGAACTCAAGTAGGCTTGTTAGAGTCCTAGAGGGGCCAGGAGGCAGCACCTTGTTCATTTACTGTGTCAAGCCCACTTATAGAGCTCTATGTGCAAGACACTTTTTAGGTGCTCAGCAAACAGGACTGCACTGGAGAAGCTCAGTCCCTGCCCTTGAGCTACTTTCCTTCTAACAGGGGAGACAGATATTCAGCAGTGGTTCCACAAGTCATTAGTTCATTCACTACCACGGTGCTCAGTGGTACAGGGAGGAGCAGGACACTCTGAAAGCACATACCACACGGGCCCGGCCTGGGGAGGGACAGTGGCCAGGGCCTACCTACTTCCTGGAAGTAGTATTTGGGCTGAGCTCAGAAGGGTAAGGAGGAAGCAATTAGGTGGGGGAAGGAGTGGGTGGAGAGAGAGAAGGAGACTATTCCAGACAGCAGATGTGAAATCCTGGGAAGAGGAGCACAGGCACTGCAGGAACACAGAGGAAACCAGCCCAGTTGCAGCACAGAGGGAAGGGATGGCGGCATAAGGTGACAGAAGTCAGAAGCCAGGTTCAAGAACACGGAGCACCCTAGTTCACAGCCACAAGTGTGTCCTTCTCAGAGTCTAGAGATGCACTTGTGCTGGCAGTCCATGGGGGCCTGATGGATGCTAAAGTGCATGCGTCAGCACGGCCTCCCTCACTGTGCACATTCCACAGACAGGAACATCAACTGCTGCATAAATATGGCACATTTAGGGCTTAAATAATCTCCTGTTACTGTCACCTGGACTTCAAACTGCCTTTGGTCCACAAGAATCAGGCATATCCACTCCAGAGTTCCCTGTCCATGCCAACACATAGGCTCCAGCTTCCCAATTACATGGAAGTTGGAGTAGTGGCCCCTTCGGGGCTCAGATAGAGGGGAGGCACAGCTCCGGCAAACACAGAGCCCTTTACCTTGAGGTCATACTTGCGATGCACAGTGAGCCGATGGCTGAACACGTTCCTGGTAACCACCATGTAGGTTTCCACACCATCCACGGTCAGGCGGTACATGCCCAGGAACTGTGGCAAAAGCGTGTTGCCATGACACTCCACTATAAACTAGAATGGAAAGGAAGAAGAGAGAGGACTAAGGAACAGGCAGTGCCAGGGATGGATGGGGCTCACCCCAGACTAAAATGCTCCCTGGCTCCCTGGGATTCTAACCTCTAGACCAGTAGTTCTCCAGCTGGGTTCTATGAAGTAATAGGGGTTTCTCAGGCTTAAAATGGGCAACAGCCACCTCCAGCCTCCTGTTGGCATGGCAGAGGGAGAGGCAAGCTGAGCAGGTGGCTCAGAGCCCCTGTGGGTTCATATTATTAGTATCTCACCTAAGATTTTGTTTAAAGTAGGATTCTACCACAGGAAAATCCCTGATCCACACCTTGCATCTCTTCTGCCAGCCTGATATGGGAATGCCGCAGGGAAGAGACAGGATGCAGAGGCAGGCCAGGGATCCAGCCATCTGGGAGAAGAGAACAGCTCCATATCCAAAGCTCTTATCCATGCCATGCCCCAGGGTTTCTGCCATAACTCCTGAAAGACCAGAAGCTCCCTTCGGCCCTTCTCAGGTGCCCCAGAAATGAAGACCCAAGTAGGCTGAGGACAGACACACAGATGGTGCCACGGGGCTCCCTGCCTTCCTCATGGACAGGTTCCAGATGAGTGGAGAGATGGGACGGGAAAAGAAACAAGCCTGCCGAGCTGAGGGGGCCTCTTTCAGAAGAAACGGGGCGGATGCCAGTGCGTGAACACTTTCCAACTGGGAGTCAGTCAGCGATGAGCCTTCATGGCTCCTTTTTTCTTTTTTAAAGTAGGCATTTCAGCTCACAGAAATACGGTTGCAGGAGAGTCCCACTGCTTGGTGATCAGAAGCAGCTGCCATTACCAGAGAGGACCAACCCCTCCCTAAGAAGCTCCCCCAGGGCTCTCTTCTCCCTCTTCCAACCCATCCTCTGCAGCCCAGGCTTGGGACTCACCATACCTGGTGGTATTTCTTTAAGATGTTGTGCATCTCCGCCACGTCCTCGCTGGACACAGTCTTGATGACAAAGCGCCGGTCGTAGGTGGTGAGGAAACGCGTGCCACACCGACCCTGGCTGTCACTGTTGATGGGGGCGCTGCGCGTCACTGAATTCTGATAATCGAGACAAAAGAAGGCTGGGCTTGGCAGGGGAACAGAATTCTGACTTTCGCTGAGTCTTCCCTCAGGGGCTGGACTGCTTGAAAGCCAACAACACTGAGATAGAGGGACTCCCAGATGGGAGTTTACCCTCCCCTTTTCTCACAGGGTGTTCACATCCCTCCCTAAGTCTTCCTCCAAAGTGACAAGAATTGTTCCTTACCACCTGCTCTTCATCCCAGTCTAGGATGGGAAGAGGACTGACTGTGAAAGTTTCCATCCTGATCCCAGATAGCTATCCTACCAACTAAAATTCTGCCTCTGATGGAGGGGGCTGAGTCTAATCTGGACTCTCACACGCACTATGACCTTGGGTGAGCCATTTAACTTCTCTACCCCTGCATTTCCTCATCAGGAACACAAAGATGCAGACTGAGCTGATTCTCCCAGTCTCTTGGGGGTAGCAAAGATGAAGCTTAGAAAATACTGTCTTCAAGGGGTCTAGCACAAAGAAGCAATGCCCATTCGTCTCTTGTCCCTGGATCTACCCTAATGCTGAAAAACCTTCCCCAAAGCAGGAAGCTGATCCTCATCTCTGAGCCTGACACCTTTCCCCTTGCCTCAACCTCCTGCTTGTCTATGCAAGGCTGGGAGGCAGTTTTGGGGAGCTTTCCTGGCTGTATCCCTGCTCCTCCTCAAGGTCCTACTCCCATTAGGATCAGAGAGCAGTAGAAGCCTTAAGAGGGAGGGTGTGGGAAGGCGTGAGTCAACCAAAGGGATATGTTCACCAAGCAGATGCCAAGGGACCTCTGGGAAGCAACGGTGAGGGGAGATCCCAAGTGTCCCTGTTCCCAAGAAAACATACATGGGGATCATGTCACAGAAATGTCTCCTCTCCAAGATGTTTCCCCATCTCTTAATGAGGATCCTGTTATTATTTTTGTAGAGACAGGGTCTCACTCTGTCACCCAAGCTGGAGTACAGTGGTGAGATCTCAGCTCACTGCAGCCTCTACCTCCTGGGCTCAAGTGATCCTCCCGCCTCAGCCTACCAAGTAGCTGGGACTACAGGTGTGCACCAACATGCCCGGCTTATTTTTGTAGCTTTTGTAGAGATGTAGTTTCGCCATGTTTCCCAGGCTGGTCTAGAACTCCTGAGATCAAGCAATCCTCCTGCCTCAGCCTCCCAAAGTGCTAGGATTACAGGTGTGAGCTACTGTGCCCAGCCTTTTTTTTTTTTTTTAAAGATGGTGTTTTGCTGTCACCCAAACTGGAGTATAGTGGTGCGATCATAGCTCACTGCAGCCTTGAACTCCTGGGCTCAAGGGATCCTCTCGCCTCGGCCTCCTGAGCAGCTGGGACTATAGGCATGCACCACCATGCCCGGCTGATCAGGATCCTACTCTTTACTTTCCCCTAATACCTCCTCAGAAAACCCTGGTGGAGAAGTGAGGACCACCTTCATGGGGAAAACTAAAGTCAGAGGTGGTAAGCAGCTCTGGGAGTTCCTCAGCAAAGGTGCTAAAGTAGCACCCCAAAAAACAGGCTGTTCCCGTTACAGAAAGGTTGAGTAGACTCTGTGACTGAGCGCCTCTTCCTCCCAGCCTGGCCTCTCTACCATAAGACTTACAGGCTGCAAGCCTAGTTGGGAGGTAGAGGCAGCATCCCCTGACTCTCTAAGTGGCTGGTAGTCCAAGAATATAGGGTCCCCTCCCTGAGCACCATCCTCCCTGCCCTCATTTCAGTCTTGAGCACGGGCATGCGCCCACAAGGCTACTAGGGGCAAAATGCAGACACTGAGAGGATGTGGTTAGACAGCCCAGGGGAGGGAAAGGAACCCCTCACTTGCAACCCCTCACCAAGGAACAATGGAGGGAATCTGTCTGAGCAACTTGGGGTTGCAATAGTGGCAAGAAGTTTCCAGAAAACCTCCAGCCCCAGTCAAGTCATGATTGAGTTCAGGGTTCAATCCTAACAGCAGGCTGGAGGAACCTCCCAGTACCTCTTAGGTGTAGGCACTCCTGGGCATTCAAGCCCAAGGCATCTCCTCCTCCTCTCACAAACCCTCACCCTCTTCTTCGAGATACTTTTCTTTGCATGCAAGCCCTCCAGAGAGGAGGAGAGAGGGGAGGAGACTCTAACCCAAGGCCCCTTCTGCTGCTGTGAACTACTCTATCAAAGGGGTGGGGTGGGAGGAACTACAGTGTTAGAAAAGATTTGGGCATCCATTCTAGGTTTCACTGTGCTATACACTAGGTTTCACTGTGCTATGGGGAAAAGTTTTCTCCACAGATGAATGAAAGTCAGCTATATTTCAGGCCAGGTGCGGTGGCTCACGCCTGTAATCCCAGCACTTTGGGAGGCCGAGGCAGGCAGATCACAAGGTCAGGAGATCGAAACCATCCTGGTCAACATGGTGAAACCCCGTCTCTACTAAAAAAAAAGAAATGCAAAAAATTAGCCGGGTGTGGTGGTGGGCGCCTGTAATCCCAGCTACTCGGGAGGCTGAGGCAGGAGAATCACTTGAACCTGGGAGGCAGAGGTTGCAGTGAGCCGAGATCGCGCCATTGCACTCCAGCCTGGATGACAGGAGTGAAACTCCATCTCAAAAAAAAAAAAAAAAAAAAAAAGTCAGCTATATTTCTTACAGCTGTAAAGGTGAAGTGGAAAATTCGCCCACCTTCACCACAAGGCTGTCTGCCAAGGAAGAAGATCCAAGGAGATGTGCTAAGAGGAGAAGTGACAGAAACCATGGACTGAGTCAGATTCTAATGTCCCTGACACTGGGATTGATTCCTCCCAACAGGCCAATGGCCTCTACAACACTGTCACGCCCTGAAGGGGGCAGTTGCCCTGGCAGACCAACTCCCCACTCCCACCACCAGGATAGGGCACAAGTTTAGGAGGTGACACTCATACCTGGCAAGAGGTTACACTACCCTTGAAGTCTTCCTTTTCTAATCTATTTCATCTGCTTTAAGAGGCCTCATCTCTCGCTAACAACAATTCTCTCTCTCTTTTTTTTTTTTGAGACTGAGTTTCACTCTTGTCGCCCAGGCTGGAGTGCAATGGCGTGATCTCAGCTCGCTGCAACCTCCGCCTCCCAGGTTCAAGCGATTCTCCTGCCTCAGCCTCCAGAGTAGGTGGGACTATAGGCGCACATCACCATGCCCATCTAATTTTGTATTTTTTAGTAGAGACAGGGTTTCACCATGTTGGCCAGGCTGGTCTCAAACTCCTGACCTCAGGTGACCTACCTGCCTTGGCCTCCCAAAGTGCTGGGATTACAGGCATAAGCCACCATGCCCCACCCAGTTCTCTTTGAAGTCAAACTACGAATGAGAAGGGTTCTTCAGCCTAGACTGGGAATGTCAGACTAAAATAAAGGTGCTTCCGCAGACCCCTCTCCCTCCTGCTGCCCTCCCTCTGAGGGAGAGGAACCTGAGTGTGTGCAGCATCCTCAGAAGCATTTCTAAGGCCCTCGCCCTGCAAGGGGCCCCCAGTGCTGGGGGAGAGACCGCCTGGGCTGGAGCAAGGCATGACAGGGAGACACAGCACAAAAACAGCCAACACGTTTTGATTCTCTACCTGTCCTGTGGCTTCCTGACCCCATTCCATTCCCTAATCCACTGATGTTGCCAGGAGCCTCCATACCTGGTAATCCTGATCATCAATTCCAAACCTCTCCCGAAGGTTTCGGAACACCATGGGGCAATACTCCTTAAACTTAAAGCGGCTGGGCAGGTTCTCCCTAGGGAAAAGCAGAGATATGTCTTTGTGAACTGCCCCTTGCTCATCTTAATTCTATTATTATTATTATTTTTTGTAATAGAGACAGAGTCTTGCTATGTTGCCCAGACTGGTCTTGAACTCCTGGCTTCAAGCGATCCTCCCACCTCAGCCTCCCAAAGTGCTGGGATTACGGGCATGAGCCACCACACCCAGCCTCATCTATATTCTGACTTCAGAACTCTTCAAAGTGTGGTCCACAGATTGCCTGGATCTGAACATCTGCCATACTTAACATGTAGGTTTCTAGGCTCTTAGGAATTCTGGAGTTGAGTCGAAAAACAAACACTCCAGGTGATTCTGAGCATGTAAAAGTTTAAAAACTTTACATCTTGTATTCACTTTGTAAAAGTAATCCAGCAGTATAACTGGTATTTGTGCGATTTTCTATGTGTGTGCTGCCCTTCAATAAAACATACATTAAAGAAAAAAACTCTCACCCGCTGGGCCATAAGCCTGAGTGCAGGCTCCACCTCACAAGCACTGTGCTTACTACAGTGGGAACCTGCATGTGAACATCTGCTGTGAGGTGAAATCAGCCTGAATGCTACAAGGAAAAACCTCTCTCATCAGAGGGCCCCTCTCCTCTGGCCATATTCCTGTGGAAGCATCCTGAAGATGGTCACTTACAGGAAGCCCTGCCCTGGGCTTCCACTGGGACGTAGGAAAAGAGTGCCTGAGTTAAAGAGGTCTTCAGTCAACTGAGTGGGACCACAGAGCCCTGTCTGCTGGCTGCTGGCACCAATCTCCACCCTCCCACTCCCTCATCAATACAGACTCCCAGGAGGAAAGAGAATCACCTTGAAATGATGACTCTTACCAATCCTCCATCTTTACAACAGCTATCCTGTTTAGGGACCCCCTTTCAGAAATATGTCCCAGTGACTACTCCAGGATGACAGGCTTTAAGGAAATCAAAAGGAATGTCTTCTTGGAAAGGAAGTGGCCTATCTGCCTTATCTACCCCGTCTTCTAGTAAACAGTGCTAGAATCTAATAAATAGCACATACAGGGCTGGGCAAGGTGGCTCCTGCCTGTAATCCCAGTACTTTGGGAGGCCGAGGCAGGTGGATCACCCTGACTGAGGTCAGGAGTTCGAGACCAGCCTGGCCAACATGGTGAAACCCCATCTCTACTAAAAATACAAAAAAATTAGCCGGGCGTGGTGGTGGGTGCCTGTAATCCCAGCTACTCAGGAGCCTGAGGCAGCAGAATCACTTGAACCCGGGAGGCAGAGGTTGCAGTGAGCCAAGATCGTGCCACTGCACTACAGCCTGGGCAACAAGAGTGAAACTGTCTCAAAACAACACCAATAACAACAACAAAAACACATACACAGTTGTTGGAAGGACAAAAGGAATAAAGATAGAAGAAAATAAGAGATTGGGTTCTCTGCTTTAGGCCAAGATATCAAGGAGGTAGCACCTCACCAGAGGCCATGGACCCTGAAGGGGGTAGTGGTGCAATGCCCACTTCGAGAACCCGGACCTCTGAGTCAGAACAACCTTCTTTCTTCTGGGTCAGAACAACCTTCTTTCTGGTCTCTGAGTTGAGGGCTGCCTCTCCCTCCTTAGGTGGCCACTTAACAGGTGGCAGCTATGGAGACAGACGGCTTCTAGAACAAGATGGTATTACTTACTATGGCAGAGGGAGGTCACTAAGGGATGTTCTCAAGTCAATCTTCTCCTCTGGACTAACAGTCTGGGAATGGTGGGGTGACAGAACCCAGCTAGTGAGGTGGTGGGGACTGTGAGACAATGAAGAATAGAACCAGGATTCACATGCAGAAAGGAGAAAGTGTAAGCAGCAAATAGTCCTGGGGTGGTCCACAGAGGGATGGAAAATCCAGGCCCCAAAGGGCTTAAAGCAGGCCCAAAATTGTGCCAGGTGTGGCGGCCGCTAGTGTTTCCAACAATATCTGAGACAACCTTCAGACACTGGTGCTAATCCAAGAAGCGACAGCAGACAAAAATGGGAAGTGCTACTCTGGATAGTGCCCTCGAGCCCCATGCTCTGCCTGTTGCTCATACACCAGCCAGACAGAAAAGAGCCTGGCGGCATCCCAGACCAAGAACATGCCTGGCAACCTCCTGCCTCAGACTAAGACCAAGATGGGGCCACTGCTACAGCCTCACACTGAATACCTCAGCTCCAGAGCAGCTCACTGCCACCTGAGCTGGCTCTAGATGAATCACCCTGGGCCCAGCCACATGCCCCAAGGGCCACCGGAGGTAGGCTGATAATAGAGTGAGACGACAATACTAGGATGAGAGGCACATAACGAATGCATTTTCCTAGCCAGTTTGTCCGCTCTGAGATCCAGGTGCTGCTGTCACACCCTGCCAGGTGCTGCCTTGGCTCCCACCATGCATGAGGCTTCAGAAGCCTCTGACTTGAGGGAAAGGACTGCCCACAAAACCTGAGTCCACTCAGTAGACAACTTACTTATTGAAGAGATGATTGTCCACCTTGATCTTGCTGTAGGCTTTGAAGTCATCTGGCATTAGCATGACAGGAACAGGAACATTGCTCAGCTCATTGATCTGAAAAGCAAGGAGAACGTAAGGCTCTCAGCCAGGAGGCCACCTGCCTCAGAGACACTAAGCTACAATGTGGATGCCACAATCTTGCTAAAAGCATGTCCAAGTTTCCCTCTCTGTCTTTTTTTGTTTTTTTGAGACAGGGTCTCATTCTGTCACCCAGGCTGAAGTGCAGTGGCATGACAATGGCTCATTGCAGCCTTCACCTCCTGGACTCAAGCAATCTGCCCACACCAGCCCCCCAAGTAGCTGGGACTACAGGTGCACATCACCACGCCCAGCTAATTTTTTTGTATTGTGTAGAGACAAGTTCTCACTGTCCTGAGCTCAAGCAATCCTCCAGACTTGGCCTCCCAAATTATTGGGATTACAGGTGTCAGCCACCACACCTGGCCCCTCCCTGCCTTTATTTCTGTTCTTCTCTTCAAGTAAGTTCCCAACCTTGTCCTATTTTACCTATTGAAACTCTCCACCTGATAAGGGCCAGCTCAAAAGGCACCTCCTCCATGAAGTTTTCCAAGATTCTCTAGACCATCAATACCCTTTCCCATCTTGGAATTCCTGAAGTTTTCTTTGTATCTGTCTTCTGGCCATCTCACAGTCTCTCATATTGTAGTTAATGCCTATAAACCTCACCTGCTAGAGTTAAGCTAGGCAATACTATATTATTTATCTTTCTTTTTCTTTTTCTTTGAGACGGAGTTTTGCTGTTGTTGCCCAGGCTGGAGTGCAATGGCACGATCTCAGCTCACTGCAATCTCCACCTCCTGGCCTCAAGTGATTCTCCTGCCTCAGCCTCCCAAGTAGCTGGGATTACAGGCATGCACCACCATGTCCAGCTAATTTTTTTTTGTATTTTTAGTAGAGACAGGGTTTCATCATGTTGGTCAGGCTGGTCTTGAACTCTTGACCTCAGGTGATCCACCTGCCCTGGCCTCCCAAAGTGTTGGGATTACAGGCGTGAGCCACCACGCTCGGCTTTAATTATATTTCTAAGCAAAGAGCATCCTACTAATCTTTGGGGCACCACAGTGCTTGGCACCATTACTAGCATATATGGCAGATACTCAATAAATATTTGTCATATGCAATAATAAATGATCAATAGATAAATGTCTCCCAACCTAAGTGGGTATTAATTAAGGCCTTTGAATATCTTCATACAAATTGTGGGTCACTCAAGAAATTAGCTCAAGGAAGAAAAAAAGCTGGATGGGTTTGTGTGGACTTGTAACTCATATCCCCAAGGTAATAGATTAAATTTATTTATTTATTTATTTATTTATTTATTTATTTATTTATAGACAGAGTCTCACTGTGTCGCCCAGACTGGAGTACAGTGGTGCGATCTCAGCTCACTGCAAGCTCCGCCTCCTGGGTTCACACCATTCTCCTGCCTCAGCCTCCAGAGTAGCTGGGACTACAGGTGCCCGACACCACACCTGGCTAATTTTTTGTATTTTTAGTAGAGACAGGGTTTCACCATGTTAGCCTGGATAGTCTCGATCTCCTGAGCTCGTGATCCACCCACCTCGGCCTCCCAAAGTGCTGGGATTACAGGCATGAGCCACTGCGCCCGGCTGTAATAGATTAAAGTGAGCAGTAGTAAATGTCTGGCCACTGCCCCACTTGGACCCTCCTGATAAAAGCAGGGCCAGGCCTGGCACAGTGGCTCATGCCTGTAATCCCAGTACTTTGGAAGGCCAAGGCAGGAGGATCACTTGAGGCCAGGAGTTCTATACCACCCTGGGCAACACAGCAAGACCCTATCTCTAAAAAAAATAATTAAATGTGAAGCTGAGGCAGGCAGATCACCTGAGGTAAGGAGTTCAAGACCAGCCTGGCCAATATGGTGAAACCCTATCTCTACTAAAAATACAAAAAAATTAGCTGGGTGTGGTGGAAGCCACCTGTAATTCCAGCTACTCGGGAGGCTGAGGCAGGAGAATCGTTTGAACCCAGGAGGCATAAGGTATAGTGGGCCGAGATCGCGCCACTGCCTGGGCAACAAGAGTGAGACTCTGTCTCAAAAAAAAAAAAAAATTAAACACATTAGCCAGGCATAGTCGTGTACACCTATCATCCTAGCTACTCAGGAGGCTGAGGTGGGAGGATTGCTTGAGGCCAGGAGTTTGAGGTTACAGTGAGCTGACTGCACCACTGCACTGCACTCTAGCCTGGGCAAGAGTGAGATCTTGTCTCAAAAAAGAAAATAAAATAAAGCAGGGCCAGTTCCTGATGTCAAGTCCTGCCATACACTAAACTAAGGGAGATGGGGCAGGATGCCTTGCCTCTACTGCAAACAAACCTTCTGACTTTCATCCCTTCAGGGAGCTGGATCCTAGACAGAGAGCTAGCTTTCCATTGGTGCAGAGATGAGGGCAGATCCTGCCCTTCCCCACCTCGAGTTTAGCCAGTTAGTGGTCTAATTAACCACAGATGTCCTCTCCCATCACAGCAGAGTATTTGACATTTGACCCTCAACCCAGTTGCCACTAATGCATTCAGGATTTACAGAGGAAACCTTAGTCCTGACTTAATGGACTGGGGGGAGGGGGCACAGCCTTGTGTCTCCCACTTTCCTTGCAAATCCTGTTATCTCAATGAGGCCCCAGGTGGCAGTGAGGGGATAACCTAGAGTCATTAGAACTCCTCCAGGAGCATAAATGGGGGAAATGGCATTTAATTTGCTGCTCCTTTTATGTTACAAACCTTTTTTATTTAGAAATGTCAGAGAATGGAGGAAGTTCAAGTTAATGCAGTAACTGGGCTGGGGAACCATATCTTCCTAGAGTTGGGAAAAAACCCAATTTACTCATGGAGAAATGAAGGAAGCCATAGGAATGCACGTGCTTTGAGAGGGATGCTGGGGGCAGGGTAGTTTATAAGTTGGCAGTGGAGCAGACACTAGGTAAACTGCTGGCAAAAACTGGCATAGACACAAGAGTGTATCCTGTATAATTCCATTTATATGAAATTCTACAGCAGGCATCTATAATGAGAGAAATGAGATGAGTTGCCTGGCCAGGGGGCGGGGGGTGCTGAGTGTAAAGGGACATGAGAAGTGTGATTCTACGGTGACAGAAATGTTTTATATGTTGCTTGGGGTGATGGTTACATGAGCAAATACATTTGCTGAAATTCATCAAATTGTATACTTAAAATACGCACACTTAATATACATAAATTATTCCTCAATAAAGTTGATTTTTAAATTCCCAGCATCAAGCTCTGTGATACCCTTCATTGGCTAAACCCTCCCAATAGCCAAAAAAAACCCCAGAAGAGTCATGCCAGTTCCTATTCCAGGGGGTGCTCACAAGAGAATGTGACTGTCAAATCTGTGCCTACAGAGGAAACCATTCCACTTCTTTGTTTTTCTGCCAACAGAAACAATTCGTGGTGGCTGTCCCATTTCCTTTTTCCTGGCATATCAAGCCTGGCTCCGAGACTTAAAGGGAAAACAGAGACAAAGAGTTCAGGGCTCGGCTGGGCGCAGTGGCTCACGCCTATAATCCCAACACTTTGGGAGGCCTAAGGGGACGGATCACGAGGTCAGAAGATCGAGTCTTGCTCTGTTGCCCAGGCTGGAGTGCAGTGGCAGAATCTCCGCTCACTGCAACCTCTGCCTCCTGGGTTCAAGCGATTCTCCTGCCTCAGTCTCCTGAGTAGCTGGGATTACAGGCGCATGTCACCATGCCCTGCTAATTTTTGTATTTTTAGTAAAGATGGGGTTTCACCATGTTGGTCAGGCTGGTCTCGAATTCCTGACCTCGTGATCTGCCTGCCTCAGCCTCCCAAAATGCTGGGATTACAGATGTGAGCTACTGCACCTGGCCCAGCCTAGGAAATTTTTAACTCAGCTAACATTGGTGAACAATCCATATCTCAACTAGGGGAGACTTACCCCTCATTTCTACTAGGCCACATGTAGATGATTCACTGTAGGGATTAGCCCTATTATTATTATTTTTTTAGTTGTGTGAAATTTTATATCCCAGAGAGTTCTATTCCATTTCAATTGAACTGTTCCTATTGAAATATCTGCTACGTGCTTCATTCTGTTAGGTAGGTGTGTGGGAGGAGGAGAACACAAGGGGAGAAAGTGTTGTACATGCAAAAGAAACAGGAGGCTTATAATCTCATCAGGGAGATGAAAAAAAACCCTGACACCCTCAAAGTCAAAGCAGTATGCAATTAAGTGAGAATCCAGGGATACAGACATCAAGAACAGCAGAGGCTCAGAGAAGGATGAGGCTAGCATGGCCAGAGGGTCAGGCTCCCAGTCCTCATACATCAGGCCAGAAACAAGGCACCTAATGCCTCTCCTGGTATTGCACCAAGAGCACTTGACATTAGGAGAATCTACAAGATCATGCTACACTCCTGCTTAGAAATCTTCCATGGCTGCTCCTCTCAACCTCAGGGTAAAGTTTTAACTGCTTAGCCTGGCATTCAAGGCCTTTCCTAATCTGGCTCAGACTGCCAATTTTTTTTTTTTTTTTTTTTTTTTTTTGAGATAGAGCTTTGCTCTGGTTTCCCAGGCTGGAGTGCAATGGCGTGCTCACCGCAACTTCCGCCTCCCGGGTTCAAGCAATTCTCCTGCCTCAGCCTCCTGAGTAGCTCGGATTATAGGCATGCACCACCATGCCCGGCTAATTTTGTATTTTTAGTAGAGATGGGGTTTCTCCATGTTGGCCAGGCTGGTCTCGAACTCCCGACCTTAGGAGATCCACCTGCCTCGGCCTCCCAAAGTGCTAGGATTACAGGCGTGAGCCACCGCGCCCAGCCAGACTGCCAAATTTCTATTCAATTTACTTCTACTCAGTGTATTAAGGGCCTTACTATATGCTAGGAGCTGGGGATACAAAACCAAAAAGACATCTGCAGAGCTGGGCGTAGTGGCTCACGCCTGTAATTCCAGCACTTTGGGAGGCCGAGGCGGGCGGATCATGAGGTCAGGAGATCAAGACCATCCTGGCTAACACAGTGAAACCCCGTCTCTACTAAAAAAAAATACAAAAAAAAATTAACGGAGCATGATGGCGGGCACCTGTAGTCCCAGCTACTCGGGAGGCTGAGGCAGGAGAATGGCGTGAACCCACAAGGCGGAGCTTGCAGTGAGCCGAGTTCATGCCACTGTGCTCCAGCCTGGGTGACAGAACCAGACTCCGTCTCAAAAAAAAAAAAGCAATGAGTTCACTCTATGCTGATCTACTGGAGATGAAAATTCCTTGATTGATTGATTGAGACAGGGTCTCACTTCCATAGGCCAGGCTAGAGTGCAGTGGTATGATCTCAGCTCACTGCAGCCTCAACTTCCTGAGCTCAGGTGATTCTCCCATCTCAGCCTCCCTAGTAGATGGGACTACAGGTGTGCCATCATGCCCAGCTAATTTTATTTCTAGTAGAGACAAGTTTTCGCCATGTTGCCCAGGCTGGTTTCAAAGCCCTGGGCTCAAGCAATCCATCCACCTCAGTCTCTCAAAGTGAGAGGTATGATTCTGTTGTACATATACAACAGAATACTATTCAGCCTTTAAAAAAAAGAAGAAAATTCTGCAATATGCAACATGGAGATGAAAATTCAGCAGCTAGTTCTAGTCTGGTGAACTTGTGTGTCCAGAAGCCTCCACTTCCCTGTGCGACCTTCATAGGAATTGTTACCTAGGATGCCTGGACTAGGCATGCAGGTTTCCTGACATGTTCCAGTCCTCTGCTGTCGGTTCAGCAGTGGGCTGGCCACCACCAGCAATCACTTGTTACCTGCCACCATCAGAAAACATGACATGCTAGAAATACACTCACAGGACCGAGGAGGTCCAAAGCAAGAACTGCAACTCCAGAGAGGAAGAGAGGGCCACAGGAGCCAATAAATCTACCGGTGTTTACTCCTCCTTTCCATATCTTGCTTTCTCCTTCTCCTGCTGTTTGAGTCCCACTGCTCCCTGTGAGGTGGGAAGGCCTGCTAAAAGAAACTTCATTCAAAGGCCTGAGTAGGAATGTTCTCTAAAGATTTTTTTTTTTTTGAAACGGAGTCTCACTCTGTCGCCCAGGCTGGAGTGCAATGGCGCGATCTCTGCTCACTGCAACCTCCGCCTCCCGGATTCAAGCCATTCTCCTGCCTCAGCCTCTTGGGTAGATGGGATTACAGGCGCATGCCACCACACCCGGCAAATTTTTGTATTTTTAGTAGAGACAGGGTTTCGCCATGTTGGCCAGGCTGGTGTCAAACTCCTGACCTCAAGTGATCCGCCTGCCTCGGCCTCCCAAAGTGCTGGGATCACAGGCGTAAGCCACTGCTCCCAGCCATCTCTGAAGATTTTTTCTTTTTTTTTTTTTTTTGAGACGGAGTTTTGCTCGTCACCCAGGCTGGAGTGCAATGCCGCCATCTTGGCTCAATGCAACCGCCGTCTCCCAGGTTCAAGTGATTCTCCTGCCTCAGCCTCCCGAGTAGCTGGGATTACAGGCATGCGCCACCATGCCCGACTAATTTTTGTATTTTTAGTAGAGACGGGGTTTCACCATGTTGGCCAGGCTGGTCTTGAACTCCTGACCTCAGGTGATCCGCCCACCTTGGCCTCCCTAACTGCTGGGATTACAGGCGTGAGCCACCATGCCAGGCCCCTCTGAAGATTTTTAAAGCAGTAGGGCAAGATAAAAAGACAGGTAAAGGAGGTCAGTGGCTCACGCCTGTAATCCTAGCACTTTGGAAGACCGAGGTGGGCAAATCGCTTGAGCCCAGGATTTCGAGACCAGCCTGGGCAACATGGCAAAACCCCGACTCTTCAAAAAATACAAGTGTTAGTCGGGTGTGGTGGCATGTGCCTGTAGTCCCAGCTACTCGGGTGGCTAAGGCAGGAGAATCACCTGAGCATGGGGAGGTAGGGGCTTCATTGAGCCGTGATTGTGCCACTGCACTTCAGCCTGTGCAAGAGCGCGAGACCCTGCCTCAAAAAAACAAACAAAAAAAAAAACAAGAAAGAAAGAAAATGTATGGACAGAACAGAACTGGGGTGGAATGTAGGAGAGAAATTGAGCAGACTAAAGAATAAATCTGTCCCTCACACCATACCCAAAAGTGAATTCAAAATGGATTACAGACTTAAATGTAAGAACTAAAACTATACATACTCCAGCACTATTCACAAGAGCTAAGGTGTGAAAACAAATCCATCAACAGATGATAAAGAAAATGTGGTATACATATACAACAGAATACTATTCAGCCTTAATAAAAGAAGGAAATTCTGCTATGTGCAACATGGATGAACCTTGAGCACCTTACGCTGAGATCAGCTAGTCGCAGAAAAACATATATTGCATGATTCTCCTTATATAAGGTTTCAAAACAGTCCAATTCATAGAAACAAAGAGTAGAATGGTGGTTGCCAGGGGCTGGGGGCGGGGGAAATGGGGAGTTAATTGGTAGGCATAAAGTTTCATTCAAGCGAGATGAATACGCTCTACAGAGCTGCACTATGACACTGTTCCCATGGTCATCAATAACATAATCGTACACTTAAAATTTTGTCATGAGAGTACATCTTATGTTAAATGTTCTGACCACAATACAATTAAAAAAAAAAAAAGAAGAAGAAGAAAGAAAGAGCTAAAACTCTAGTTGGGAGGATTGCTTCAGGCCAGAAGTTTGAGAACATCCTGGGCAATACAGAGAAACCCCAATTCATTAAAAAAAAAAAAAAAAAAAAAAAGAGCTAGAACTATAAAACTTTTAGAAGAAAACAAAGGAGTAAATCTTCATGACCTTGGGTTAGGCAATGTCTTCTTAGATATAACACCAAAAGCACACACAACAACAACAAAAAAGATAAACTGGACTTTATTAAAGTTAAAAACTTGAACTTCAAAAGATACCATAAGAAAAATGAAAAAGGCAGGCCAGGTGCAGTGGCTCACGCCTGTAATCCCACCACTTTGGGAGGCCGAGGCGGGGGGATTGCTTGAGGCCAGGAGTTCGAGACCAGTCTGGCCAACATGGCAAAACCCTGTCTCTACTAAAAATACAAAAATTAGCCTGGTGTGGTGGCGGGCACCTGTAATCCCAGTTACTCAGGAGGCTGAGGCAGGAGAATCGCTTGAACCCGGGAGGCAGAGGTTGCAGTGAGCCAAGATCACACCGTTGCACTCCAGCCAGGGCGACAGAGCAAAACTCCATCTCAAAAAAAAAAAAAAAAAAAAAAAAAGAAAAATGAAAAAGACAACTCAATGAATAGGATAAAATATTTGCAAATCATATATCTGATAAGGGACCTGTATCTAGAATATAAAAAGAATTCTTGTAACTCAATAATAAGAAGATAACCCAATTTAATAATGGGCAAAAAGATCTTTGTAAATGGGCAAAAAATTTAATAGACATTCTCCAAAGAAAAGATACCAATGAAGGCTGGGGATGTGGCTCATGCCTGCAATCCCAGTCCTTTGGGAGGCCAAGGCGGGAGGACCACTTGAGGCCAGGAGTTCAGGACCAGCCTCGGCAACAAAGCGAGACCCTGTCTCTACAACAACAACAAAAAGAAAATGTACAGGCCAGGCACAGTGGCTCACACCTGTAATCCCAGCACTCTGGGAAGCCAAGGCAGGTGGATCACCTGAGGTTAGGAGTTTGAGATCAGCCTGGACAACATGGTAAAACTCCATATCTACTAAGAATACAAAAGTTAGCTGGGTGTGGTGGCAGGCACCTGTAATCCGAGGTACTTGGGAGGCTGAGGCAGGAGAATCGCTTGAACCAAGGAGGCGGAGGTTACAGTGAACTGAGATTGTGGCACTAAACTCCAGCCTGGGCGACAGAGCAAGACTCTGTCTCAAGAAAAAAAAAAAAAGAAAAGAATATGTACAAATGGCCAGTAAGTACATGAAAAAATGCTCAACATCATTAGTTATCACAGAAATGCCAATCAAAGTCACAATGAGGCCGGGTGCGATGGCTCATGCCTGTAATCCCAGCACTTTGGGAGGCCGAGGCAGGTGGATCACCTGAGGTCAGGAGTTTGAGACAAGCCTGGCCGACATGGTGAAACCTTGTCTCTACTAAAATAAAAAAATTAGCCACGTGTGGTGGCAGGCATCTGTAATCCCAGCTACTGAGGAGGCTGAAGCAGGAGAATTGCTTGAACCCGGGAGGTGGAGGTTGCGGTGAGCCGAGATTGCACCACTGCACTCCAGCCTGGGTGACGGAGTGAGACTCCATCACAAAAACAAACAAACAAACAAAATCACAATGAGATACGAATTCACACCCAACAGAATGGCTTTAATAACTTTAAAAAGACAATAACAAGTGTTGACAAGGATGCAGATACTGGAACTCTTATACACTGCTGGTAGACATGTAAAATGGTACAGCCACTTTAGAGAACAGTTTGGCAGTTTCTCAAATGGTTAAATACAGAGTCACCATCAACTGCTCCTGCTCCTCTGATCCCTGTGGTAAGGCTTCACACATACCTGGTTCTTAAAATGGCCAACAAGTATCAAGTCAGGTCTACCTCCCATGGTCTCCATGCTCCTCTCTGAGGCCATCTCTTCCCTAATTCCAAACCCTCGGAACTGTATTTCATCCACTAAAACACTGGTTTTTGCTCTTCACTAGTTCTTCCCTGACAGGTGCAAAGTCTTCTGATTTTTCTCCTTGTTTCCTACACATTCTTCCTCCACAAAATCCATGGGCTCTTGTCCATGAGAGCAGCTCCTGTGACAACACCAAGTTCAAAGTCCTCTCTTTTTCCACCTAGAAGTAAACTAATCACCTCATGAAAGGGTAACTAACTTCTGCTGTAGATAAAGACATATCCATCCTTCCTATCTGAAACACCATTAGCCACAGACCAGCATGCCTAAATGCCTAAACAGGTGAGAAACTAAAGAAAAGGTGGTATCTGAAATCTCAGATGACAAAATGTTACAAAGTAGGCTTTTTTTGAAGGGAGGAAATCTCCAAAAAAGTGCAGCAGTCCACCGAGGGCAATGTGGTCCTGATCCCTTAGACGAGTGCAAGATTACACTCTTCTTCTAGGCAGATGTCTCAGTTCCCAAATGGGGACACTGAAGTATCAGACCTTACTGCAGACCAGGATGAAGCAATAAAACTTACGACTAACTGGCCTCTGAAGCTTAGCCTGTCCAGGGCAGTGGTGGGAAGTTCCCATGAGATGCCTGTTCATTATGTCCAGAGGCACGGATCTTGCTTAAAGTCAATGCCTTTCCAACTAGCCCCTCAAACAAACTTTCAACTTAAAGTTAGCAAAGAAAAAAGATGACCACTTTGTCCAACAGAGTAGGACTCACAGGACTCCTGACTCGTGATACCTAACCATCAGCTATTGAGAAACTTCATAACCACATATGGACAGACTCATGCCTGCCTATCGGAACACCATGCATCACACACACTCCCAGGACCTGACATGCATAGGCGTATAACCCAGAGCATATATTCACCTTCTCTAACCGGACTATACTTCGCATCTATCCTGAGACTTGGCTGAGGGAGAGGAAAAGAAACAGGAGGCAAAGAAAACAAGACCAGCCACTCAGGCACCACCCTTGGCCGATACAGTCCCATGGTGCTAGACAATAAGCGACATCTCTTGCTGTAACCACAGGCAAGCTAATCCTCCACCTGAGGCCTCCTTTTCTTCATGTGTAAAATAAGGGACCCAAGGTTCATTGCAGCTAGCTGTAATACTCCTGACTCTCAGGCCTCTACCAGTTCTCTACAGACAGGTTGCTTTCTGTGAGAAACAGAACCAGCAGAGAGAGGCCTGGTAGAGTGAGAAGCAGGATGCAGAACAAAATCAAGGATTGACTTCCAGAAAGGGACATGGGGTTCATATTCTGATCACCCAGTTTCCCTAGAAATGTTGTCAGATGACCCCTGGGACAGCAGGAAGACCGAGTAACAAACTGGGCTGGATTGTTGGCCCGAAGCAGCTCCTAGAGGTCTGGGCATTATACCACTGGTACTCGCTATCCTGGCAGGACCCTCACTAACACCAGTGATGACAGTGAAAACAGTAACCTGCCCAAGACCAAGAAACCACAGAGACCTCAATTTACACATGCACTTTCCTAAATGACAGGTCAAGATCTAAAACCCTAGCTCAGATTACGGTTCATCGATCTCCACCCAAAGGCACCTTCAGCTCCTCTGCCAAAGCAATGCAAAGTCTTGCTGGCCCTCTTTGTCATCGCTTGGTCTTGTGAGCAATTTCAAGCACTCACAAGTGAACCTAAAGAACTGAAATCCACAGGAAACCCAAGCTTGATCCTCCTTATTCCAAAATTCTAGTTAGTGAAGTTGGTGTTTCGGGTCCTTTTACTTCCTCTGCTCATTCCTAGTGTGGGGATTCATAAAGAAATGGTCAGAAGGCAAAGAGCAAGTGGTTGGAAGAGGGAGAATAAAGACCCTGAACAAACACCACATAAACAGTCTTCCAGCTTAAACTGTCAGGATCCAACTTCCTGGCAGGGGCTGTTGAACAATCTCAAAGCACCCTAAGGACCCAGGGGACCTATCTCTCCTATCTAGGACCATAATCACTATGCATCATCACAACATTGCAGCCACACAACAGATAAGTCAACATCTTTAAAATGATCACCTTCAAAAACTATGGGAAGACATATTATTTCTACTATGAATAGTCCCTCCTTATAACCAGGCATCCTCTTCTCTCAAATGGTTAATAGCCATTCTTTCTTCTCCCTAACCCAGAGAGACCCAGGTGAAGTGTCTGGTTCAAGGAAGCCTGTGCTTCTCCAGTTGATACATCTTGTTCAAGAGGGAAAAAAAAGGAAACCCAGGGTGGAGTTCTACATTCAAAGGTAAGGAGGCCTGGAGGATGGAAGAATTTGAGCAGCCACAACAACCAAACGATCAGAAAGAGAGGACTATTTGGGCAGACCACTGCTACTTGACAGAGCTGGCAGCCGGCTGTAAGGAACAAGGGGGAATATACACCCTCACAAACAGGATGAGGGGGGAGGAGGAGAAGCAGGGATGAAAGCGACTCCACTGCACTGAGGCCTTGCCTTTGCGCTCCATGGGCTGCCCCAAGCGAGCACGCCACACGCAGGAAGCCAGAAGGGCTGGAGGGAAGGGGAGGTGGCGACGGCAGACCACAGAGACACCAGGCCTCGCGTGGCGTGCGGGGAGTGCACACGGGGCCGAAAGGCGTGCAAGGGTGGGGTGGGCGTGCAAGTGGCTTGGCGAGGGGTGGCAGGCGTCACCGGCAGGGCCTGCGGGGCAAGGGCCCAGGGCTGCAGGGGGCGTGGGAGCGCGCGGGGCCGCGCTCAGAGGGGCGCGCAGGAGCTGGTTACCGTGTGGTTCACCCCCCACATCAGGACGCTGAGGATCGGCTCGCTGGCCCGGAATAGCTTCACTTTCTGGCACACGAAATGCTTCTTCTTGGTCTTGGTCTTGCTGGCGCTGAGCGGCGCCACCGCCACCGCCGTGGTGCTGGTGCAGTTGGACGACATGCCCGGGGCGGCGGCGGCGGCGGCGAAAGAGGGGGGCGGCGGAGACAGCGCACAAGCCAGCGGCCTCAGGCCTCCCCCGGACCGATCCCCACCCCCGCTCCCTCACCGCGCCATGGTCGCGCCCGTCCCGTTACCTCCCACCCCGCCCCGGTGGTTCCGTCCGCCCCACGCCCCGCCCTCCCGCCCCGCCCCGGGGAGCCCGCCGGCCCGCTCCGCACCCCGCCCCCGGGCGGTGCAGCCGCCCTGCAGTCCCCTGGCCCCGTCCTCCCCGTCCGCGTGGTACGGCCCGTCCCGGGGAGGCAGCGGCCGCCCCGCCCGCCCCTCCTCCCCGGGCCTGACAGAAACCCGCCTGGCCTCCGAACGCCTCGGGGCCCCGTGCCGGAGCCGGAAGGGGAGGAGGGCTGGGCAGGCGTCGCTGTGGACCGCGGGAGGGGCTCCCCGCCCGGGCCCCCCAACGCCAGGGTTTGGCTCTTTCCCGCAACCCGAATGCCAAGATGGCGGCGATGCCACCGCTCCGGAAGGGAAGGAGGGACGGGAATGCGAGGAGGGCGGGACGTACCATGCCCACCCCGGGGGAGAGGAGGGACGCAGCAAGGGGAAGAGAAAGTCCAGCCTAGAAAGCCAAGGAACGCCCCCTCGCTCCACCTAAGCGTGGATCTGCCCACTCTGCTGGGCCCCGGGCGCGCTCCACCCGCGGGGCACGCCCCTTGCCCCCAGGGCCAATGAGAGAAGCAGGCCAGGAACACTGGTTTTTATGAATGGGCCCCGCGCCCACCCACCTGCTGCCTGTTCTCCCCGCAAAGGGTCAGAGCTCAGAGGCCGCCAGCACCTTCAGACACCTATCCCACTAATCGTCTTACTCTGGCTCATTTCGTAAAATCTTTGAGTAAACTGCCCCACGCTTTGTTACATAATTCTCAGATGAGGGATCTCCATATATTCGACACAAATTACAGGTCAACGTTGTTCTTTCTGCATGGAAATTCGTAAACACGGTACTCCACAGGTGGTCGCTCTTTAAACAGTTACAAAAATAAATGTGGCCTTTATTACCAATTATAAAATAAACATAATTAACCCCGGCATAATGAAGTGATTAAATGAATAAAAACGTATGTTACATTCTCTAGGGAAAGATCGGGTTTCAAGCATTACAGTGCCTGGCATCATAAGTGTTCAAAAACAGAAATCCAAATACATTTTAAGCAGAATTAGGAATTAGCAGAACAAGGAAATCGCCCAGCTAATGTGCGGGTCAAGAGGGCCTAGGAGTTCACTGGTCAAATGAGGGCTTCTGGTGAAAGAATAGAGAAGGGAAAAGGAGTAAAGACAGGAGAGTGGCCCCTCGAGGGTTTTGTTTTGTTGCTGTTGTTTTTTGAGACGGAATCTCGCTCTGTCACCCAGGCTGGAGTGCGGTGGCACAATCTCGGCTCACTGCAAGCTCCGCCTCCTGGGTTCACGCCATTCTCCTGCCTCAGCCTCCCGAGTAGCTGGGACTACAGGCGCCCGCCACCACGCCCGGCTAATTTTTTGTATTTTTTTAGTAGAGACGGGGTTTCACCGTGTTCGCCAGGATGGTCTCGATCTCCTGACCTCGTGATCCGCCCACCTCAGCCTCCCAAAGTGCTGAGATTACAGGTGTGAGCCACCGCGCCCAGCCTGTTTTTTGTTTTTTTTTTAGTACCTGACTGAAAGAGACTAGCAAACAACTCCTGAAAATCTGTAATTGTAGTAAGGTTACTACACGGTAAGAAGTGAAGCCGCAAAATAAAAACTTCCATTTTATTTTCCTTTAGGAGCCATGGAGCATATTGGCAATTTGGTTCTGACTCCTAAAATCATTTTACTATACCTTTACACTGCCTACATTGGAGACTGCAAGCAGTGGAAAAGAATAGATACTCCAGATCTCGTCGATAAACCCAGGCTCCTCCTAAACCAGCCAGATTCAGAGAGAAAAACGAGCTGGCCTGCCTTATTGTATTACTTGCCATCAAGGTTCAATGTGGTTCTATTACCCAGTAAAGTCATTGACCAAACAAGGTATTTTCACAAAGCTAACCTTTTTTAAAAGCATGTAAAAATTGTACATTTGTACATATACGCATTACAATTTTACATCCAAAGATCAAATAGTTAACAGTTCATTTAGGGCTTTTTGTATTGTTTGATTTTCCAGATTCTGTCACTCCCTTGGCTTTGACCTAACCTGACATCATTCTGTCACATTATCTTCTAAATCAAGTAAACGTTCATTTGTCTCAGTAAGCACAATCTATCTGGGTGACACCAGAGAGGTTTCTGAAGGGTCTGGTGTACGCTGAGGCAGTGAAATAGGTCTGTTGGCACAGGTAAGAAGGAAGTGGCATGATAAACATCACAACCCCAGGGAACAGCCTTCCAGAGTGGCACAAGCACTCCCACCGAGATGGTCCAGTGCCCACCCGTTAAAGAGTCAAAACCCAAAGTTACTGAGTGTCCCACAAAGCAAGTCACACTAGCTCTCAAAGGAAGTGAGCTGTTTCAGGACTCAATGAAGCAGGGTCACTTTGAACACTGGTGGTTTGACATCTGTGAAAGAAGTCATTTGAACTCTTATAAAGAGAATTAAGGGGTCAGCAGCTTCCCTGGAAAATGCAGGAAAACCAATAAGAGAGGGGACAGTTTTCATCTTTTCATAAAGTTCTTCTCCAGAGCTACCGAAGTTCTCTGTAAAGAGTAGATATTCCGCTTCACCCGATCCTCCAGGGAGGAAGTAGATGCACTCTCCAGCTTCATGCGGCTAGGAAGAGAAGACAGGCAAATGCAAGTCAAAAACATTTTCAATCAGTCAACTATTCTGGCAGCTTCAGAAGAAATGGGTTGTTAGCCATAGAGCAGCTGTAAAAACACAACCTCTTTTAAGCTCCCATAGATAACTTTCGAGTGACTCCACCTGGAACCAAATGTTTTTAAACCAGTGTCCATAAGGGAAAATGTATCTGTTTTGGAAAATAAGTCAAAGCCTCATTGGAAAAAGGCTTCCTGGGCCATGAATTCTTATTAAAAAGGAAGGTCAAGGAATTTCAATGATTTAGAAAATACCAAATTCACTTCTCCTCCCCTCAAATGAAAAACATCCCACTGTGTGGTCAGAAAGGAAGAGTAGTAGCCAAGGTGGTCTGAAGGCTGGGCTCCATGTGCAAACACAGAAACACTGGAACGGGAACCAGCTGCCAGCCTGCCTCTTAAGACCTTCCCCATGAAAGACCCTGGCAGGAAGAAGATGCACTCACTGGATGAACTTCCCATCCCGGGAGTCCAGCTTCTCTAGCCTCTGCTCCCGTTCCTCATCCTTAGCATGCCTCTTGAGGATGTTCAGTCTCTCCTCCTCCCTCCATTTGGCGTTTTCCATCATCTCTTGCCGTTTTCGCTCTAATTCCTCTGCAGAGAGTTTTCTGTTGAGCACAGAAACCATACGATCAGGTCTCTTCCAGCAAAAAAACCAGAAGCAGCACAAGAAGCACAGAAGCCAGGTGGGACCCCAAGCTCTCCAGTTCACTGCTCTCTCCAAGTGCAAGGCCAGCCTGAGTTCCCTTCTAACGTCCTGGTCAGGAGGTTTCATCCAAATTTCAAAGGCTTTTAGTAAAGTATTCCATAATCTCACTCAGTAATCTCTAGAGTGATTATTCTGAAATATGAAATATGAAATAAATTGGGAACTCATCAGGAACCTAAACTTGTAGCAATTATATCCCAATGGTTTGCTCAACAATTGACAGAAGAACAGAAGACTAGGTTATCCATGTAACTGTTAACATCTACCATCTAACTACCCATTGGAGACTAGAAATTCATGACACAGCCCATGAGTACACTACTTTAGGACTAAGCTAGAAGCCAGAAGCTGAAGGAATAACTTAGCCTCAGAAAATAATAAATAGGGCCAGGCATGGTGGCTCACGCCTGTAATCCCAGCACTTTGGGAGGCCAAGGCGGGCAGATCACCTGACGTCAGGAGTTCGAGACCAGCCTGGCCAACATGGGGAAACCCTGTCTCTACTAAAATTACAAAAATAAGCTGGGTGTGGTGGTGTGTGCCTGTAATCCCAGCTACTTGGGAGGCTGAGGCAGGAGAATCGCTTGAACCGAGGAGGCGGAGGTTGCAGTGAGCCAAGATCGCACCACTGCACTCCAGCCTGGGTGACAGAGTGAGTCTCTGTCTCAAAAAAAAATAAAAACCTCCAAACGAAAAACAATTTACTATTAAAAATCTGCTTCAGATAATAAATGAAAGATATTAGAGCATTCAAATGAGAGTAGGAGGCTTAAAAAAAAAAAACAAAAACGATTGCCAGGCACAGTGGCTCTAGCCCGTAATCCCAGCACTTTGGGAGGCTTAGGCAGGAGGATTGCTTGAGTCCAAGAGTTCAAGACCAGCCTAGGCAACAAAGTGAGACCTCCCATCTCTGCAAAAAAAAAATTTTTTTTTAATTAGTTGGGCATGGTGGCACCCGTGTAGCCCCAACTATTTGGAAGGCTGAGGTAGGAGGATCAGTTGAACCTGGGAGTGTGAGGCTGCAGTAAGCCATGATCGCCCCACTGCACTCCAACCTAGGCAACAGAGTGAGACCTTGTAGGGAGAAGAAAGAAGTTATCAAAGAAATAATACAAGAAAATTTCCTAGAACTCAAAGACATGGTTTAGATTGCAGGAAGCAAATACTGACACTAGGAAAAAATATACAAATCATACAAGAAAGGAAATGTAACCTCCATATTCTGCTTGGCTTAGGAATGAAAAGTATCAGTAAACAATATTTATATATCATACAAGTATGAATCCACATACTCACTGAACCAAAAATTCTGATGTAACCATATTGGAAAGATAGGGATAGAAGAAACATGGGACTAGGAGTGTATGAGAGCTCATTTACACTAACAGATTATTTACTATAACAGTAAGAAAATATCTAAGATCTGGCCGGGCACGGTGGCTCACACCTGTAATCCTAACACTTTGGGAGGCCAAGGCAGGTGGATTGCCTGAGCTCAGGAGTTCCAGACCAGCCTGGACAACACATTGAAACCCCATCTATATTAAAAATACAAAAATTAGGGCCAGGTGCTGTGGCTCATGCCTGTAATCCGAACACTTTGGGAGGCTGAGGCGGGCAGATCACCTGACCTCAGGAGTTCAAGACCAGCCTGACCAATATGGTGAAACCCCATCTCTACTAAAATATACAAAAATTAGCTGGGCATGGTGGCATGCGCCTGTAGTCCCAGCTACTCGGGAGGCTGAGGCAGGAGAATCGCTGGAACCCGGGAGGCAGAGGTTGCAGTGAGCCGAGATCGTGCCACTGCGCTGCAGCCTGGGCGACAGAGCGAGACAAAAAAAAAAAAAAAAAAAAAGGAAGCCCGGGCGTGGTGGCTCACGCCTGTAATCCCAGCACTCTGGGAGGCCGAGGCAGGCAGATCACCTGAGGTTGGGAGTTCGAGACCAGCCTGACCAACATGGAGAAAGCCTGTCTCTACTAAAAATACAAAAATTAGCTGGGTGTGGTGGCACATGCCTGTAATCCCAGCTACCTAGGAGGCTGAGGCAGGAGAATCACTTGGGCCCAGGAGGCGGAAGTTGTGGTGAGCCGAGATTGGGCCATTGCACTCCAGCCTGGGCAACAAGAATGAAACTCCATCTCAGAAAAAAAAAAAAAAAATTAGCTGGGCGTGACAACATGTGCCTGTAGTCCCAGCTACTCGGGAGGCTGGGACAGGAGAATCACTTGAACCCCGGAGGCAGAGGTTGTAGTGAGCCAAGATTGTGGCACTGCACTCCAGCCTGGGAGATACAACAAGATGCTGTCTCCAAAAAAAACAAAGAAAGAAAAAAGAAAATATCTAATATCTAAAATTAATGGATGAAGAGGCAGCAACATATTTGTATTTTTAGGAATATGTAGCTATGAAAAGAAACTACTGAAAAAGCTGAAAGTAGTTGCCTTTGGGTAGCATGACTAAAAGTGGGATCAGGCAGGGCAAAGAACTACTAGCTTTTGTTTTTTTAAATGTTTTTAAAATAATTTTTTGTAGAGATAGTGTCTTATTATGTTGCTCAGACTGGTCTGGAACTCCTGGCCTCAAGCGATCCTCCTGCCTTGGACTCTCAAACTGCTGGGATTACAGGTATGAGCCACCACACCCAGAGAGAATAATTGAGGGGTTTTTTAAAGAGGGTTTAATTTAAGAGAGGGTCTCGCTCTGTCGCCCAAGCAAGAATGCAGTGGCTTGATCGTAGCTCACTGCAACCTTAATCCCTTGACCTTAAGTGATCCTCCCTGCCTTAGCCTCCCAAAGCGCTGAGATTACAAGCATGGACTGCTGTGTCTGGCTTGGTTTTTGTTAAGAGACTTTTTTTTTTTTTTGAGACAAAGTCTTGCACTGTCGCCTGGGCTGCTGTGCAGTGGTGAGATCTCAGCTCACTGTAACCTCCAACCCCTGGGTTCAAGCAGTTCTCCTGTCTCAGCCTCCCAAATAACTGGGATTACAGGCATGTGCCACCATGACCAACTAATTTTATATTTTTAGTAGAGATGGGGTTTCACCGTGTTGGTTAGGATGGTCTCGACCTCCTGACCTCAGGTGATCCACCCACCTCAGCCTCCCAAACTGCTGTGATTACAGGCGTGAGCCACCACGCCCAGCCTTACCTCGTCCTTTCAATGTCCTCACATGGCTGGAGGCAGGGGACGCAGACCCTTACAGGTTGGCAAGATAAATAAAAGTTGGTTCGTCGAAAAGGTAATGATGGATTATCCATTTGCCATGGTTTGAGCCCCTTCTAGATTCAGGCCTGCAAAATGTGGTTAATCAACTGGGCTCCTGACTCACCTGGTGTATCCGGGAGCATGTCGCCTTTGGTAGACCTCTTTTTTAGGTGATGGGCTCCTAGTTTGGCCTGTCTCTCTCCTGTTCACCTTAGAGTTGTGCCTGTAGCAGACACAGAAGGCAAAGAGGAAAAAGCCTTTTTGGTCCAGGGGCTTACACTGAATCCCTCAAACAATGCAAGATGAGCTAATGGTCTTAGAGGTATAATCTAAGTGTGAGAAAAACAAAGGTATAGGGTTTGATGTTAGACTCACCCCAGAGCTCCCAAAGCACAGAATACACCTACAGATATGTGGCTTTGGATGCCTGAGCTTTACATTGAGGTGGAAAAAAAAAATGATGTAAAGGAAATACCAAAGCAAAGACATTTGGGAAAGTCAATGGACGGACATCACCAAAAGCAAAAACAAATGCCTGCTGGGACCAGGCCCCCACAGTCACAGGTTATTTCCCAGTGAATCCCACACTCACAGTTTGCTGGGTCTTGGGGACCGTGACCTTCTGCCCAGGGATCGAGACCTCCTGTCCCGGGACCCTGCTTCCCTGGTGCTCTTCTTGCTGGCATGTCTTGGGGGTGAGTGGGAGGAGCTTCTGGATCTGGAATGGTTCTTCATCCCATGCCCTCTCTTTTGCTCTGCTGTCAGAGGACCCTGAAGACCCTGGTTACGGTCAGAGTTCCGGACCTACATCATTAAGGAAAAGAGAAGTTATTCACATGGAAAATCCAGCTATTCAGGAGAAAACGCGGCCGGGCTCAGTGGCTCACGCCTGTAATCCCAGCACTTTGGGAGGCCGAGGCGGGGGGGATCACCTGAGGTCAGGAGTTCGAGACCAGCCTGGCCAACATGGTGAAACCCTGTCTCTACTGAAAATTAAAAAATTAGCTGGGCGTGGTGGTGGGCACCTGTAATCCCAGCTACTCAGAAGGCTGAGGCAGGAGAATTGCTTGAACTCAGGAGGTGGAGGTTGCAGTGAGCTGAGATCGCACCACTGCACTCCAGCCTGGATGACAGAGCGAGACTCCGTCTCAAAAAAAAAAAAAAAAAAAAGAAAAGGCAGTGAAACAGGAAATGTTACATAAGGAGCTCACTGAGCACACCAATATCATCACATAGAATTATCACAGAGAACTGTATAAACTTAGTTATCTGCAGAATCCCCTAAAAGAATCTCCTTCGGTCAGCCAGGTGCAGTCGCTCACACCTTGAATCCCAACACTTTGGGAGACGGAGGCAGGAGGACTGCCTGAGATCAAGAGTTTGATACCACCCAGAGCAACTAGTGAGACCTTGTCTCTACAAAATATTTAAAAATTAGCTCGGTGTGGCAGCACACGCCTGTAGTCCCAGCTACTCAGGAGGTTGAGGCAGAAGGATCCCTTGAGCCTAAGAGGTCAAGACAGCAGTGAGCCAGGATCACACCACTGCACTCCAGCTTGGATGAGAGAGAAAGACCCTGTCTCAAAAAAAAAAAAAAAAAAGATGGCTGGGTGCTGTGGCTCATGCCTGTAATCCCAGCACTTTGGGAGGCTGAGGCAGGCAGATCACGAGGCCAGGAGATCAAGACCATCCTAGCTAACATGGTGAAACACTGTCTCTACTAAAAATACAAAATAATTAGCTGGGCATGGTGGGCACCTGTAGTCCCAGCTACTTGGGAAGCTGAGGCAGGAGAATGGCATGAACCCAGGAGGCAGAGCTTGCAGTGAGCCGAGATGGCGCCACTGCATTCCAGCCTAGGCGACAGAGTGAGACTCCATCTCAAAAAAAAAAAAAAAAAGAAAAGAAAAGAAAAGAATATACCTGGCTTGGCTGGGTGCAGTGGCTCACGCCTGTAATCCCAGCACTTTGGGAGGCCAAGACGGGCAGATCACAAGGTCGGGAGTTCGAGACCAGCCTGGCCAATATGGTCAAACCCCTCTCTACTAAAAATACAAAAATTAGCCGGGTGTGGTGGTGGGTGCCCGTAGTCCCAGCTGCTCAAGAGGCTGAGACAGGAGAATCACTTGAATGCAGGAGGCAGAGGTTGCAGTGAGCCGAGATCGCACCATTGCACTCCAGCCTGGGCGACAGAGCGAGACTCCCTCTCAAAAAAAAAAAAGAAAGAAAAGAATACACCTGGCTTAGCTCTTCACTATAGGTTAAGGAAGAGCGAGATGCAGAAGCATGGAGGACAGGACCCAAGGTTAAAAATACAGAAATATGAGGCCAGGCATGGTGGCTCACGCCTATAATCCCAGCACTTTGGGAGGCCGAGACAGGCGGATAGCTTGAGGCCAGGAGTTTGAGACCAGCCTGACGAACATGGAGAAACCCTGTCTCTATTAAAAATACAAAAATTAGCCAGGTGTGATGGCAGGTGCCTGTAATCCCAGCTACTCAGGAGGCTGAGGCAGGAGAATCGCTTGAACCCAGGAGGCAGAGGTTGCAGTGAGCTGAGATTGCACCATTGCACTCCAGCCTGGTTGACATGGAGAAACCCTGTCTCTACTAAAAATACAAAATTAGCCGGGCATGGTGGTGCATGCCTGTAATCCCAGCTACTCGGGAGGCTGAGGCAGGAGAATTGCTTGAACCCAGGAGGTCGAGGTTGTGGTGAGCTGAGATCGCGCCATTGCACTCTAACCTGGGCAACAAGAGCAAAACTCCACCTCAAAAAAAAAAAAAAAAAATACAGAAATACAGAAGTCAAGCCAGGTGCCTTGAACTTGTACTTCCAGCTACTCAGAAGATTGCTTAAGCTCAGGAGTTCGAGACCAGCCTAGGCAAAATAATGATGCACTGCTACTCAAAAAAAAAAAAAAAGAACCCAGCAGATTTATGTTTGTCAAAAATCATCAACCTACACACTTAGGCCAGGCACGGTGGCTCACACCTGTAATCCCAGCACTTTGGGAGGCCGAGGCGGAGGGATCACCTGAGGTCAGGAGTTCAAGACCATCCTGGCCAACATGACGAAACCCTGTCTCTACTAAAAATACAAAAATTAGTCGGGCGTGGTGGTGGGCGCCTGTAATCCCAGCTACTCGGGAGGCTAAAGCAGGAGAATAGCTTGAACCCGGAAGGCAGAGGTTGCAGTGAGCCGAGATCGCGCCACTGCACTCCAGCCTGGGTGACAAGCGAGACTCCGTCTCAAAAAAAAAAAAAAACAAAAAAACCTATACACTTAAAATGTGTGCATTTCATGTAAATTATTTGTAGAGGGATGGGTAGAATGTCTCAATGCCCCATTGGTGGTTTAGTCTCTCTGCTCAGAGGGTCATCAGCCACAAGAAGGTGCTCAGCGATAAGAATGGGCCTGTTTCCCAGCAGCCCAGGCTTCACTGCCCACCTCCCTGCTATCCACATTGTCCAAGTGGCACATCCCACAGTCCCACAGTCACTCCTTTCAAGAAGCCCACATCCCTACCTGTAAGCCATATCCAGGGACTTTGGACAAAACAGGGGAGGAATTTGCCATCTTCTTCTGTGATCTAAGAGATCAAAATACACACACTCATTGAAAAAGAAAATATATATAGGTCCAATTTAAATATCTTATGCTGAACTATGCTTCTTGCCTCCAATGTGACCTTTCCGCCTCCCAGCAGTTACCTGGCAGTACGTTTCTCTATTTGGACTGTCTATGCCGAAAAATGCATCAGCACAATCAAATTTTCCTGTGAAAAACTGTGGGCCTCGCTTCTAAGCCCCAACGCCTGAACACCTTCTCCTCTCACTTCATGCTGCTATTCCAGGGACAAATAGTGACTCAGCAGCGGCGGAGCTGACTGCTTCCACAGGAAGACATGCAAAATGGGCCCACATCAGCCATCAGTCCATTAAAAAAAGCCTATATAAAGCCCACTTCAGTCTTGAAGGAATCCTAAGCTGAGATGAAACAGAGTCACCCCCAGGATGTCTGACCTACCTAAGACCTACTAGGCTAAAGTCAGCATTATTAAGGGTCTCTCTCCAGCAGCATGGCCAAGATACCCACTCACATTTAGCATCTCCAAGGAACTCTAGCATTAGATGGCAAGCTCTGTGGGCACTGGGCCCATGTTCAAGTGTTCATCACTGAATGCCCAGTACCTGGCAGCTTCCAGCACAGGGCAGGTGTTCATGTCTGTGGAATGAATGAGTGAATGAGCAAGTGAATCAACGAGAAGGGAGGCCAGTCGCCACATGCTCACCTCCCTGCACTGTGCTCATCCTCGCTGCTGGAACGATCACTACTCGAGCTTCTGTGCTTATGTTTCTTGTGCTTCTTTTTCTTCTCCTTCTTTTTCTTCTTCTCCTTTTTTTCCAGACTCATTTGCAACTGGAAAATGCCGAGAACACAAGCACACAAGATTACTGAGACCAGCCAGCGCAGTGGCTCATGCCTGTAATCCCAGCACTTTGGGAGGCTGAGTGGAGCAGATCATCACTTGAGGTCCGGAGTTCGAGACCAGCCTGGCCAACATGGCAAAACCCCATCTCTACTAAAAATACAAAAATCAGCTGGGTGTGGTGGTGGGCACCTGTAATACCAGCTACTTGAGAGGTGAGGTACAAGAATCACCTGAACCAGGAGGCAGAGGTTGCAGTGGGCCGAGATTGTGCCACTGCACTTCAGCCTGGGTGACAGAGTGAAACTGTGTCTCAAAAAAAAAAAAAAAAAAAAAGATTACTGGCTGGGCATGGTGGCTCACGCCTGTAATCTCTCAGCACTTTGAGAGGCTGAGGTGGGAGGATCACAAGGTCAGGAGTTCGAGACCACCCTGGCCAATATGGTGAAAGACCATCTCTACTAAAAATACAAAAATTAGCTGGGTGTGGTGGTGTGTACCTGTAGTTCTAGCTACTCGGGAGGCTGAGGCAGAAGAATCACTTGAACCCAGGAGGCAGAGGTTGCAGTGAGCTGAGATCACGCCACTGCACTCCAGCAGCCTGGGCGACAGAGTGAGACTCCATCTCATTAAAAAAAAACAAAAAGCCCAGGCGGGGTGGCTCATACCTGTAATCCCAGCACTTTGGGAGGCCAAGGCGGGTGGATCACAAGGTCAGGAGAAGGAGACCATCCTGGCTAACACGGTGAAACACCATCACTACTAAAAATACAAAAAATTAGCTGGGCATGGTAGCAGGCGCCTGTAGTCCCAGCTACTCAGGAGGCTGAGGCAGGAGAATGGCATGAACCTGGGAGGCGGAGTTTGCAGTGAGCTAAGATCGTGTCACTGCACCACTGCACTCCACCTTGGGCAACAGAGCGAGACTCCGTCTCAAAAAAAAAAAAAAAAAAAAAGATTACTGAGACCCCTATCAGTCTCCTTTGAGGGGCGTGGCTCATGCACAAACTGCCTGACTCCATGCCTCTGGGTCTACAGAAGTCCAGGACATTATAGGGGTTCCCTGTCAACACACCAGGGGAAGGGTCTTAACCCTGGCCGTGCACTAACACCCCCAACTACTGAACTGGTATCTGGTAGGTGAGACTAAGAATTTGTGTTTTTAAACAGTCACCAAAACCACTGCCTAGGAGTTTCCATTCTGTGTCACAGGAACTCCAATTCCACTGAAAGCAGTCAGGAACTATAAGGTCAATCTTTAACTTTCCTTACCAACTGATCCAAGACACAATTACATAATATGTCATGTGAATGGTAAGTGGGCCCTAGAAGCCTTATTTTTTTTTTTTTGAGACAGAGTTTCGCTCTTGTTGCCCAGGCTGGAGTGCAATGGCGCAATCTTGGCTCACAGCAAACTCCATCTCCCGGGTTCAAGCAAGTCTCCTGCCTCATCCTCCCAAGTAGCTGGGATTACAGGCATGAACCACCACCCCGGCTAATTTTGAATTTTTAGTAGAGACAGGGTTTCTCCGTGTTGGTCAGGCTGGTCTCAAACTCCCAACCTCAGGTGATCCACCCGCCTCGGCCTCCCAAAATGCTGGAATTACAGGCATGAGCCACCGCGCCCAGCCCCTAGAAGCTTTATACCACGACCAAGGGCATACTCCAACCTCCTGAACACACTGCATGGTAATGCTTTCCACAGGCTTAGCCCACACTCTTCTTCTGGAAAAACGACATCACATGGTGCATTCTCCCACCCAAAAGACTTTCAACCAAAATCAAGCTTAATTAAGCTTAATAAACTAAGATTACATAAAATAACCAACCTGACCAATATGAATAAACCCCGTCTCTACTAAAAATACAAAATTAGCCGGGCGTGGTGGCACATCCCTGTAATCCCAGCTACTAGGGAGGCTGAGGCAGGAGAATAACTTGAACCTGGGAGGCGGAGGTTGCGGTGAGCTGAGATCATGCCATTGCACTCCAGCCTGGGCAACAAGATTGAAACTCCGTCTCAAAAACAAAAAAATGATTACATAAAATAGCCACAACATGGTCTCTAAAAGACAAAAGTTTTAGAGGCCATTCTGTTTTTCCCCTGGTAAGCTGAGAGTAAATGGAGAGACGTTCTCACGTTATATGGCTAAAAGATGCTCTTGGTGCTTATCTGGTATACTACTTACCAATTCTTTGATTTTCTTCATTTTCACTGGATTATTTAATACCTCTCGTTTTTTCTCCTCCTCCTTCTTCCTAAAGAGAGATAATTACAAAATTCATGACTATTTCTTTTCTCCAAATTCTATGGAGTAACCTTTTCTCCAAACATATACAGACAAACTGGCCCATGTTAAAATCTACATGATTAGCTGGGTGTGGTGGTGTGCACCTGTAATCCCAGCTACTTGGGAGGAGGAGAATCGCTCCCAGCTACTTGAGGGAGGAGAATCGCTTGAACCTGGGAGGCGGAGATTGCAGTGAGCTGAGATCGTGCCACTGCACTCCAGCCTGGGTGACACAGCAAGACTCTGTCTCCAAAAAAAAAAAATCTACATGATGATGGGGCTGGGTGCAGTGGCTCATCTCACACCTGTAATCCCAGCACTTTGGGAGGCTGGGGCAGGCGGATCACTTGAGGTCAGAAGTTCAAGACCAGCCTGGCCAACATGGTGAAACCTCGTCTCTACCAAAAAAAACAAAACAAAAAAATTAGCCGGGCATGGTAGCAGCACGCACCTGCAGTCCTAGCTACTCGGGAGGCTGACGTGGGAGAATAACTTAAACCCAGGAGGCGGAGGTTGCAGTGAGCTGAGATTGTGCCACTGCACTCCAGTCTGGGTGACGGAGTGAGACCCTGTCTCAAAAAAAATAAATAAATAAAAAACGACATGATGGTGTCAAAGCCAAAAATCTCTCACAAATATAAGAGATTGTCTCAAAAAAAAAAAAAAAAAAAGAGTCATGCTCAGTCGTCCAGGCTGCAGTGCAGTGGCATGATCATGGCTCACTGCAGCCTTGACCACCTGGGCTCAAGTGATACTCCCACATCAGCTTCCCAAGTGGCTGGGACTATAGGCCCCCACCACCATGCCTAGCTAATTTTTATATTTCTTATAGAGATGGGGTTTCACCATGTTGCTCAGGCTGGTCTCAATTTCCTGGGCTCAAGCAATCCATCCATCTCTGCCTCCCAAAGTGCTGGGATTACAGGTGTGATCCACCGTACCCGGCTGTCAGTTGTTTTTTTTGTTGTTGTTGTTGTTTTTTCGAGACGGAGTCTCGCTCTTTCGTCCAGGCTAGAGTGCAGTGGCGCGATCTCAGGTCACTGCAAACTCCTCCTCCCGGGTTCATGCCATTCTCCTGCCTCAGCCTCCTGAGTAGCTGGGACTATAGGCGCCTGCCACCATGCCTGGCTAATTTTTTGTATTTTTAGTAGAGACGGGGTTTCACCGTGTTAGCCAGGATGGTCTCGATCTCCTGACCTCGTGATCCGCCCGCCTCGGCCTCCTGAAGTGCTGGGATTACAGGCGTGAGCCACTGCTTCCAGCCGTGAGTTGTTTTTTGATGGTTATAGAGTTTCAATTCAGAATGGTGAAAGAGTTCTGGAGACAGGCTGTGGTGATGGTTGCACAACACTTTGACTGTATTTATTTATTTATTTATTTTTATTTTTTATTTTTATTTTTTTTTGAGACGGAGTCTCGCTCTGTCGCCCAGGCTGGAATGCAGTGGCGTGATCTCGGCTCACTGCAAGCACCACCTCAGTTCACGCCATTCTCCTGCCTCAGCCTCCCAAATAGCTGGGACTACAGGCACCCAGGGTCTCATTAATATTATCAAGAAAATAGGCTGGGCGTGGTGGCTCACGCCTGTAATCCCAGCACTTTGGGAGGCCGAGGCGGGCGGATCACAAGGTGGTCAGGAGATCGAGACCATCCTGGCTAACATAGTGAAACCCTGTCTCTGCTAAAAAATACAACAAAAATTAGCCAGGCGTGGTGGTGGGTGCCTGTAATCCCAGCTACTCGGGAGGCTGAGGCAGGAGGATGGCGTGAACCCGGCAGACAGAGCTTGTAGTGAGCAGAGATCGCGCCACTGCACTTCAGCCTGGGCGACAGAGCGAGACTCCGTCTCAAAAAAAAAAAAAAAAAAAAAAGCGAAGAGAAAACTGTAAAGCAAGAGAATCAATGGCCTTAGCAGGGTCTCAAAGCATCTGTAACAAACCCCCTTCCTAGCCCCCCATTAGTACCTGATGATGAAGAGTGGGTCCTCCCGGATCTTGCTGGCCATGTCAAGAAGGGAATTGGCACCTGATGGGGCAAAGATAGAGCCTGGGAGAAGTCCTGTTTCAGAAGAGCAGCCTGCCTCCTTCTCCTCCATCTTCTCAAAAACATATTTGTCAATGGGGCGCCCCAGCAGGTACTCGTCACGGTTCACCATCCCACCAGGACCCTGGTACATCCAGTCCAACTTTTCTTCTTTTTTCCTGGTTCAAGGGAAGAAAAAGAAATACAATTTCTTTAAAAAGCAGACTTCTGCAAACCTACACCTAAAACCTGGACACAAGGGAGAGAGAACCACAGCTAATCAGAGTTCATTCTACTGGCACCTACCATGCAATAAACACGGCACCCCATGTGGCCGGCATAAAGAAATAGTGCGGGTTGCGTGCAGTGGCTCATGCCTGTAATCCCACCATTTTGGGAGTCCGAAGCGGGTGGATCACTTGAGGTCAGGAGTTCGAGACCAGCCTGGCCAACATGATGAAACCCCATCTCTACTAAAAATACAAAACATTAGCCAGGCGTGGTGGCGGACGCCTGTAATCCCACCTACTCAGAAGGGTGAGGCAGGAAAATCACTTGAACCTGGGAGGCAGAGGTTGCAGTAAGATCACGCCACTGCACTCCAGCCTGGGTGACGGAGCCAGACCTTGTCTCAAATAAATAAATAAATAAATGGTGCTTGTCCTCATGAGGCTTACGAGTGAATGGAGAGAGAATATTCACTCACATAAAGCAATTTATAAGGAAAACCAGTGTTCCTCAACATGGGGTGTGGATCTTGGCTCAGAGCTTCTCGAGTCTCCTTTACAGAGTCTTTATATTATGCTTTCATTTCCAAGATGACCTAAAACAATGAATAAGCACATTCTACATCACCATCTTACCATCAAGAACAATTTCAGTGACCACATACGCAGTTGCATTGATTGTGCATCTTGGTGCTTGTGGGCACACAGACACCAGCGGTAACACTACACATTTGAGGGGATGATGGGAAAAAATCAGAGGTAACTGAATAAGTGACGCTTTCAAGCCAAAAGAGCCAAACACTGAATACGTGAATCATTAGGTAACTATCTGGGTTTCACAAGTGAATAAACCCTGGTCTCAGCCATCTAGGGGCCAAATTAAGTCACAGCATCATGCCACACAAACATTTCCCTGCGGTTCTGGGAGAAAAAAGTGGTGAGAAAGTGGAACCCTCATACCACAGACAGTAAAGGCAGGCTAAATTCATAAGAGCATGCGTGGAAGCAGCCAATACTACATTCACACTGCAACCAGGAAAGTACTTTCATTGACAGTATTATCTATAACCTGAAATTAAATGCTTTTTGAATATGACTTTTTTGTTCTTTTTTTTCTTTTAGACACAGGGTCTCACTCTGTCACCCAGGCTGGAATGCAATGGTGCGATCATGGCTCACTGCAGCCTTGAATTCCTGGGCTCAACAAATCCTGCCTCAGCCTCCCAAGTAGCTGGGACTACAGGGATGCACCACCATGCCTTGCTGATTTTTTATTTTTTCAATTTTTAAACAGATGGGACTTGCTATGTTGCCCAGGCTAGTCTCAAACTACTGGCCTCAAGTGATCCTCCTGCCTCAGCCTCCCAAAGTGCTGGGATTACAAGGGTGAGCCACCATGCCCAACCTGAATATGACTTTTTAAATGTGTATACTTGTTTTTGAGGTTATATAACAACTGTGAGCATAAAGAATGTTTTCCTAGTTGCATGCTTGGACATTTTTGGTAAGAATAATTTAAACCAACACTGCAGGGCCATGACCCTTTTTTTTTTCCCCCAGACAGAGTTTCACTCTGTTGCCCAGGCTGGAGTGCAGTGGAGCGATCTTGGCTCACGGCAACCTCTGCCTCCCAGGTTCAAGTTATTCTCCTGCCTCAGCCTCCCGAATAGCTGGGACTATAGGCATGTGTCACCAAGACTGGCTAATTTTTTGTACTTTTAGTAAAGACGAGGTTTCACCGTGTTGGCCAGGCTGGTCGATCTCCTGACCCCGTGATCTGCCAGCCTTGGCCTCCCAAAGTGCTGGGATTACAGGCGTGAGCAACCGTGCCTGGCCCCAAGACCCTTTAGAATTTTTTTCATATTAAAAAAATGAGTCTGAGAAACACTGTAGTCTACAGTTAAGAACTGATCAGCTGGGCACGGTGGCTCACACTTATAATCCTAGAACTTTGGGAGGCCAAGACAGGCTGATCACGAGGTCAGGAGATCAAGACCAGCCTGGCCAACACAGTGAAACCCCGTCTCTACTAAAAATACAAAAAACTAGCCAGGCGTGGTGGTACACGCCTGTAGTCCCAGCTACTCGGGAGGCTGAGGGAGGAGAATCGCTTGAACCCGAGAAGTGGAGGTTGCAATGTGCTGAGATCATGCCATTGTACTCCAACGCAGGTGACAGTGCGAGACTCGGTCTCAAAAAAAAAAAAATAAGAATTGATCATGGGGCCGGGCGCTGTGGCTCACACCTGTAATCCCAGCACTTTGGGAGGCCTAGGCGGGCAGATCACTTGAGGTCAGGAATTCAAGACCAGCCTGGCCAACATGGTGAAATGCCATCTCTACTAAATATACAAAAAAATTAGGCCAGGCACAGTAACTCACGCCTGTAATCCCAGCACTTTGGGAGGCAAAGATGGGCGGATCACAAGGTCAAGAGACCAAGGCCATCCAGGCCAACATGGTGAAACCCTGTCTCTACTAAAAATACAAAAATTAGCTGGACCTGGTGGCGTGCATCTGTAGTCCCAGCTACTCGGGAGGCTGAAGCAGGAGAATCGCTTGAACTCAAGAGGCGGAGGTTACAGTGAGCCGAGATCGCACCACTGCACTCAAGCCTGGTGACAGAGCGAGACTCTGTCACACAAAAATAATAACAATAATAATAATAATAATTAGCCAGGCGTGGTGGCACACGCCTGTAATCCCAGCTACTCAGCAGACTGAAGCAGGAGAATTGCTTGAACCTGGGAGGTGGAGGCTGCAGTGAGCGGAGATTGTGCCACTGCACTCCAGCCTGGGAGACAGAGCAAGACTCTGACTCAAAAAATAATAATAATAATAATAAATAATAGGCCGGGTGCAGTGGCTCACGCCTGTAATCCTAGCACTTTGGGAGGCTGAAGCGGGCAGATCACAAGGTCAGGAGTTCAAGACTAGCCTGACCAACATGGTGAAACCCCATCTCTACTTAAAATACTAAAATTAGCCAGGCGTGGTGATGTGCGCCTGTAATCCCAGCTACTCAGGAGGCTAAGGCAAGAGACCCGCTTGAACCCAGGAGGCAGATGTTGCAGTGAGCCAAGATCGCACCACTGCACTCCAGCCCGGGCGACAGAATGAGACTCCATCTCAAAAAATAAAATAAAATAAATAACAAAAATAAAACCAGCCGGGCACTGTGGCTCACATCTGTAATCCCAACACTTTGGGAGGCCGAGGCGGGCGGATCATGAGGTCAAAGATCGACACCATCCTGGCTAACACAGTGAAACCCCGTCTCTACTAAAAATACAAAAAATTAGCCGGGCGTGGTGGCGGGCGCCTGTAGTCCCAGCTACTCAGGAGGCTGAGGCAGGAGAATGGCATGAACCCGGGAGGCGGAGCTTGCAGTGAGCCGAGATCGTGCTGCACTCCAGCCTGGACAACAGAGCGAGACTCCATCTCAAAAAAAAAAAAAAAAAAAAAAAAAAGAACTATACAAAACAAACAGATGAATACTTAAGTCATCTAAATACATTAGCAGTAAAGACCAAAAAGAGAAGGGGCAGAGAGAACCAAATGCTGATCTTAGTGTTTTACAATATTGTAGGACATGTGATAGGGCAAAACAAAACAAAGCATATAAAATCACCTTCCCCCATTCACGACAGACAAGCAGGCATGAGTCTGCAACAATGCTGGCTCCTTTCTCTACAGTTGTGCATCTGTACTCTGACCTCATTAATCAGACTCCACAAAAGCCCAAATTTCTGATAAATTGAGCACATGATGTGTAATGCTTTGGTGAATAAAAATGTCAAAACAATTTTTACCTTTGGATAGTACCTCGGCTTATGACTAATGGGTATTCAGTCTAAAATCAATTTTTACTTATTTATTTATTTATTTATTTACTTAGAGGCAGAGTCTCACTCTGTCACCCAGGCCGAAGTCAGTGGCAAAATCATAGCTCACTGTAGCCTCGAACTCCTGGGCTCAAGCAATCCTCCTACCTCAGCCTCCCAAGTAGCTGGGACTACAGGCACATGCCACCATGCCCAGCTAACTTTTCCTTTCTTTCTTTTTTTTTTTTTGAGACGAAGTCTTACTCTGTCACCCAGGCTGGAGTGCAATGGCGTGATCTCAGCTCACTAAAACTTCCAACTCCTGAGTTCAAGTGATTCTCCTGCCTCAGCCTCCCGAGTAGCTGGGATTACAGGCATGTGCCACCATGCCTGGCTAATTTTTGGTTTTTTTTTTTTGAGACGGAGTCTCGCTCTGTCGCCAGGCTGGAGTACACTGGCGCAATCTCAGCTCACTGCAACCTCCACCTTCTGGGTTCAAGCGATTCTCCTGCCTTAGCTTCCCGAGTAGCTAGGACTACAAATGCATGCTACCACGCCCAGTTAATTTTTTTTTTTTTTTTTTAGTAGAGATGGGGTTTCACCGTGTTGGCCAGGCTGGTCTCGAAATCCTGACGTCAGGTGATCCGCCCACCTCGGCCTCCCAAAGTGCTAGATTACAGGCGTGAGCCACTGCACCCAGCCTCTATTTTTTTTTTGTTTGTTCGTTTTTTTGAGATGGAGTCTCAATCTGTCGCCCAGGCTGGAGTGCAGTGGCATGATCTCAGCTCACTGAAACTTCTGCCTCCCGGGTTCAAGCAATTCTCCTGCCTCGGCCTCCTGAGTAGCTGGGATTACCGCCACACCCAGCTAATTTTTGTATTTTAATAGAGACAGGGTTTTACCATGTTGGTCAGGCTGGTCTCGAACTCCTGACCTCAAGTGATCTGCCCGCCTCGGCCTTCCAAAGTGCTGGGATTACAGGCGTAAGCCATCGTGCCTGGCTAATTTTTTTCTATTGTTTTGTAGAGATGGGTTCCTACTACAGACTGGTCTAGAACTCCTGGCCTCAAGTGATCTGCCTGCCTCAGTCTCCCAAAGTGCTGGGATTATAGGCATAAGCCGCCACACTCAGCCTATATATTTTTAAACAGAGATGGAGCCTCACTACATTACCCAGACTGGTCTCAAACTCCTGGGCTCAAGTGATTTCTCAGCCTCCCAAAATACAGCAATTACAGGCATGAACCACCGCACCTAGTCCCCAGTTTTAGTCTATCTGTTATTTTATTTTATTCTGACTTAAGAATACACTGCATATTGTATGCTTTTTATTTTCTCAAACATATTTACTCCCATCTCCTTTTATGAGATGGATGGGGTAGTTATTATCTGCTACTCGTATCCTATATTATACAACAGGAAATTGAAGCAGGGTAAAATCTAGTGGCATTGGCCGTAATCACTCAGCTTTTATTGACAAGCATACCATCCACCTTCTCTCATGGGACCTCACTCCCTGCCCCCTGTCCCCGCCGACCCAAGCAAGCCTGAAATACATTAACAAAGGCAGGACTGCATCCTCAACATATGCTGAGAAGCAGGGTAGAGCAACCATCCTCCATCACGGTTATCAGCCATCTACTGTGAGCTCGGCTTACAGCAAGTCCTTACGTGTTATCTCATTTGATTCTCAACAAACCTTAAGAAGGCGTTGGGTATTATTACTCCCTGGTCCTACTGAAGTAACCAAGTCTCTCAAATTTGATCACAGTTCCACAGCTAGTACATGCAAAGCCAACCTTAGAATCCAGGTGAGTCTGGCATTACAACCCATGCCCTTAAGCACTCAGCCATTATACAACACTGGATGATGCATCTCAGGACAGCTCTGCAATTCCCTACACACAAGCGCACCCCCAGCTCCTCACTTACTTGACGGCCCCAACATCCTCCGCATAGCGCTGCATCTCTTCCCGGGCTCTCTCTTCTCGCAGCTCCCGCTGAAGCTCCTCAATCTTCTTCCGCTCAGCCTCATGCTTCTGCTCGGCCTTCCACACTTTCTCCACATTCCTGAGGGTCTGCGGGTGCCAGCTCTTCTTCAGATTCTGTGGTAAATAAAAAGAAGGTGATGATAATTCGGGGGGTGACTGAGTGGTGGGTATAACTAGCCCTGCCTCACCCACCCTTCCATACCCAAGGCAGGCGTGTGAGGGCAAGATGTCTTCAACAATGGCAAGGTTTTCTTCCAATAATCTCTCACACATCTAGAGGGGAAGGGGAGCTTGTTCAAGTGTATAAAGCTTCAGGACAGGTCGGGCGCAGTGGCTCACACCTGTAATCCCAGCACTTTGGGAGGCGGAGGCGGGAAGATCACTTGAGGTCAGGAGTTTTAGACCAGCCTGGCCAACATGATGAAACGCCTCTACTGAAAATACAAAAATTAGCTGGGCGTGGTGGCAGGTGCGCCTGTAGTCCCGGCTATTCAGCAGGCTGAGGCAGGAGAATCGCTTGAACCAAGAGGCGGAGGTTGCGGTGAGCCGAAACTGCGCTGCTGCACTACAGCCTGGGCGACAGAGCAAGACTCCGTCTCAAAACAACAAGAACAAGAACAAGAAAGCTTCAGGATAGAACGGGTCCTTCCTGAATTCCCTTCAAACAGTTTTAACCTTAAAAGCATACAAGTCATCCTTCCACTAGCCATACCTAAATCAGAGTTGGTGATGACAAGACAGGAGGAATGCAGTAATGAGCAGGAAGGCACATATTTTGAAAGAGAACAGAACTCATGCACTTCTGACAGTGGACATTCATTCTTTTTTTTTTTTTTTTAAAGTCTTACTCTGTCACCCAGGCTGGAGTGCAGCTATCTCGGCTGACTGCACCCTCCGCCTCCCGGGTGCCAGCAATTCTCCTGCCTCAGCCTCCTGAGTAGCTGGACTATAGGCACGTGCCACCATGCCTGGCTAATTTTTGTATTTTTTAGTAGAGATGGGGTTTCACCACATTGGCCAGGCTGGTCTCAAACGCCTGACCTCATGATCTGCCCGCAGTGGCCTCCCAAACTGCTGGGATTACAGGGGTGAGCCACCGTGCCCAGCCTTTTTTGTTTCTTGAGACGGAGTTTCACTCTTCTTGCCTAGGCTGGAGTACAATGGCAGGATCTCGGGTCACGGCAAACTCTGCCTCCTGGGTTCAAATGATTCTCCTGCCTCAGCCTCCTGAGTAGCTGGGATTACAGGCATGCGCCACCACACTCGGCTAATTTTGTATTTTTAGTAGAGATGGGGTTTCTCTATGTTGGTCAGGCTGGTCTCAAACTCTCGACCTCAGGTGATCCGCCTGCCTTGGCCTCTCAAAGTGCTGGGATTACAGGCATGAGCTACCGTGCCTGGCATGGACATTCATTCTTTGGAACTCAACCTACCTTAGCTTGGTCTACTTCACCTGCCCTAAACTTGCATGGTTTACAACCCACCCAGAATCTCTTTCAACTTTCCTTCCCAGGAATCTCTCCTTGGTTCTGATCTCCCCATTCACCCTCAAAGAACACTTCTCTCTCTCCTCCCCATCAGATACTGCTTTGGTTCACTTTCCCAATAATGAAATGTTCCCCAAAGTAAGTAATATCTAAAGACAATTGTAAACTAGCCTGGTGATGTGTGAAGGGGAGATGAGGGGGGTAGATTTCCAAACAGAGGGGAACAGTACAGACAAGTGCAGTCCTGGTGGTGAGAAAGAACATAGCAATAATTCAGTGTGGCTGGAGATGTGGCAAGCTGATGGTGCAGGGACGCAAGAAGAAGCCAAGTGAGAAAGGAGCAGAATAAGGGCCTTATAAGCCATGTAAAGGGATTACAGGCATGCGCCGCCACGCCTGGCCAATTTTTTTTTTTTTTTTTTGAGATGTCGCCCAGGCTGGAGTGCAGTGGCGCAATCTTGGCTCACTGCAAGCTCCACCTTCCAGGTTCACGCCATTCTCCTGCCTCAGCCTCCTGAGTAGCTGGGACTACAGACATCCGCCACCATGCCCAGCTAATTTTTTTTGTATTTTTAGTAGAGACGGGTTTCACCGTGTTAGCCATGATGGTCTCGATCTCCTGACCTCATGATCTGCCCGCCTTGGCCTCCCAAAGTGCTAGGATTACAGGTGTGAGCCACCACACCCAGCCTGACTCCAACTTTTTTTTTAACTTTTTTTTTTTTTTTTTTGAGACGAGGTCTTGCTCTGTCACGCAGGCTAGAGTGCAGTGGTGCAATCTTGGCTCACTGCAACCTCCACCTCCTGGGTTCAAGCGATTCTCCTGCCTCAGCCTCCCAAGTAGCTGGGATTACAGGCGCCCGCCACTGCTCCCAGCTAATTTTTGTATTTTTAGTAGAGACGGGGTTTCACCATCTTGGCCAAGCTGGTCTCAAATCCTGACCTCGTGACCCACCCGCCTCTGCCTCCCAAAGTGCTGGGATTACAGGCATGAGCCACTGCACCTGGCTGAGACTCCATCTTAAAAAAAAAAAAAGAAAAGAGAATGGACTGGAGAGGACCAGGAGACCAATTAAGAAAATAAGATCATGTCCACAAGGTACTTGGCATGTGGAAAATGTTCGGTCAATGAGAGCTCCCTTTTCTTCCTTTTCTCTTCCCCTCCTTGTCCTGCCTCTCCCCTTCGTCAGGTCATTCAGTTGGTTGGTTGTGGGTCAGTCCGTCAGTTGGTCTGACCATCCGTCCATCCTTCCGTCCTTCCTCCCTCACTCCCTCCCTCTTTCTCCCTCTAACCCTTCCCATCTTGTCCTCCCTGCCTCAAGCATAGATTATTTTGCTCCCCAGGGAGAAAATCTTCTGGAGTCATTTTTGGCTGTCACAACTGGTGGAGACGGGTGTTAGTGGATAGCTCCAGTCTAGTGGCTAGAGGCCAGTGATGCTGCTAAACATTCTACAATGCACAGGACAGCCCAACTACCACCACTACCACACACCCCCAAAGAATTATCTAGGCCAAACTGTCAAGAGCGCTAATGTTGAGAAACCCTGGATTAGAGCTTTCCTGTCCTTAAATGCAGTTATGTGAAGAATACACTAAATTGGATGAAACTAGATGGAGTCCTGGCACTCACTGTGATTGAGAACACATGACAAACTAATAGGTTTACTGGGCAGGCGGCTAAGCTGATCTACTTGCTGGTTCAATTAGCTCCACTTTCCGGAGGCTAGCATTTTCCCAACCTTGCCCCATGCTCTTGTGGGTACATTTACCCTATTTGGGGCCTTAGCGCTTTACAAATGAACGTTTCAGTTTAAGAGACATTGCCACATAACTTATATTAAGTGGTATGAATTCAAAAGCAAGCTCTGCCACTACAGATCAGAATCCAGCACTGAAGGAGGTGTGGAAGTCAGAAAGATGGACAGGAAGATCCCTTCAGGCTTAAAAAGGACCCCAGGGCCGGGCGCTGTGGCTAACCCTTGTAATCCTAGCACTCTGGGAGGCCGAGGCGGGCGGATCACTTGAGGTCGGCAGATCGAGACCAGCCTGACCAACATGGAGAAACCCTGTCTCTACTAAAAATACAAAATTAGCCGGGTGTGGTGGCGCATGCCTGTAATCCCAGCTACTCGGGAGGCTGAGGCAGGAGAATCGCTTGAACCCAGGAGGGAAAGGTTGCGGTCAGCCGAGATCGCGCCATGGCACTCCAGCCTGGGCAACAAGAAACTCCGTCTCAAAAAAATAAAAAATAAAAAACGACCCCAGGGCATGGCTTAGGGTAGGGAGAATGGGGCACAAACCACCCCTACTTCAGTCCAGGACATGACTCTGAACTCTCACCCAAGGAAGAGAGGTGTGTGGCAAGACAAGATATACAAAACAAAGTGTGGTGACACGTCCTCCATATCTACCTCCTTTCCTAGCCATGGCTCCATCCGCCCCCTCCCCGGTCTTCCCAGAATTTACAGCCGGTAGAGCCGCAGTCAACAAACACGCAAACACCACCTGTCACTGTTCGCGACACACCTCGGACTTTCCCAAATCTCAGTCCCACCCCTCCATTGCCCTAAGGATCCATCCCCTCTTCAGGGCAACGGCCTCCTCCCGGCGAAAGCAAAGCTGCGTTGCCATGGTTATCCACTCCTTCCTCTACCCCCACCCCCTGCCAATTTCCGTCCCGGCCTCAGTCCTCCCCCGCCCAGGCCTCCCTCCACTCACCAGGTCTCCGCCCCCCATGACGGTGGAGACGATTCCTCACTACGCGGATCTGGAAGATTTCGGGAGGATCAAGAGAAAACGTAGAGAAATAGTTCGGGGGCTACCTCGCGGGATCTAGTCCCAGGAGCCGTCAACTGCCAGTTTCACCACCGCTCTAGAGGTCACTTCCGGGAGGGCGTCATCTCACCGCGTCGGCGTCGCGGAACGATGACGTACAGGGCTCGGTCGCGCTTTGTGACGTTGGCGTTACTTGCAGATTTTGCAAAGGTCCGGGCTCCGCTGTCGAGGCCTTTGCTGTCGAGGTCTCATTTTGGCTGCTTCGGGTCGCCACGTTGCCTGATGTCCCAGACTCTCTGTTGAAACGCCACAACTCTGTTCAGTGATGGGTTGCCGTGGGCCTGTGCCCACGGCTGTGTTGCCATGGCAGCTCACCAGGGCATTCGGCTCAAAGCTCCACGTAGTCTCTGCTAGACCTAAGGTGGACCAGACTAGGCCTCCTCCCCTCACCCTGCACACACCCCCACGCTCCAGTTTTCCAAAACGGCTTTGCAAACTGGCGCTTTCCTCAGACCTTGACTCACAGCAAATCCCCTTATGCCAGGCCTATTTTACGAAGCTAAATAGAAACCATCAAATCGAAATTCCATCAGCTTCCGTTTGCCAAACTTTTAAAATCTGCCAGCTTCCACAGTGGCAGATTTTCCCATAGTGGGAAGCTGGCAGATTCCTTTCCCTTCAGTTACTATGTGTTTTTGGCATGTTTTTCTTTTTTCTTTTTCTTTTTCTTCTTCTCCCTTTGTTTTTGTTTTTTGAGAAGGAGTTTTGCTCTCCCAGGCTGCGGTCGAAGCTGACTGCAACCTCCGCCTCCCGGACAGCAATTCTCCTGCCTCAGCCTCCCAAGTCGCTGGGATTACAGGCGCCCGCCACCCGCCCGGCTAATTTTTGTATTTTTTGTAGAGACAGGGTTTCACCATGTTGCTCAGGCTTGTCTCGAATTTCGACCTCAAGTGATCTCCCCGCCTCAGCCTCCCAAAGTGTTGGGATTACAGACATAAGCCACCGCGCCTGGCTATTTTTATTTTTGTAGCAACAGGGTTTTGCCATCTTACCCAGGCTTGTCTCAAACTCCTGGACTCAAGCAATCCTCCTACCTCGGCCTCCTAAAGTGCTGGGATTACAGGTGTGAGCCACTGCGCCCGACCTGTTTTGTAATTTTCAGAATAGAAGTTTTGCACATCTTTTGTTAAATTTATTCTAAATGTTGTATTTTTTGTGATGCTATTTTATTTATTTATTTATTTATTTATTTATTTATTTATTTATTTATTTATTTATTTATTTCGAGACGGAATCTCACTCTGTTGCCCAGGCTGGAGTACAGTGGCGCAATACCAGCTCACTGCAACCTCCGCCTCCTGGGTTCAAGCGATTCTCCTGCCTCAGCCTCCCGAGTAGCTGGGATTACAGGCATACGCCACCACGACCTACTGATTTTTGTGTTTGTAGTAAAGATGGGATTTCACCGTGTTGGCCAGGCTGGTCTGGAACCCCTGACCTCAGGTGATCCGCCTACCTTGGCCTCCCAAAATGCAAGGATTACAGGCACCCGGCCTGTGATGCTATTTTAAATAAAATTTAAAAATTTTAATTTTCCAATTGTTTGCTACTAATAGATAAGAACGTGCTTTTGTATAGTAACCTTCTATTTTACAGGCTTGCTAAATTCACTTATTAGTTCTTATGGCTTTTTAAAAATACTTATTGCCCGGGCGCGGTGGCTCACTCCTGTAATCCCAGCACTTTGGGAGGCCGAGGCAGGTGGGTGGATCACCTGATGTTGGGAGTTTGAGACCAGCCTGGCCAACATGGAAAAACCCCATCCTACTAAAAATACAAAAATTAGCCGGGCGTGGTGGCGGGTGCCTGTAATCCCAGCTACTTGGGAGGCTGACACAAGAGAATCACTTGACCCTAGGAGGTGGAGGTTGCTGTGAGCCAAGATGGCACCACTGCACTATAGCCTGGGCGACAAGAGTGAGACTTTGTCTCAAAAAAAACAGAAAGAAAGAAAGAAACAGGCTGGGCTCGGTGGCTCACGCGTGTAATCCCAGCACTTTTGGGAGGCTGAGGCGGGCAGATCATCTGAGGTTGGGAGTTTGAGACCAGCCTGACCAACATAGAGAAACCCCGTCTCTACTAAAAATACAAAATTAGCCGGGCGTGGTGGCACATGCCTGTAATCCCAGCTACTCTGGAGGCTGAGGCAGGAGAATCACTTGAACCCAGGAGGCAGAGGTTGTGGTGAGCCAAGATAGCGCCATTGCACTCCAGCCTGGGCAACAAGAGCAAAACTCTGTCTCAGAAAAAAAAAAAAAGAAAAGAAACAAACAAAATACCTATTAAATATTTACTTAAATGTATTTGAATAAAGTTTACTTAAAAGAAAAGCAGGCTCACTGCTGTAGTCCCAGCACTTTGGGAGGCCGAGGCAGGTGGATCACTTGAGCCCAGGAGTTGGAGACCAGCCTGGGTAACGTGGTAGAACCCTGTTTCTCAAAAAATACAAAAATTAGCAGGACATAGTGGCATGTGCCTGTAGTCCCAGCTACTCAGGAGGCTGAGGTGAGAGACTGCCTGAGCCCAGGAGGCAGAGGTTGCAGTGATCCAAGATCATACCACTGCACTCCAGCCTGGGCAACAGAGCGAGACCCTGTTTCAAAAAATAAAAGAGGGCCGGGCGCAGTGGCTCACGCCTGTAATCCCAGCACTTTGAGAGGCCAAGACAGGTGGATCACCTGAGGTCAGGAATCCAAGACCAGTCTGGCCAACATGGCGAAACCCCGTCTCTACTAAAAATACAAAAAAATTAGCTGGGCGTAGCAGTGCACGCCTGTAATCCCAGGTACTTAGGAGGCTAGGCAGGAGAATCGTTTGAACCCAGGAGGCAGAGGTTGCAGTGAGCTGAGATTGCACCACTGTACTCCAGCCTGGGTGACAGAGCCAGACTCCACCTCAAACTTAATTAATTAATTAATTTAATTAAATAAAGAAAAGCAAGCAGAGCACAGTGGCTCATGCCTGTAATCCCAGCACTTTGGGAGGCTGAGGTAGGAGGACTGCTTGAGCCCAGGAGTTTGAGACCAGCCTGGGCAACACAATAAGACACTGTCTGACAAAAAAATAAAAGGAAGAAAAAAGGAAAGAAAAGCAATGCTTTGGGAAAGAGTCTGGCAGTTCCTCAAAAGGTTAAACTTAGTTACCATATAACCCAGCATTTCTACTCCTGGGTATATACTCCCAAGAGAAATGAAAGCATACATCAATACAAAATATTGCCCATGAATGGCTTTTTATTTTGTTTTGTTTTGAGACAGAGTCTTGCTCTGTCTTCCAGGCTGGAGTACAGTGCTGTGCTCTTGGCTCACTGCAACCTTCACCCCACTGGTTCAAGCGATTATCGTGCCTCAGCCTCCCAAGTAGCTGGGATTACAGGCGCACACCACCACACCCGGTTAATTTTTTTGTATTTTTAGTAGAGAGGAGGTTTCACCATGTTGGCCAGGCTGGTCTCCAACTCCTGACCTCAAGTGATCTGCCCACCTCGGCTTCCCAAAGTGCTGGGATTATAGGTGTGAGCCACCACACCTGGCCAAAATCTTGTACGTGAATGTTCATAGTAGCCGTTATTCATACCAGTTAAAACATGGGGGAGGCTGGGCATGGTGTTTCATGCCTGTAATCCCAGGACTTTGAGAGGCCAAGATGGCCAGATCATTTGAGGCCAAGAGTTGGAGACCAGCCTGGCCAACATTGCAAAACCCTAAAAATACAAAAATTACTAAAAGTAAAAAATTAGCTGGGTGTGGTGGTGCACATCTGTAATCCCAACTATTCAGGAGGCTGAGAACCCAGGATTTGGAGGCTGCAGTAAGCCAAGATTGTACTACTGCACTCCAACCTGGGCAACAGAGTGAGACTCTGTCTCAAAAATAAAGTAGGGCAGAGAATCAAAACATATCCATTACCTGATGATGATGAATAGATAAAGTATGGTATATCCACACAGTGGAATATTATTTGGCCATAAAAAAAGAAGTACTGGCTACACATGGTGGCTCATGCCTGTAATCCAAGCACTTTGGGAGGCTGAGGCGGGCAGATCACGAGGTCAGGAGATCGAGACCATCCTGGCTAACACAGTGAAACTCCATTTCAACTAAAAATACAAAAAATTAGCTGGGCGTGGTGGCACATGCCTGTAGTCCCAGCTACTTGGGAGGCTGAGGCAGGAGAATCGCTTGAACAGGGGGGCGGAGGTTGCAGCGAGCCAAGATTGCACCACAGCACTCCAGCCTGGGTGACAGAGTGAGACTCCATCTCCAAAAAAAAATAAAAAAGAAGTACTGTTAAGAGCTACAACATAGATAGACTTTGAAAACAGTATGCTAAGTGAAAAAAGCCAGTCACAAAAGACCACATGTATCATTCCATTTATAGGAAATTTCTATAATAGGCAAATCAATAGAGACAGAAAGTAGATTAGTGGTTGCCTAGAGATGGGTAGGTTGGGAGGAAATAGGAAGTTGACTGCCAATGGGTATGGAGTTTCAGTTTGGTGTGATGAAATTGTGCTAAAATTGATTGTATCGATGGGTGAACAACTTTGTGAATATACTAAAAATGATTGAATTGTAGGCTTTTGTTGGCTGAATTGCACGGCATGTAAATTATATCAATAAAGCTATTAAAGAGAATCAGTATTACTTGCCATAAATAGAATGGAAACTAAAAATGACTTTTTTTTTTTTTTTTGAGATGGGGTCTTGCTCTGTCCCCAGGCTGGAGTGCAGTGGCACGATCTCAGCTCACTGCAACCTCTACCTCCCAGGTTCAAGCGATTCCCCTGCCTCAGCCTCCCAAGTAGCTGGGATTACAGGCACGTGCCACCACACCCGGCTAATTTTTTATATTTTTTAGTAGAGATGGGGTTTCACCATGTTGGCCAAGATGGTCTCAATCTCCTGACCTCATGATCCGCCCGCCTCGGCCTCCAAAAGTGCTGGGATTACAGGCGTGAGCCACCGCGCCCGGCCTAAATATGACATTATTAAACACTAACTAGATACATTTTATTTTTCTTGAAATGGGTCTCAATATGTTGGTCAGGGTCTAAATATATTGGTTAAGCTGATCTCGATTCCTAGACTCAAGTGATGCTCCCACTTCAGCCTCCAGAGGAGCTGGGATTACAGGCTGGAGCCACCACTGTGCCTGACAGGAGGAATTCTTATTTGGTGCCAGCTCTCTAACACTTCTAAATCTTCTAAATCCAAAGTGCAAGGATTACAGGTGTGAGCCACCACGCCTAGCCAATCTCCCTCTCTTTTATTCAAAGAGTGTACAGTGCTGGGCATGGTGGCACATACCTATAATCCCAGCTACTTGGAAGGTTGAGGCAGGAGGATCACTTGAGCCCAGGAGTTGGAAGCTACAGTGAGCCGTGATTGTGCCACTGTAGTTCAGCTTGGGTGACAGAGTGAGAGTCCATCTCTTTAAAAAAAATTTTTTAAACGACTTTTTTCTTAAGTTACTGAGGATAGGAAAGGGAATAATTTTTTTAATTCTGTGATTCAGTGTTTTTGTCTATCTCCAGTCAAATTGCAAATGCCTGCAGTACCCATCCCACACTTGGGACAAACAGACACAAGATGTGAAGCTGGGCACGGTGCTCACACTTGTAGTCCCAGCACTTTCAGAGGCTGAGGTGGGAGAATCACTTGAGCCCAAGAGTTGGAGACCAGCCTGAGCAACAAAGCAAGACCTCCTCTCTACTTATGTTAAAAAAAAAAAAAATTAGCCAGGTGTAGTGGCATATGCCTGTAGTCCCAGTTGCTGGGGAGGCTGAGGCAGGAGGATTACTTGAGCCCATGAGTTTCAGGCTGCAGTGAGCCGTGGTCATGCTACTACACTGCAGCCTGGGTGACAGAGCGAGACCCTCTCTCAAAAAAAAAAAAAAAAAAAGATGTAAAGCTGAAGTACACCACCCAGAATGTGACATATGCCCCTTCCATTTAAGCAATAAGCAATTCTTTTTCATCTTATTTTATTTTATTTTATTTTTTTGAGAGGGAGTCTTGCTCTGTCGCCCAGACTGGAGTGCAGTGGCCTGGGTTCACGCCATTCTCCTGCCTCAGCCTCCTGAGTAGCTGGGACTACAGGCATCCACCACCACCACACCCAGCTAATTTTTTGTATTTTTAGTAGAGACGGGGTTTCACCGTGTTAGTCAGGATGGTCTCAATCTCCTGACGTCATGATCCGCCTGCCTCGGCCTCCCAAAGTGCTGGGGTTACAGGCGTGAGCCACCGCGCCTGGCCTCCTTTTCTCTCTTTTTTCCTTCCTTCCTTCTTTCCTTCCTTTTCTTTCTTTCTTTCCTTCCTTCTTTCTCTCTCTTTCTTTTCTTTCCTTCCTTCTTTCCTTCATTTTCTTTCTCTCTTTCTTTCCTTCCTTCCTACTTTCTTTCCTTCTTTTCTTTCTCTCTTTCTTCTTTCTTTCCTTTCTTCCTTCTTTCTTTCTTTTCTTTCTTTCCTTCCATCTTTCTCTCCTTTTCTTTCTTTATCTTTCCTTCCTTCTTTCCTTTTCTTGCTTTCCTTCTTCCTTCCTTTTTTCCTTCTTTTCTTTTTTTTTTCTTTTGAGATGGAGTCTCACTCTGTCACCCAGGCTGGAGTGCAGTGGCGCGATCTCGGCTCACTGCAAGCTCCGCCCCCCGGATTCATGCCATTCTCCTGCCTCAGCCTCCCAAGTAGCTGGGACTACAGGCACCCGCCACCACGCCTGGCTAATTTTTTTGTATTTTTAGTAGAGACGGGGTTTCACCGTGTTAGCCAGGATGGTCTTGATCTCCTGACCTCATGATCAGCCCGCCTTGGCTTCCCAAAGTGTTGGGATTACAGGCGTGAGCCACTGCTTCGGCCTCTTTTTTTTTTTTTTTTTTAGGAGAGAGAGTCTCACTCTTTTTGCCCAGGCTGGTGCAATCTCGGCTCACACAATCTCCACCTCCCAGATTCAAACGATTCTGGTGCCTCGGCCTCCCAAGTAGCTAGAATTACAGGTGCACGGCACCATGCCCGGCTAATTTTTATATTTTTAGTAGAGACGGAGTTTCACCATGTTGGTCAGGCTGGTCTCAAACTCCTGACCTCATGATCCACCCACCTCGGACTCCTGAAGTGCTGGGATTACAGGCGTGAGCCACCGCACCCGGCATTTCTCTCTCTCTCTCTCTTTTCCTTCTCTCTCCTTTCTTCTGTCTTTCCTTCCTTCTTTTCTTTATTTCTCTTTCTATTCTTCCTTCCTTCTTTCTTTCCTTCTTTTCTTTCTTTCTCTTTCTTTCCTTTTCTCTCTTTCTTTCTTTTTTTTTTTCCCAGAGTCTCACTCTGTCGCCCAGGCTGGAGTGCAGTGGTGCGATCTTGGCTCACTGCAAGCTCCGCCTCCCGGGTTCACGCCATTCTCCTGCCTCAGCCTCCCCAGTAGCTGGGACTACAGGCGCCCACCACCATGCCCGGCTAATTTTTTGTATTTTACGTAGAGACAGGGTTTCACCGTGTTAGCCAGGATGGTCTTGATCTCCTGACCTCGTGATCCACCCGCCTTGGCCTCCCAAAGTGCTGGGATTACAGGCGTGAGCCACCGCACCAAGCCTTTTTTTTTTTCTTTCGACAAAGTCTCGCTCTGTCGCCCAGGCTGGAGTGCAATGGCGCGATCTCAGCTCACTGCAACCTCTGCGTCCCAGGTTCAAGCGATTCTCCTGCCTCAGCCTCTCAAGTAGCTGGGATTACAGGCGTGCACCACCACGCCCGGCTAATTTTTTGTATTTTTAGTAGAGACAGGGTTTCACCATATTGGTCATGCTGGTCTTGAACTTTTTTTTTTTTTCTGGACAGAGTCTCACTCTGTTGCCCAGGCTGGAGTGCTATGGTGCGGTCTCGGCTCACTGCAACCACTGCCTCCCGGGTTCAAGTGATTCTCCTGCCTCAGCCTCCCGAGTAGCTGGGATTACAGGTGCGTGCCACCACACCCGGCTAATTTTTTGTATTTTTAGTAGAGACGGGGGTTTCACCATGTTGGCCAGGCTGGTCTCGAACTCCTGACCTCGTGATTCACCCGCCTCGGCTTCCCAAAGCACTGGGATTATAGGCGTCAGCCACCGCGCCTGGCCCTGGCCCTTCTTTCATGTTTTAATTCGAGGCAGCTTTGCATGTACTAAGTTTTCAAAAGTACGTGCATTTTTATCTATACTCTGACACACACCCAATTACCAAATTGTGTTCACAGCTCTGTCAGACTCACTCACAGATTTAGAATCTCCTCAGGGACTTGGTCTTAATTGAAGACAAATGAGGTCCCAGATGGGCTTTTTGTCCTAAAGGTCAGCTGGAATGTGGGAGGAACAATTTCAGCACAAGAGCAAGTTGAAAGTTGCTTCATCTTTTCAGGTGATACTGTGGCTGACAGTATTTACTGTTAAATGGAGTGGAAGTGAGAAAACACCACAGAAGGGGGCACCTAGATTCGAACCGGGGACCTCTTGATCTGCAGTCAAATGCTCTATCCCTGAGCCCTACCCCCTCTACCTGTAATAAGCTTCTTCCGTGTCCACTTACGGTGACTCAATACAATCAAGTTCCACCCACACGAGTTCTGGCAAGCTTTGTGTTCTAAAGCCCCACCTTCTTAATTATCCATCATCTGCTTTGGCTTTTCCCTTGGCCACCAATAAACTGAAAGGGAACACTTGAAAAATGACATCCTGGGCCGGGCAGGTGGCTCACGCCTGTAATCCCAGCACTTTGGGAGGCCGAGGTGAGGTCAGGAGTTCGAGACTAGCCTGACCAACACGGTGAAACCCCGCCTCCACTAAAAATACAAAAAAATTAGCTGGGCATGGTGGCAGGCACCAGTAATCCCAGCTACTAGGGAAGCTGAGGCAGGAGAATTGCTTGAACCCCGGGAGGCAGAGGTTGCAGTGAGCTGAGATCACACTACTGCACTCCAGCCTGGGCTAACAGAGTGAGTCTCTCTCTCCTTCTCTCTCTCTCTCTATATGCATATATATATACATAAACATATATATATATACATAAACATATGTGTATACACACACACACACACACACACACTCACACACAAACATATATATATGTTTAGTAAAGACAGGGTTTCGTCGTGTTGCCCAGGCTGGTCTCAAGTGATCCACCTGCCTGAGCTCAAGCAATCCTCCCATCTCGGCCTCCCAAAGTGCTGGGATTACAGGCGTAAGCCACGGAGCCTGGCCTTTGCTCCGTTCTTTTTTTTTTTTTTTTGAGACGGAGTCTTGCTCTGTTGCCCAGGCTGGAGTGCAGTGGCGCGATCTCGGCTCACTGCAAGCTCCGCCTCCCGAGTTCACGCCATTCTCTCGCCTCAGCCTCCCGAGTAGCTGGGACTACAGGTGCCCGCCACCAAGCCCGGCTAATTTTTTTGTATTTTTAGTAGAGACGGGGTTTTAGTGTTAGCCAGGATGGTCTCAATCTCCTGACCTTGTGATCCACCTGCCTTGGCCTCCCAAAGTGCTGAGATTACAGGCGTGAGCCACAGCGCCCGGCCCTTTGCTCTGTTCTTGATGGAAACAATAGCCAGCTCTGACCTGGGGCCCTGCTGATAGCTGGGGAAGTGCTTTATTGAGGTTGAGTAGTGTGGCTCCTTCTTATCCCACTGGTAGGGGAGAACTGAAGCCCCTCCTTTCAAACCTGGCACTCGTTGGTATGGAGTGCAAGGGCGTAGGCCTGAGAAGCCCTTTCTCCTCTCACCTTCTCTCCAGAGGGAAGAGAAGCTGAGGGTAGAACTGGCTCCATCCTCTAATCTCAGGGAAGAAACAGCACACGTGGAGACACAAATTAATTTTTTTAACGTAAAATAACACTAAGAGTTCATCTAAACATTTGTCTTAGAAATTCAGGTCGATGGCTATGAAGGGAAAAGATGCTGTTAGAACAGAGGGAAGTGGGTGACCTCTCCGAAGACGGACGTGCTCTGACGGAGGGCTGGAGTGTTCCTGCGGTAGCCAAACCTTCCATTGAACCCATCGATCGGTTTCAGATCAGCATTGTAGTGGTCATGCCCAGTCACCTGCTGGAGAGAATGCCCTTGGGGACAAGGAGAGAGAGGCCTGAGCCTGCATTCAGCCCACCTCTTGGCTTCCCCATTCCCCTGGGTGTGGTATGGGATGCCAACCAGGCGTAGTCACTTGCATTCCCCATGCTGAACACGCAATCCACAAGTGTCCTGAGACTCTGGGCTGAAAAGCCAAGGGCTGGTGAGGTTGAGGGGCAGAAGGCTTCCTAGAAATAAAACCCCGCACCAGGAATAATTGCAGGAAAACTGTGAATGGTTTGTGCTGGGACAGGAAGGGCCAGAAATTCTGGGCTTGGCAAAGCTTGCCTTTCTCCCACAAGAAATGAGAAAAATCTCACCCTTGCCTCTGACCCATGTGGAAAAAATGGATGAGATCAAGATCAATTGAGCCAAATGGCACAAAGTATCATGTGACTAGAGGAGTGGCCCAGGATGGTGGAGCCAGGCTGGGAGGAGGGTTTACCCTGTTAGAAAAATATCTCTCAACTCTTTCCCATTGTTGTTAACCTGGGCCTGGAAAATGAGCAGGATGCAGCAGTGAGGGGAACAGGGGCTTCAGAGTTGGGAAGAGCAGAATCTTTTTGTTTGTTTGTTTTTGAGACAGAGTCTTGCACTGTCGCCCAGGCTGGAGTGCAATGGCGCAATCTCGGATCACTGCAACCTCTGCCTCCCGGGTTCAAGAGATTCTCCTGCCTCAGCCTCCTAAGTAGCTGGGATTATAGGTGCCTGCCACCACGCCCGGCTAATTTTTTGTATTTTTAGTAGAGACGGGGTTTCACTATGTTAGCCAGGCTGGTCTCGAACTCCTGACCTCGTGACCCGCCTGCCTCGGCCTCCCAAAGTGCTGGGATTACAGGCATGAGCCACTGCACCAGGCCAGGAAGAGCAGACTATTAATCCCAGCTCAGCCCTCTTGCCAAATTACTTTAACTCAAGAAACTTGTTTTCCTACCTGTGCCATGGGGTTAGTGTGAGGGTGAAAAGTGCCCAACAAATGGCTCATGTCTGTAATGCCAGCACTTTGGGAGGCTGAGGCCAGAGGATCACTTGAGCCTAGGAGTTCAAGACCAGCGTGGGCCACATAGGGAGACTCCATCTCCACAAAAAATAAAAAATTAACTGAGTGTGGTGGTGCACACCTGTGGGCCCAACTGCTCAGGAGGCTGAGGTGGGAGGATTGCGCAAGCCCAGGAGGTCAAGACTGCAGTGAGTAGTAATTGTGCTACTGCATTTCTTTCTTTCTTTCTTTCTTTTTTTTTTTTTTTTTTTTTTTGAGATGGAGTCTCGCTGCATCGCCCAGGCTGGAGTGCAGTGGCACGATCTTGGCACACTGCAACCTCCGCCTCCCGGGTTCAAGCAGTTCTCCTGCCTCAGCCTCCCAAGTAGCTGGGATTCCAGGTGCGAGCCACCACGCCTGGCTAATTGTTTTTTTGTATTTTTAGTAGAGACAGGGTTCAACCAGGTTGGCCAGGCTGGTTTGGAACTCCTGACCTCAAGTGATCCACCCGCCTCAGCTCCCAAAGTGCTGGGATTACAGGCGTGAGCCACTGCACCTGTCCGTGCTACTGCATTTCATGCATTCCAGTTTGGGTGATAGAGTGAGACCACGTCTCAAAAAAAAAAAAAATGAGGTCTGACATACAGTACTGGTGCTTATTAACTAATATTAGGGGGCACTGTGGCACCATCTGCTCATGTATGTGAAGAAAAGCTGGAAGGATGCAGTCCCTTTGCCTCTTCCCCTCAACCAGGCCTTGCTATGGCCCAGGAACCATGATGAGGCTAGAAATGGAGGCAGCACTTGCCTGTCCCTGCCCAATTTCTCCTGTTGAGGTATCTTTGTCCTTGCCCGAAGATGTGGATGTAGTCTACTATCCAGCCATCCCTTCCTGTACCGCCATGATCCTGAAAGTGGGCAAGAGAAAGTGGGCAAGAACACTGTCAGCCACAATGCTGAGGGGGACACAGTGCAAACTGCCCTGGGGTTTGCTGTGGGGATAGGGAAGAGGTCAGAGCCTTAGGTAACTGGTGCAGACAGATTAAATATATTTAAGAACCAGACCGGGTGCAGTGGCTCAGGCCTCTAATCCCAGCACTTTGGAAGGCCAAGGTGGGTGGATCACCTGAGGCCAGGAGTTCGAGACCAGCCTTGCCAACATGGTGAAACCCCATCTTTACCAAAAATACAAAAAATTAGCTGGGCATGATGGCAGGCGCCTGTAATCCCAGCTGCTCAGGAGGCTGAGGCGGTACAATTGCTTGAACCCCGGAGGCAGAAGTTGCAGTGAACCGAGATCCTGCCATTGCACTCCAGCCTGGGCAACAAGAGCCAAACTCCATCTAAAAAAAAAAAAAAAGAAAAAAAGAAAAAGAAAAAGAAGAACCTATTGCCTCTCCGGGAGGGGCAGTTGAGCTTGGCAGCTGAAGGCTCAGTTTCTGCTGCCAGACAGGCTGGGTTCTAACTCCAGCTCAACCATTAACAGGCTTTGTGACCTTGGGCCAATTACACAGCTTCTCTGGGCCTCAGTTTTCCCATCGGTAAAAGGAGTATTGCTGTGAGGTTTGTTTTTTGAGACACAGTCTTACTCTGTCACCCAGACTGGAGTGCAGTGTTGCCATCTCGGCTCACTGCAACCTCCGCTTCCTGGGTTCAATTATCCTGCCTCATCCTCCTGAGTAGCTGAGATTACAGGCACGCGCCACCATGCCCGGCTAATTTTTGTATTTTTAGTAGAGACAGGGTTCACATATTGGCCAGGCTGGTCTCAAACTCTTGAACTCAAGTGATCCACCCGCCTCGGCCTCCCAAAGTGCTGGGATTACAGGATTGAGCCACTGTGCCTGGCTTGCTGTGAGACTTAAGTGATTTTGTTCAGATAAAGGGCCTGGCATAGTAAAGTTTAATAAATGTTATCTTTATTTAAATGAAAATAATACCTACCACAAATGGTGGTTTTGATAATTAAATAATACTTTTAAAAATTAAACAGATTGGCTGGGAGCAGTGTAATCCCAGCACTTTGGGAGGCCAAGGCTGGAGGATCTCCTGAGGTCAAGAGTTGGAGACTAGCCTGGCCAACATGGCTAAACCCGGTGTCTACTAAAAATACAAAAATTAGCCAGGTGTAGTGGCTCATGCCTGTAATCCCAGCTACTCAGGAGGCTGAGGCAAGAGAATTACTTGAACCCAGGAGACAGAGGTTGAAGTGAGCTGAGATCGTGCCACTGCACTCCAGCCTGGGCAATAGGGCGAGACTCCACCTCAAAAATAAAATAAAATAAAATAAAAGATTAGCTGCTGGGCATGGTGGCACACGCCTATAGTCCCAGCTACTCAGGAGGCTGAGACTGGAGGATTGCTTGAGCCCAGCAGTTCAAGGCTGCAGTGAGCTGTGCCACTGCACTTCCAGCCTGTGTGACAGAGTTGCACTCTGTCTCAAAAAAGAAAATTAGAAAGCCTTTTTCAAGGCCGGGTGCGGTGGCCCACGCCTGTAATCCCAGCACTTTGGGAGGCTGAGGCAGGTGGATCACTTGAGGTCAGGAGTTCGAGACCAGCCTGGCCAACATAGTGAAACCCCGTCTCTACTAAAAATACAAAAAACTAACTGGGTGTGGTGGCGGGCGCTTGTAATCTCAGCTATTCAGGAGGCCGAGGCAGGAGAATTGCTTGAACTTGTGAGGCAGAGGTTGCAGTGAGCTGAGATGACGCCACTGCACTCCAGCCTGGATGACAGAGTGAGACTCTGTCTCAAAAAAAAAAAAAAAAAAAAAGGAAAGAAAGAAAGCATTTTCAAAATATGTATACCCTATCATTTTCAACCTTTTAAATACTCAAGTTCTTCCTTTTCCCCTCCCCAGACTCTGGTTCCTTCTGTCGTAAAATTACGAGTCGATGCCAGCATGGTGGCTCATGCCTATAGTCCCAGCACTTTGGGAGGCCGAGATGGGCAGAACACTTGAGCTCAGGAGTTTAAGACCAGCCTGGGCAACATGGTGAAACCCTGTCTCTGTAGTCTCAGCTACTAGAGTGGCTGAAGTGGGAGGATCGCTTGAACACGGAAAGCAGAGGTTGCAGTAAGCCAAAATTATGCCACTGCACTCCAGCCAGGGTGACAGAACAAGACCCTGTCTCAAAAAAAAAAAAAAAGAAAAGAAAAGAAAAGAAAAATTGGGCCGGGCACGGTGGCTCACACCTGTATCCCAGCACTTTTGGAGGCCGAGGCAGGCAGATCACAAGGTCAGGAGTTCGAGAACACCCTGGCTAACACAGTGAAACCCCGTCTCTACTATTTTTTGTAAAAATACAAAAAATTAGACGGGCGGGCGTGGTGGCGGGCACCTGTAGTCCCAGCTACTTGGGAGGCTGAAGCAGGAGAATGGCGTGAACCCAGGAGGCAGAGCTTGCAGTGAGCCGAGATCCTGCCACTGCACTCCAGCCTGGGCGACAGAGCGAGACTCCGTCTCAAAAAAAAATTAAAAAAAAAATTACATGAGTCAACACATGTGTGACTCATGTATGTCCATATACATGCACTGCACAGACCTATGCAAACAAACATTTGGGACTATACACACACACACAAATCCCGAAGATTTGCTCACAGAATAACCCCATGAGTCTTCCTGTCTCTTCCCCACACCGCTTATACGTAGAAACACAAATACTGGAAGCAAAATGTTGGGGGAAAAATTGAACCATCAGCAAACAGTCTCGGAATCTTTGATCTGGGGGGTTGGTGGAGGAGAACTCTGCTGGGAAGGGGCCTACACCTAGGAGGGAAAAGGCCAGGGGGAGGAACTGAGGTCCGCAGAGGTTTGAGAGGTGTCCCTCCCATCAGACCAAAGAACCCGGAGAGCAAGCCCCATGCCCTGCCACTATGATGTCACAGGAGGAAGGCGTCTCGCCCTGCAGGTCAAATCAATTCCCTTTGTCTTGCTCACTGAGGTCACACGGATTTTTGCGTATTTAGAGAATTTGCGGTGTGAGGTCACCCTAGAGGGCGGGTCTGTGACGTCACAAAAGACAAAGACACCGACTGGTTTGGGAGAAGCTGGCTTTGAGCCCTATCCCCTTGCCTTGCAGAAACCTGGAATGAGTCTATTCTCAAATTCAGGGCTGGAAGGCCATTCTGTGAGCTCAGGGAGCTTGCGCTCAACACCTGTCCTCCCTTTCCTCCAGTCCTCGGGCTGCGTTAAGAAAACTGGGAGGCGGTGGCGGGAGGATAGCGTGAGCCCAGGAGTTCAAGACCAGTCTGGGTAACATGGCGAGACCCCCTCTCTACAAAAAAAAAAAAAAAAAAAAAAAAAAAAAAAAAAAAAAATTAGCCCGGCGTGATGGCGCGAGCCTGTAGTCCCGGCTAATCGCGAGGCTGAGGTGGGAAGGTTGCTTGACCCTGGGAGGTGGAAGCTGCAGTGAGCCGTGATGGCACCACCGCACTCCAGCCTGGGCGAGAATCAGACCCTATAATTACAGGCTCACACCTGTAACATGGCGAAACCCCGTCTCTACCAAAAATATAAAAATTAGTCTGGCGTGGTGGCGCGCCTGTAACCCCAGCTACTCGGGAGGCTGAGGCAGGAGAATCGCTTGAACCCGGGAGGCTGAGGCAGGAGAATCGCTTGAACCCGGGAGGCGGAGGTTGCAGTGAGCCAAGATGGTGCCACTCACTACGCTCCAGCCTGGGCGACAGAGCGAGACTTTGTCTCAAAATAATAATAATAAATAAAAATTTAAAAAAGAAAAGAAAGTAAACCGAGGAGGTGAAAGTGGCGGAGCCTTCTTTGTGGTGAGAACGCTGGAGTGAAGATTTAGGGAGGTGTGTGGGGTCTTCCGGGAAGCTCCTATACCTGATCAGTTTTCCGCAAAAGGGGCGGAACCACGTGACTCTGGAAGTAGCTGCGGGCGTGGTAGTCCTGCTGCGCGTTGTAGGGCGGAATCGCCGACCACAGCTTGGGCCTAGAGCGCCCATAAGCGCGGGCAGCGGTGCTCACAGCCACCCCGTCCAAGATAAAGCCTTTCTCCAGTCGCAGGCGACACTCGCTCAGGTACGCCATCCCAACCACCGTAGCCTCGGAGGGCCTTTCTGGTGGGGGATGAGGACCCTAGATGGGGACACCCCTGCGCATTCTTACGTGATGTCAACGACCCCTGCGACACAAACCCTATTGTCTCCACTCACCCCGGGTTGACCGGTGGGCCCTTAAGGCCGTGGGGGAAGTTGCTTGCTTGGCCCCAGAGGAGGTTGACCAGACTGACTATGCAAGAGGAGTTGGAAAGTGAAGGGGAGGAGACTGGATAACCGATTGTGGGCAGTTTGTGTGCATTTAGGCCCCGCTCCCCCAGTTTTCCTTTAAGGTGAGTATTCTCTTTTCCCACGGTATTACATGCTATTTCCTCAGCTCAGTTTTGTTGAAAAGCTT